>NC_000007.14:90991627-91294657 GCF_000001405.40 Homo sapiens | reverse complement strand
CTTGAGAAACAACCTTGAATGCTGTCCAGATGTTGTAGCAGCAAGGCAGAATGGTCCCAAGCTGCAAGGAGCCAGCCACAGAGGAAAGAGGAGATGTTTAGCATTCTACCAGCCTTCTGTTTGCTTTATCTGTACTACATTAATTTAGCAGAGAATCCTAACAGGCTGTTAGTGGTAGATGTTGCAAAGTGTTCACTATCCCGAAAGAATGAAGAAATGCTTTTGCGCCAAGAAGAGGAGTAATTCAAAGCACGTAATTGATTTTCTACAGTTTCAAACTGTGATAAGACTAAGGTCTAGCAACAGAAACATATCTTAGCAGTTTTGTCTGTGTTTCTCGATGAAATAAAAAAAGAGAACCCCCATAACTAGTAGATGGTTAACTTACTTTGAACATCTCACTAGATATTAACAGATATTGCAGTGGAATTTGGAATAAATTGGTTTGATTTGGAATGGTTTGCAGAAGGCAGCTGTGCTGTAGGAAGCAAAATTCATTGCCCAGGTGTGTGATGGAAACACCTTTCCCATTTCCTCAAGGAACTGGGTGTGCTGCACTTACATTCAAGACTCTCTCCACTCCCCTTACCTCACCCACTTTTGCAGAACATGAATCAGAGGGAGGCTCTTCTGGTATTAGTTAGCAGGCAACACGCTTCACTCAGGGAAAACTCTTGCTCACTATTATTCCCAGCAAATGAGAGATATTAAGCCAGTCACCCTAGAGGCAACTGACCAGCTGTTCTTCTTGTTCATGGGAAACAGAGGAGATGAGGAGGTGAGCACCAGGTAGGGATAGGAAGTGAGACCTAGGAACTCCTTGCCGATGAGGGCTGACAAGTGCTGGCTTGGATGAACAAAGAGTTTTTATTCCCATAGACCTTTAGAAACAGGAGGTACTGGTTAGTTCCTCAGGTCTTTCTGGAAGTGAAGAGCTGGATTAGATGACATGTAAGACCACCCCCTCTTTTCCAGCTCTCTTTTGCCTTCTAGCAAACTAGCAAACGAAAATTCTCAATCTCTCTCCCACCAAAAAAAAAAAAAAAAAAAAAAAAGGGAGGAGAACCAGAAGCTTTGTCTGAAGTTGCAACAGTCACTGGGGGTCTCTCATCATAGTGCTTCAGGGCCTAAGGTGATCATTAACAGTCAGCAAGGCAAGTTCCCTGAGGCATGTGAGAGCAGGGAGACCGCAGAGTCAACTCTTACCTTTTAAGCATCCCTCCCCCGGCTCTTGTTAGAGGCCCCTTCTGCAATGCCAATTCTGTGTTTATACTGATGGTGGAAATAGATATGTATGGAATAACCCCAAAGTCATGTTAAACAAATACAATTCACTAAAAAGGAAGAGCCAGTCCCTGCCAATTTTCATCAGTCTTTGTTCCACTTATGTAAGAGCCCTGGCAACTGGGCTCAAAAACAACCTCAAGAGATATCATCATACTCCATCAATGGATAGCCCTCTGATAATGGGTTTGGAGTGGGGTTGAAGGGTGGAATGGGAAATGTTTCACCAGGGAGGTGGCCCTTCAACTGGCTCTTATAGGGTAGAAAAGGATTTTGTTGGAGGTTTGGGGTGCTAAGGAGGAGATTCCTGCAGCTGGATGGCGCAGTTCAAAGCACAGAGACTTTGAAATTGCAAGTTGTCAGGGAACTGCAAATAGTGGGGAAAAGCTAGAGGGTAGTAGATAAGTGGGGAGAGAAAAATAAGCTAGATGGATAGAAGGTGGTCATCCTAAGTTTTCCTGCCATTAAAGGGTCCTGAATAGAAGTAAAGAAAGGATTGAGCAGAAGTGATCAAATCAGTTAGTATTATAGTGGTCCAGGTGTGAGAGGATGAGTTCCTGAACTAGGGCAGTGACAGTGGGGATAGAAACTACAGGATGAATAGGAGAGAAGTTAACGTATAATCTACTGGACTTAGTATCTTTTACAATGTGAAGAATGAGGGCAAAAGGGAACCTGGGATGATTCACAAGTAGAGTGAGCAAAGAGCAAATACTGTCCAAATCATTGAATTTCATCTCCAAATTGTTTATTGTGTTACTTGAGAAGGAAGTTTGTTTCTGTATTTGACTTTGGTTTGATTTGGGGAGGCTTCATTTGGATTTCCAGGTATCCCCTTCATGTAGCTGTCCCTAACCTTTTTGGCAACAGGGATTGGTTTCGTGGAAGATAATTTTTCCACAGATTGGGGTAGGGAGGATGGTTTTGGGAAGATTCAAGTGCATTACATTTATTGTGCATTTTATTTCTATTATTAATACATAGTAATACATAATGAAATATACAACTCACCATAATGTAGAATCAGTGGGAGCCCTGAACTTGTTTTCCTGCAACTAGATGGTTCCACCTGGGAGTGATGGGAGACAGTGACAGCTCATCAGGCATTAGATTCTCCTAAAGAGCATGCAACCTAGATCCCTCACAGGTGCAGTGCAAATAAGGTTCATGCTTCTCTGAGAATCTAATGCCACTGCTGATCTCACAGGAGGTGGAGCTCAGGTGGTAATGTGAGCAATGG
Organism: Homo sapiens; assembly: GCF_000001405.40. Lineage (NCBI taxonomy): Eukaryota > Metazoa > Chordata > Mammalia > Primates > Hominidae > Homo > Homo sapiens. The sequence continues at coordinate 91,292,133 of NC_000007.14, read as the reverse complement.
GGAGCAGCTGTAAACACAGATGACACTTTGCTTGTTTGCCTGGTGTTCGCCTCCTGCTGTCCAGCCTAGCTCTTAACAGGCCACAGACCACTACTGGTCTGTGGCCCAGGGTTCAGGGACCCCTCCCTTGGTGGACAGCAAAGAGAAAGTGCCTGGATGAAGGAGAGGAAAGAGGGCAACTGTGCTGGGAGCCTTCAGATTGTGGACAGTGGAAGTAAGGTGATGATGGTCACCAGGAGAACCTTATGAAAAACTAATATACCATGTTCTAAAAGCTTTATTTATTTTATTATTTTATTTTTGAGACACAGTCTCGCTCTGCTGCCCAGGCTGGAGTGCAGTGGTGCAGTCTCGGCTCACTGCAACCTCCGCCTCCCAGATTCAAGTGATTCTCCTGCCTCAGCCTCCCCAGTAGCTGGGACTACAGGCAAAGTGTTGAGATTACAGGCGTGAGTCACCACACCCGGCCCTAAAAGCTTTTTAAAATTATTCTTTCTGACCCAACAAATTACACTTGTAGAAACCTATCTTAACAAAATGACCAAACTGCTGTTTTCCATTCTAATGATGCTGCAGTGAACATTTCTAAAATGTTCACTGCAATATCATTAGAATGGAAAAAATTCCACGTCATCAATAATTGAAGCGATTAAATAATTGCTCTAGAAGTAGTAATGCAGAGACATAAGATAACAAAGTAAAAAGCATAAAAATTGGAAAGGAAGAGGCAAAATAGTCATTATTCACAAGTGAGATGGGTGTACCTGTGGAAACCCCAAGAGAATCAACTAAAAAATGGTTATAAACGATAGAAAAATTCAATAAATTGACAGATTGAATTATTGGTAAAAAATGTCAACAGTTTTCGGACCAGTGCGGTGGCTCATGCCTGTAATTGCAGCACTTTGGGAGGCTGAGGCAGGCGGATCAAGAGGTCAGGAGATGGAGACCATCCCGGCTAACACAGTGAAACCCCGTCTCTACTAAAAACACAAAAAAATTAGCCGGGCATGGTGGCACGTGCTTGTAGTCCCAGCTACTCGGGAGGCTGAGGCAGGGGAATCTCTTGAACCTGGGAGGCAGAGGTTGCAGTGAGCTGAGATCACACCACTGCATTCCACCCTGGGTGACAGAGCGAGACTCCGTCTCAAAAAAATATATATATATTTTATATATATATATATATATATGAACGAAAAATCTCATTTGCCAAGGAAACATAAATGATTTAATAAATGGAAAGGTATATCGTAATTTAAAAAGATTTAAATATCCTACTTTAGGGAAAAACTGACTCAATATTAAAAAGTCAATTCTCCCTAAATCAATCTATAAATTTCCTGAGTTTTCCAATAATACCAGTATGCTGTTTGTTCGTGATGGTAGTTTTGGGCATTTTTGTTTTGCTTTGCTTTTGAACAGGCAAAATGATTTTGCCTAGTGGTGGGGTTTAAACTTTATAAGATTTAAGAGTGATGAAAGGATACTAATCTTATTGGTCATAATATTTCAGTAAATAAAACCCTTAGGCACTGGTAATGAAGTACATGACTAAATTAATGGAAGAGAATGGTGAGTCCAGAAATAGAAACAAATACTTACTAGAATTTAGCATGTGATAAATAGTGCAGCATTGATCTGGTCTTAAATTCTGAGATGAAATTCCCTTTAGAAGAAAACTGGTAGTGTTTCAAGATTCAGTGGATTTTGAGTGAGCAATAATTTGCCTGTTGGAGAATATTATAATTTTGTTCCATTCTTTACAACAGGCCAGGATGGGTAGTATACTTGTTTCAATGCAACTGTTTTTTCTAATTGATATATATATAATTATATAGCTATAAGTAGTCTCCACATTTGTATTTATAACCAGATACCCAGGGCACACTGTATGTGTGACATTTTTGCTTAATGCAGTATTCATGGGTGCCCAGAGAAACAAAACCATTACATTATTATCTTTTAAAAAAGGGTTGATAGGTGAGGCATTTAAAAGTTCTGGCTAAAATAAGGTTTGGGGATTATTAACGGATTTAATTTCTGCAAGCCAACTCCATGACACATTACCATGGCTAGCTAAGCATTAACTGGATTTTCCATCCGTTTCCCATATTGTTGAGCTCAACCTCAACTTTTCAGCTTGGGCAAATCCCTTAACCCCTGTAAGCCTCAGTTTCTTCCCCTGTCAAATGAAGGGGTTAGGCGAATTGATCCCTCCAGGCCTTTCTCACTCAAAGCTTCTGTTATTCTGGGTACAGCAGCTCGTTGCCACCCTCTGTTGCACAAAACATAAGGTAAAACAAAAGGAGAAGTGTGCTTAGCTAAAAACAATGCAGACATTGTAGGTAGAGTAGTTACCAGTTTAGAACAATGGTTGCCAGTCTTTCTTGAAACTGCGGTTCTGTGCCAAAAAAAAAAAAGTATGCATCTCAATATTTGTAAATACACTTACTTATAAATTCTACACATGTATTGCTATATGTGCTTATATATGTATTAAGGTATACTGTAGTAATGAATTATGTTCATTTTAACACATCCAAAAAATATAAAACTGTAAATCCTAGCATTTTCTTCCAACACTTCAGTGGGTCATCTTGCATATCCTCTAGAATGACTGGTTTAGAGACAGAATTAGTTTGCTCTTCAATTAGTATATTTAATAGGGAGCAAAACTGGTGGAGCCCAGAAGCTTTTTCAATTAATCTGTGGGTGAGGGGTAGCCAAGTATGCTTGAAAAGAAAAATCTTTTTTGAATCTGAAGTCAGAAAACCCTGCTCTGACGATTAGTAGAACACTAACGAAAATGCCATTTCCCATCCCCAGGGACTTTTACCACTATCCTTGCCTCTTAATTCTTCATGCCTTATTTTCTACACATGTTAAATAGAGTTCATACTACATCCCCTATAAACCTCACAGAGTTATTGTAACAAAATAGATTTTATATGTAATGTATATAGATTATATATAGTAACAAAGTAGATTATATATAGAAATCTATATATAATATAACCTCTATATAATATAGATTATTATCTGTATATAATATATACAATGCATTATACAAATGGGAAGTATAAGAATTATTGTTACCAAATGCACAAATAGTATACATTCTAATCCAGTTTAACCTTCTACAATTGACCTGATTCTTACATACACATAAACCTAACCAAAGAGTACCATATACTGTATCCTAAATTGATCAAGGTTCTAATTAGGAAAAGGAACAGGGAAATTAAGTTGAAAAGCCTTCTGAGAATACTGTTGAGCTTCTCATCTTTGTAACACATTTTATTCCTGGGTAGTCAATAGATATTTTAGTGGCAGAGCCCCCCTACCTATTCTGCTTACACCCTGCTCCCCGTGCCACTCACTCTTAGCCACTCTCCTCCAAAGTGCCCCACCCTGGCAGTATTGGGCTATCCCTTCTTGGGCACTGTCCCACGCTCTGATAAAACTTATCTGCCCTGTGATCCATTCTTTCAGAACTTTGCCATCTCCTCACTAAGAGAACAGTATCCATGTGCAGATGGCATAAATGCCATTTATTGATGACAAGTTAATGTATGACCTCTGGCCAGGTGTAAGCCTGGGCCCATGAAGCAAGGACTACAGCATCATTGGCAACTGTCCTTCCCCATAGTCAAGTAGGACCCAGCAGGAACCAGTTATTGCTTCTTGAACTCAGGAGTGCCCCCTGCTGGGATCCTACAGTGTTCCCCAATCTTCCTCGGTGTCAACCTCTGTGCCTTGAAATTGATGGCAGCTGACATTTATTAACCACTTGATATGTGTCAGGTTTTATTGTAAGTGCTTTAATTCATGTTTTAATTCATACAATCACCACAACAATCCTGTGACACTGAAATGATATATCAGAATGGAAATCAGCTGACTATCAGTCCTGGATACAGGTTTTATTAATATCCCATCTTGACATTTTGAAGGTGAAGAAATATGCTTTTATTCGACAAATATTTTTGAGCTCCTACTATAACCCAGGCACTGTTCTAGGCCCTGAGCATACTCCTATAAGCAAAACACAAAAACCCCTGCCTTCATAGAGCTTAGATAACTGTGAAGTTAATGAAGAAAATTTTTTGGCAGTGATCTTAAATCAAACCAGACAGTGAGCTACTTCCCCTGCTGGGCCTTGCCTGTCACAGCTGAAAAGCTGCTTCTCAACTTGTGTGGAGCTATCAGAGTTATAGTCATTGGACTGGCAGTCCAGCTGCTCTCATAGATGGCTTCAGCTCCAGCTTCATTTGCACCCCTGTGGGCACTGGGAGGTGAGTTGCCAAACTTCTTCTCTCATAAAGGCTCCAAGAAGTGGGCTGGGACAACGCCAGAAGAGTTCATAATTCTGTCTTTACCAGCTCTGTGGACAGAGGAAGAGTGCCGACGCCAAAACGTTAAAAAAGTTATAAAGTCACTTGGAAAGAGCTTAAAACAAAACAAGTACACTTTGCAATGGAAATTTCCAGCTACATGTAAGAATTTACTAAAGACAGAACCTCAACTTAGTTTTAAAAAAGAAGGCAACTTCCCTTTGTGAATTAGGAACAAAGTAAATTAAGATCTTGATCTCATGGGTACTCTATTTATAAAGAAACATTCTACCATTAGCATTTTGACAGGACTGATGTGGCCAGCTGTGATGAGGAAGCATTGTGTTTGTAAACTTTACCTCCAGGCTTTTAACATTCAAATGTCCCTTTGAACCTTGGAAGGCTACTATCTCAGAGAGAAAAAGCAGAAAATCAAATAACTAAAGTGAGGGCACATCAGAACTGCTGGGACAGCATGGCCTTGCTAAGGAAGGTAGGCTGCTCTGGGGTCGCCAGTGGATGTTGAATAATTTGCAGATGTAATTTTCTAAACTGTGATGTGGGGTCAGGAGGGGGATGATGGTTGGGGGGACTAGGGTCACCCTAACAATGTAAACATTATGCTGCTATCTTTGCCCTCGTACTCGATTTTTATTTCTTCTGGTAAATTATAGTGTCTTATATTTTTCTGATTTTAAAACAGTACATGGTTAGAATAAAAGAGCAAGCATGGCAAAACTAACAATCGAAGGTGACAGTCCCTCATAGTGTGACAATGCATTCCAGTTTGTCCAGGGCAGTCATAGTTTATATCTGTTGTCTTGGTGTAATTATTAGTAGCAAATCCTTCATTTTCAAAGGCATCTCTGTTTGTACAATAAATTACATGTTACTCTATTCATAACCTACACCCCAGGCAGGCTTAACTATGGTTAACTCTTTCAGTCTATTCTCAAAATTCACCCTTGCCTACTAAATTCAGGAGCTCCGAAAGGTGTTTCACATGTGCTCAAGAGCATAATCTTCACAATCACTGTATGACGCCCCATCTTTCCTTCCCTGAGATTTGCTCTGGCAGTGTGCAGCATCTGTGCGGCATCTATGAAGGCACTCCTGCAGCCCCTCTGCTGCCCCTGTTGGCACTGGGCCACCTCCTTTTACTGTCAAAGCCAGTCAGCCCCACCTGCACTGATGACGCAGTAACATGATACCTCCAGCGAACCAAATCCACTCAAATTGCTGCCAATGAGCCAACTCTTTCTGCTCCACGAAGTCATAATGAATTCTCCAATGAAGTAGGGCACTTTTCATGGTGCATTTTATCAATGTAGTGGCACAGCATGCCAAAGATTTTCATTAAAATAAAAAGTAAAAGAAAAAAGAAAAATCTCTTACAGATTTTTTATGAAAACAGCCCTTTCAGTGTTCATTCTCAGGCTGCCTTCTTAGTTGGCTTTAAGGGTAGATCCACGGGTACTATTGGTGTACATCCCACTCCTGAAAGTTGAGCACTGATCTTCCACCAAGCTGGAGGGATTTGACTCTGGCCTAAGGTAAGTTATTCCCCAGGAGATGCCTTGGTCCTCATTAAAAGAGAATTCTGGCAGTGTTGTAGATACAAAGGCATGTTTGACTCACAGTGTGATCTCATTTGCCACATGCAATCATTTTTAAAATCTATTTATATTAATGGTCCGCTTCCTCTTTATCTTTTCCCCTCCCTCTTCCACATTTTCTTCACAGTTTTCCAGTCTCTGTGGCGTTTTATTAGTGTAATGTTTATTCATTTTCTTACTTCTTGTACTTTATTTGTTATGGTGGTAGGAGAAGGAGGAAAAATCTTTCTTGCCTAATGGGGTCACTTTTCAACTGTCAATTTCTGGCAAACAAGACTACGTCATAGCACAGACTCAATGCCATGTGCATGTGAATCCTTAATAATTGCTGCTGTGATTCGAAGAAGAAAGCTCAGGACTTATAATAAATCCTTCGTATTATTACCTTTTCGACAGAACATAAATATAGATGTCAAGATATTTAAAATATTGGGTGGGCTCAGGAAATAGAGACATATTTTATTTTTCATGGCATCCAATAGCTAACCAACAAGAAAGAAAGCAGACAGGAATGGTATTTTTGTGTCTTCAGCATTTGCTAACAGAAAACCTACTTTTCTTTGGAGCTGCTTAACTGAATGTACATTAAACAGCAAACCATATCAGAAAAACTTTAGTTTTGATAATTTTCACTTTACATTTTTCTGTCTTGGTGTTCCAGAAGTTTCTCTTGCCATTTAGCCCAGAAGCTGACTGTTGCATCCCGGTGATACATTCAAACATAAGAATTCAGTGTAGGGTCAACAAAAAGGCTCTTTCAGATCCGGAAGGAGGGAGCTCTCAAAGCTGCCCACATTGCTGCATACTATAAGCTCCACATTTCCTAAGACCCTGGCTTAGTTTGCCAAATGGGACAAGTTAAGATAATTTTAAGCAGCCCTAAATTGCAATGCAGCATTTTGTATGAAGGAACTGAAATTCTGTGGTAATTAGGAATATTTATATCATGGGGATGTATTGCAGAGTGGAATTTTTAAAAACCAAATTTTACTGAAATCTCACCATAACACTCTCCTTAGACTTCCTGCTGTGGGACCTTCTTCATGGTGTGAGTGGCTTCTAATAAGATCTTTTCAGTGCTTCAGGGATGAAACCTCTTGAATAGTGCCTAAGATCTCCCAGTTGATTTAGCATTGCAGCCTAGAGTTCTATAGAAGTTTCAGGGCAACAAATACTAATAAACCTTGGAATGATTAAATTAATACTGTTTATTGATAAAGTATTACAGTCTATATTTTGGGAGATTTTAAATTTTGCTAAATGTAAGTCATTATTTGATTAGCACTATGGTTTGGATGTGGTTGGTTCCCACCAAAACTCATGTTGAAATTTGGTGTCCAATGTAGTGATGTCAGGAGGTGGGGCTGATGGGAGGGGTTTGGGTCAGGGGGGGCAGATCCCTCATGAATGGCTTGGTGCTGTTCTTGGGGTGAGTTCTCACTTTTTTTGAGACTGAATTATTTCTAACAGGAATGGATTACTTCCTGAGAAAGTGGGTTGTTATAAAGCCAAGATGCCCCTAGGGTTTTGCCTCTTTCTATGTGTCCATTTCCTCTTTAACTTTCTGCCATGTTGTCCTACAGCATGAAAAGCCCTCACCAGAAGCTGAGCAGATGCAGGTGCCATGCTTCTTCAACTTCCCAGGCTACAGACCATGAACTGAATAAACCCCTTTTCTTTATGAATTAATCAGCCTCAGGCATTCTGTTATAGCAACACAAAGCGGACTAAGGCAATTTGTTTATGGTAAACTTGAAATGGTACTATCAGATAGATAATTTAATCTGCTGACTGCCTCAGCTGTCCCTGAAATAATGTCTCTGGCTACTTTGAAATATCAGGAACCCTCTTTTTAGTTACCGATTCAGTGTTGAACCACACAAAATAATATAGTATTTATACATATTACATTATTGATCTAAAGTAGATTTGACTCAAATAAAATTTTAACCAGGTAATGTACTAAGCTTTTGGGGTATTGAGTAAAACAGAAATTAGTAGACTAGAAAGGAGGAGAGACAATTATATAAGCTGTTACATAAACTGTAACAAGTTTTATGATAATGAAGGTACAGGATGCTACATGAGTGCATAGCAGGGGCACATAAGAGGCTCTGTGGGGTTTAGAAACATATCAGACAGAGACACATATATTTAATGATAACATGTTTTCCCCAAAGCTATCTAAAGAATATCTCCATGCATCTTTGGAAGGTTTGATGGTGATATTTTAGAATCTTGGATTCTAGAAGTACAACAAAAACTTCCCAATAAATAGATGTACTGCATATTTTTTCTTTGTTTACTAAACACTTAATAATTATTAAGAAGGCAAATGCACATATTTCACATTATCTTTCCATACACAGGTGACATCAAACTGGAAGAGAGAGTGGATATAACAGATGATAGAATCAAAACTGAAATGTACTGTTTTAGTTCAAAAGGATGAAGTTATCTTTTTTAGTGGGAAACAATATTAAATGTATCAAGGATACATATAAGGACTTACTTTTAGATAAGAAAGTAGAAGCAAAGGAAAATCTAGTCTGTTAGTGGTTTGCCCAGGGGGGAAATAATCACAATATTCAGCAAAGTTTTCTGGGATGCTATAGTGAATGTGTCTATGAACAAAACCCATGCAGCCTGAGGTGACATTAATAGAAATATATAATTTCCAGAGCAGATGGGTGTTTAGCACATTGATGGGCTAACATCTGAAAGAAGATTTTTCCTTCTGGGGGTCACTTTTAAAGAGAGACAGTGACAAACCCACATGTTTACAGGAGAGTGAGAAGTCAGGAATGATTTATTAAGTCAATTTGATGCAACTACCCTTTGTTGAGTATTTGCTTTGTGCTGGGCACTGAGGATATAAAAAAGACAGTTTTCTCCTGTGAAACTGATCACGGTCTACTGGGGAAGATGGACACATGAACAAATCACTAGGATGTATTCATACAATTGCTGCTTTAAAAGTGCTATGGGAACACAGAGAAAAGAAAATTAATTCTGCCTGGGGGTATTAAGAACCTACCAGGAAAAGATAACATCTGAATTTGGCCCTTGAAGAGTGGTGTTCAAATTTCCTCAGTGGTAAGGGAACAGGGAATGGAGGAGACAAGGACCTGCCAGGCAAAATGAACAGTGAGTCCAGTGTGCCTGGATTTCATGAGGGGCTGAGGGGAAATGGGGCTAAAGGACCCAACAGGGGCCAGCAAGTTTGGACCTAAATCTTTAGAAAATGGGGAGCCATCTGATGCTTCTCATAAGAAGAGTGAGTGTTCAGCTTGGAGAAGGAACAGTCAAGGTTTTACAGGTGCCTTATACTTTCAAATAACTGCACTGCTGCTGATAGAAAGTAGGGTAACATATCTATTGAGAAAGGTTCCAAGGAGCAGACATGGTACTAACAGATGGATGTGACAGGCTGATTTTAACCCTTCTATCAACCAGAATAGTCAGCAATGGGAAGGAATGTGTCAAGATTCAGGGTCCTGTTGATATTGGTGGGCTCATGCAGAGAATAGATAATGACTCCACAATAGTCAGCAATGGACTCTAACTTGTTTTTAATCTTATGAGCACTATGGAGTTTTCAATTTATCATTTCAGTTTGGCTCCTAGGAAGTTCAAAGACAAAATTTTAGCCCACCTCTGGCTAGTATAAAAAACCTTATAATATGCCCATAGCATATTACAAGTTACCTTATCTATATTTTCTACTCAGCTAATACTCTAATATATTTTTACATTTATGTTATACAATGCATTATGATGAACCATATGAAGGCTTTTTTAATGGAGTGGTATATAAATATATAGGTAAGCAATGAATCTAACTAATTCTAGAATCACCCCTTTTTCAGTTTATTCAGAGGTATAAAAACCATCATGAACTCCCCTCCCTTCTACCATGGAATCAGTTTCAGAATATTGACAAGAAGCAAACTGCAAAGCAAAACCACAGTGAGATACCATTTCGTGCTCATTAAAACAGCTATAATCAAAAAGACAGACAATAACAAGCGTTGGCAAGGATGCGGAGAAACTGGAACCCTCACACATTGTTGATGGGAATACAAAATAATTGAAGACACTTTGTTAAAACAGTTTAGCAGTTCCTCAAAAAATTAAACATAAAGTTACCATACGACCCAGTACCACCCCTAAGTGTATATGCAAGAGAATTAAAATAATATATTCACACAAAAGCTTGCACACAATGCTCATGGCAGCACTATTCATAATAGCTCAAAATAGCAACAACCCAAGTATCTATTAATGAATAAGTAGGAATAAGTAGGTAAGCAATGTGCTATATTTATACAATGGAGTATTATTTAGCCATAAAAAGGAATGAAGTACTGACACATGCTCAAACCTGTGCAAGTCTGGAAAACATTCTGATAAGTGAAAGAAGTCAGGCACAAAAGCCACATGTATGACTCTCTTTATTTGATATATCCAGAATAGTCACATCCACACTGACAAAAACTAGATCAGTAGTTGCCAGAGGGTGGGGGAGGGAGAAATGAGGAGTGCTTCCTAATGGGTCAGGGTTTCTTTTTAGTGTGATAAAATATTCTGGAGTTAGGTAGTTGTGAGTATTGTACAACTTTTTGGAATACTAAAAACTACAAAATCTTATTTTTAAATTTTATGGTGTATGAATTGTATCTCAGTAAAAAAAAATTTTTTTTAATTAGTTGGGTAGGTGGAATGTGTGGGGGATGGGTCAATTTTATTTTCTTGATAAAGGTTTTACTTGATTATCACTTCAATCACCTCTACTTAATTCAAGTGCTGTTTTAACTTTCTTTGAAAATCTCATTTAAAAATGCATGTGCCTTAGCCTTGAAATTAGCAAAATTTGCTATTTGGAAGGAATTGCTCCTAAATGACCATCTAATAGCCAACTCTTTTTTTTATTAGTCATGAACTGCCCTCTGAATTAAGTATTAATACTATGTATAAGTAATTAATTACATCAATAAATATTTATCTTTGAAATTCAACATCCATCATTCATAGACTAATTTACACATCATTAAAATGTTTATATAAACACTATGCAAAATGTTTATTCACATAAACATTTTAATTTTAAAAAATCAAAAATTGTTTTCCATACTCCCTAGCTAGAGTCCCTAGCTAGACTCTAACATGGCATCCTACATACCTGGAGGAGGTGTATCTTTCCAGTATATTACACAGTACAAAGGAAGGGGCTGCTTGAAACTTTCCAAGGTACAGTAAGTTCTAGAATAAAATTATTTTATTCTAAAAAGATTTGGCAGTCTTTTCCTCTGTGCTGTGATTCTTTCCTATGAAGAATTAACATTCTTTACATTCTTAACATGCTTAAGACAACATGAGTTTAGATATCTTAGATTTTTTTTTTTAATCTTGTAAAATCAGTTGGGATATATTTTAGTCCTGTCTTACTCACATTTCCCAGTTACCTGGATTAACTGATGCGAACAACAATGGTGCTTTGAAGCTCTTGGGTACAACAGTGGAAATGATCACATTTCTTGATTAATGAATGAATTCTTTCATAAGGATTTGTTTATGGAAATAAATAGAGTAATACCTTGATTAGTGAATTCCCTGGGAAGGAAGGGACTTTTAAGAAGTCAGATGTATTAAAAACCTAAACAAACAAAATACTCAGAAAGGTTGGGAAGCTGAGCTGCCTGAGAAGTCTCTATGCACAGCTTCTTCTGCAAATGGCAGCCCCACTGAAAGCAAAGAGGCCCACGCTGGGGAATACCAGGAGCCTTTTAAGTCCCTCCTCTGCCTGCACATCAAGCTGCCACCTGCTGCACTATCTCCCTCTCTGTGGCTGTTGTCAGAGCCCTATCTAAGCAAGAGAGAATCTGTATCCTTCTCCTTCACTGTTTAGGGGTCAGTTAACTGATACTACTCTGAAAGTCTTCTTACTAAAGGGATAATTCTAAGTTAATCTCTAGTTGTGGAATTCAACCTCCTCCCTTAAAAAAAAAAAGCTAATAATTTTAAAAGAATTTTAGACCTGAGTAAACCACTCAGTGGCCTTGGCCACTTGACTGTTTCTGATTTAGACCTTTAGGGACAAAGACCATGTGGACAGAACAGATCTGCTCCCTACTGAGGATTCTGTAAAGCTGGTTCTCATAGCTTCACTTCACTGGTGAAGTTCCACAACATGTTTATAAGAGGGAGTTTGCTGGTGAGACAAATCGCTAGGGGTTTATCTTGAAGTTGTGTTTTAATCCAGTGTTTCAAAGAGAACTCAAGAACATCCAGCATCAGAATCACCAGAATGGAGGTTCCCGAACCTCTTCCCTGGCCAACAAAATCAGCACCTCTGAAAATGAGGCCAGAAATCCTCATTGTTAACGTGCTCTCTGAGTGATTTTTACGCACATTCAATTTTAAGAATTCCTAGTAACCCATTGTCACCTCTGATAAATACCGTATATTTTGAAGATCATCTGATTTTATTTTAGTTAGCATTGAATAAATATCCCCATCGTAACCAGTCTTATCTGAGGTCTACAAACACACCCTACAACTCCTACATTAATTCAGTTTGTCTCTAATGAAGCTGTATATTATTAAAATACATATTCTTTATTTATAGAGCCATTACTACATTCAAGTGACCTCTGGTCTATTCCTGAATTATGCCTCCTTGGGAAAAAAGCTATAAAGAAGATGAATGATGTAAAATTTTAGAAGAATATAAAGGATGGTGGTATTAAAAGATAACTGCATATGCTAACTTATTATTGATTTATAGAAATTTTGATATATTTCTGTGTAATTTCTCCAAAATCACATTCTTAAAAATAATGTATATTCGGGGAGAACTATGAACATTTGGAATCTTCTTCTTAAATAATTGCTTTAAGAGGCATATATTTTCAGAAAGATTTATATATATATATATATATATAGATTTATATATATGGAGGAAAATATACACTTCCAGCCGTAACAGTGTAGATAGAAGAAAAAAACTTGCAGTTGGTTTTTAGTATGGATTAAAAATTACATTTTAGAGAACATTTTTAAGGATGCATTTGTAATGCCAGGAAAATTTATTCTCCAAAAATGTCAACACAACATTTTAAACTAAGGCAGGTGTATTCATTATCTGAATTTGTATAAAATGCAACCCAGGCAATTGAGATTTCTTTTCTTTTTTGACAAAATGTTTAAATTAAAGATAATGAGAAAAAGATTGTCTCTATAAATATGATGGTAACTTCATGAAGAATTAAAATCTATAATCACAGCTAGAGATACATACTAGATTAATCGGAGATGAGATTAACTATATCAACTCTCGCTCCCATCCAGCCCCTCACTAAAGAGCAAAAATGTAATCACTTGACAGATGTGCTTCTGATGAAAGCCATACAATTATATCATCTGTAGCTTAAAAAAAAACAGTGGGGTTATATGTGTTCACTTGGGAGAAAAAGGTTGACATCAGTCAATCTCCATCTTTTTCTGATCTATTTCTGGGACAGACACAAAATATGAATTTAGAGAAATGTGTATTGAAAAGACATATAGAGTAACAAAAAGGGTAGCAATCCAGAGAATATGTGCAAAGACGAGGAAGAAAGATGACATCTGAAATACAAAGAAATCAGGTAGAGCACAAGGACTGATCTGCAGACCTCTTAACAGAAAATGGGGTAAAAGGAGAGGGGAAATCAATGGGGAATTGACCACTGACAGAAACATACTTTGAAAGAATGAAATGGGAACTGAAGAAATTCAGGAATCCACTTAAAAAAAAAAGTAATCGTAAAGAATGAGAATGTGGAAGGAATACTTCTAAAAGAAAAATTTTCTAGCTCCAACAGCTAAACATAGATGTGGCAGATAGAATAATGGCCCCCAGCAATGTGTATGCCCTCATCCTTGGAACCTATGAATACGTTACCTTACATGGCAAGAGGTATTTTGCAGATGTCATTAAGGCTAGTAACCTTGAGATGGGGAATTATCCTGTATTGATCTAATCATGAGTCTTTAAAAGCAGGCAAGTATTTCCAAATGGAGAGAATCAGACAGAAAGAGCTTGACCCAATGTTGCTGGCTTTGAAGACAGGAAAACTGTGTCACAAGCTATGGAATAAGCCTCCAGAATAGAGGAAATAAAGCTGGAAAAAGTACAGAACAGATTCTCCCTTAGAGCCCCCAGAAAGAAACATAACAATGCAACACCTTGATTCTAGCCCAGTGAGACAGGTGCCAGGCTTCTCACTTATAGAACTGTAAGATGATAAATGTGTATTTTTCAAGTTTTTAGTAATTTGTTGCAGCAGCAATAGAAAACTAATACACTAGATCACAGAGGTGACCAAGGCACCAAAATGGCTAGCTATTCTTATATGAGGAAATAATACAATTACTAATCAATCTCTTTGATATAAGCCCTCAATCCTGCTCAACTTCATGCATCAAAATATGTTCAGTCCATATCAGTTGTATCAAAGGAACATTTTCATAATTGCTGTGAAGTAAGCTCCCTTTGGCAATATAGTCAACAAGGACAAACAAAGGATTCTTATAATTGTTCGATTTGTTATCAATCCAGTAGAGGAGTATATTTCTGAAGGGAAATTATGAATCACTTCCTGGTCATGAATTAGAGTGGCCTCAAAGAGCTGTTTCCATGTTACTCAAGTATAAAACCTACCAATTAGGTCAATTTGTTAGGGGTTGTAAAGAAATTAAATTGAAATTTAATTAGTAGTTCCGCCTTATCCATAGGGGATACATTCCAAGGCTCCCAGTGGATACTTGAAATGGTATAGTACTGAGCTCCATACATATTATGTTCTTTTCTATATGTATCTATGATGAATGAAGTTTAATTTATAAATTAGGCACACAAAGAGATCAACAACAATGACTAATAATAAAATAGAACAATTATGACAATATACTATCAAGGTATATGAATGTGGTCTCTCACAAAATATCTTAGTGTATTGTATAGTACTTACCTATTTTAGGACTGTGGTTGATTTTGGGTAACTGAAACCTCAGAAAGCAAAACCACAGATAAGGAGGGAACTACTATACAGTCATGCATCTCTTAATGATGGGGATATGTGCTGTGAAACACATCATTAGCAATTTCAACACAGTGAGAACACCATAGAGTGTACTTACTTCAACCTAGATGGCATAGCCTCCTTACACACCTAAGCTATATGGTATAGCCTATTGCTCCTAGGCTACAAGCCTGTATAGCATGTTACTGTACTGTACTGAATACCATAACACAATGGTGAGTATTTGTATATCTTAAAGTAGAAAAGGAACAGCAAAAATACTGTATTATAATCTTATGGGCCCACCATCATATATGTGGTCTGTCATTGACTGAAACATCACGATGTAGCGTGTGACTATAGCATATCCCAAAGCATACATTAATGCATAGAGATGCACTTATGCTTTAAGAGCAACATCACCGGTTGATTAATAAAGTACATTTGTGTCATTTAACCTTAAGGTTGCCCATTATCTTAATTTTTTGTGTAAATAAGTCTTGTAAAACATGCTTAGCCTGAAAAGAGATGCAGGAAAAATATGGCATTAGTTTGCTTTATGCCTTTTCAAGTCACATCAGCAGTAAGGGTGAGTGATAGAAGCAGGAGGAGTGAGAGAGGGAGGTGGAGGAAAGAAGAGACAGAAAGGAGGAAGGGGGGAGAAGAACAGGGAGAAGAGGAAGAGAGAAAAGAAATATGCAAGGTGAAGAAGACTAAGATGTGTAGCTGACTCTAGTGCTAAAAATGTCATTATGTACTTCATTTCTTTGATTCCCCCAACAGACCTGAATTAGTGAAAAATGATTATTATTACTATTTTAGGTAAATGGATTTGAGGCTAAGAGCTGGTTGGGATTCAAGCCAGTTCTTGCAAGTCCAAGATTCTTTCCGAGATGACATTCGACTTCTCTGTCCAATTCTCTATTATCTTGAAATTTGTTTCCTTTTTAGAGGAGGAGGAGGAAAGGTCATATTTAAAATCCAAGGTTATGTCTCTATTTGAGAGATGTTTCCATTCAATTCCTCTACTCACTCCCACCTGGGCTAGCCCCAGGAAAGAGTAGTTGACTTTGGTTTTCATTATATCCCTTCCCTTTTTCTCCCTTCCAAAGCAAAATGACCCCAACTTGTCTACCTGTAGGACATGAGCCTCCCCTCTCCCGGCAAGATGCTCACATCTACCCCAACTTGTCAATGAACAAATGAAGCAACACAGCTCCTGGGCACTGTCCCACTCTGTGAGGACTCTCAACCCAGAAGGTCTGTCTGTGAATTTGCCACATTTGGACCTGGAACATACATACTCTTAAGCCCCACTCTCCTCTGACCTCAGAACACTCCTGTAATAATTCTTGCTCCATTCCAGCCCTTTCAGAAGAGGGGCCTTCTTTCTTCTAACTAGGACTTAGCCCCCTCTCCAATGCCATAGTAGCTGTACTGCAGACTAATTCATATGAAATTTACCAGGTCTGGAAAAAACTTAAACAGAAAATATTCCAGGTGTACACAGGAGAACTCAAGTGTGGTGATGAAATCAGAGAAGAGGTGACTAGGAAGACAACAGAAAGGTCTCCAGTCATCCTGCGGCCCTTCAGTGACTGGAACTTCGTTTTCTAAAGGGGAGGCAGTCAATGCTGAGCAGAAGCCTTCAGATCCTCAACTTCCTCCTTAATTAGCTTAACGTGAATGATAATTCTCACATTTTTACAGAGCTTCACCATTTATAATGGGGCTTTTATATCTATTACTTCATTATTGTCTCTATTTGATTCATTAGGTCCTGTGGGTCAGACTCACTCAAGGTCCCTTAACCAAATAAATCAAGACTAGAACCCAGGTTTTCTGTCTCCTAGGCCAGAGTTTTTCCCCATACCATAACACCTGTGATGATGCAGGGAAATGTGTAAAAGAAAATGGAAGTGTAGAATATGAAGTATAACAGCATAATACTACTAAATGCCTTTCAGAGATTTTTTTTAAACTTGCTTAATGTTATTTACAGATTTTTCCCACTGAAATTATGATACCGTATGTCCCTGTCTAGATTTGAATAATAAAAGTTTTATTTTATTGCCTGCTATGAGTTGAATATTTATGTCCCCCCCAAATGCATGTTAAAGCCTAACCCTCAATATGATAGTGCTTGGAGATGGAGCCTTTGGAAGGTAATAAGGCTGAGATGAGGTCATGAGGGTGGAACTCTCATGATGGGGTTAGTGTCCTTAAAAGGAAAGGAAGACAATGGTTTTCTCTCTCCACCTGCATGCACTGAGGAAAGGCCATGGGAACACAAAGCCACAAGAGCTGTCTGCAAGCCAGGAAGCAGGCCCTCACCAGGAACTGAATCTGTTGGCATCTTGATCTTGGACTTCTCAGCCTCCAGGACTGTGAAAATTGTCAGTTGTTTAAGCCACCAAGTCTACAGTATTTTGTCAAAACAGGCCAAAAGACTTTGGACACCATGCAATATTATCAGGCTATTCATCAATCTAAAAGAAAATTTGCAGGTCAAAAGTAAAGCCCACCAGGCATGGTGGCTCAATCCTATAATATCAGCATTATGAGGCCAAGGCAGGAGGATCACTTGAGACCACGAGTTCAAGACCAGCCTAGGCAATACAGTGAGACCTCATCTCTACAAAAAGTTTAAAAAACTAGCCGAGTGTGGTGGTGCATGCTTGTAGACCCAGCTACTTAGAAGGCTGAGGTGAGAGGATCACTTGAGCCCAGGAGGCAGGTTGCAGTGAGTTGTGATCGCACCATTGCACTCCAGCTCGAGGGACAGAGAGAGACTCTGTCTCAAAAAAATAAAGATAAAAATAAAGCCCATGTTGTATACACAGTAAATCCATATTTTTCTCAATTGTATTTTATAAATTCAATATATTTCACTATTTTAAAAAGTATATTTGCAATTTTAATCACTCCTCCAAAGCAAGGTCTCTCAACTTTGGCACTTTGGATAAGATAATTCATTGTCATGGGCTGTCCTGTGCATTCTAGAATGTTTAGCAGCACCCTTGGCCTCTACGCATTAAAGGCCCATAGCACCTGATATAGTTTGGGTGATTTTCCCCCCCAAATATTATGTTGAAATGTGATCCCCAGTGTTAGAGGTGGGGCCTGGTGGGTGGTGTTAGGGTCATGGGGGTGGATCCTTCATGAATGTCTTGGTGCCCTTCTCTGGTAATGAGCCAGTGCTCACTCTGTTAGTTACCAGGAGATCTGGCTGTTTAAAAGAGTTTGGCACCTCCCTCTCTCTTGCTCCCTTTCTTGCCAGGTGACAGGCCTGCACCCCCTTTGCCTTCCACCATGAGTAAAGTCTTCCTGAGGTGTGGACTAGAAGTAGATGTTGGCACCATGCTTCTTATGCAGCCTGCAGAAACGTGAGCCAAATAAACCTCTTTTCTTTATAAATTACCTGGTCTCAGGTATCTCTTTATAGCTATGCAAAGCAGACTAAAACAGCACCCTTCAGTGCTCAGTTATGAGAGTCAAATATGTGTCCCAATATTGCCAAATGTCTCCTAGAGAACAAAATTGTCCCATATTGAGAATTAGCTCTAGAGTCTAATGTGTAGGTACCTCTTGCAATAATTACATTACCTATGTGTCTTTTAAAATTCATTTACATTGAGTTTAATTAAGAGATAGCAAGAATAGTATTGTGGTTTCAACAATAAAGGCAGTGAAACTGCATGTGCATTTACAAGAAGGATGACAGTAAGCTCAAAAAAGAAGTGAACCAATTCTGATGGAAGAGTTTCATGTAGAAACGTGAAGGTCTACATTCACATTTCCAGGGAAACCCATCGTGAAATCCATTGTGAAGGATTGCACGGTCCACAAAATGTATTCTACAATTTTCAATAATCACAGTATAATTTTTAAGACTTAGTTTACTTTTTCCTTTTTGTAGATACAACTTTTAATTTGAGGAAAGATATGGGTGTTAACCCTACTTACCTTGGAAAAAAGTATAATAATTATATAAACTGTTGCTGTACAGCCATTTGGGGAAATCTCTGCTTGAGTTTATAATCTCATCCTAATGTATTGCTTTATTATACAAATATATATGTACATATACAATTATATATATGTACATACATACACACACACACACACACACACACACACACATGCAGCAGCCTGATAGTTACTTACAATCTGGTAAAATTTAACATCAATTTTTTACAAAACAATGATTTATTCCAAGGGAATACTTTTTGAGAGCCTTTTCTAAAAGCAGCCATTTAACCTGATTTCATGAACAGGGTTCAGTGGCTAGTTGGAAGCCTACACCTATGTCCCATTTCTTCGGGAGGCAAAGGCTAAAGGTGGAATGGCCAAGATAATCAAGGTAGTTTGTTCCATTTTATCTTCATGGTCCACTCAGCTTCTGTTGATTGGTACTATGAAGACCAGTTACAAAGGGCTGTGTTCATTGACTTTTAATCTGGTAATTAAGAAGGCTACAGCCACTGTGGAGTACTTTCAATGCTGGACCAGAGACCAACATGTAAGCTTTTACTCTATTTTTGTGAGAGCACAATTTAATCCATGGAATAGGGTTTCCAGTCATCCCAGTTTGCCCAGGACTTTCCTGGTTTTACTACTTAAAATTCCCACATGCCAAGAAAACTCCCAGCCCTGGGCAAACCTGGACAGTTGGTCATTCTATCTGAGGGGCCTACAGTTTTTGACAGAATATTTGGTGAAGTTAACTTTTTAAAATATTTCCAAGAGTTGGAAAGATAAGGTCAAGAATAGTCCCCAAATCTACTTTTTAAGAAAAAAAATCCTTACAATGATCAAGCAGCACATGACATTTAGAATATGTATCTAACTAGCCTGTATGACTTCCAGGTATTTGCTACTGCAATTGTAAAGACAAGCATTTCCAAGAGCAAGAGAACAGTCTGCCTCAGAGTGCTTCATTTAAGCAAGGACACACTGCCAACTTGAAAGGAAATAAAGGCCACACTTTGTCTATGGGGGGATCCCGCAGTTATTCCCCTGCAAATTTAATTCAAACAGGTACTGAGATCTGAAACATGGAGATATCCACAAATTAGAGGATACTTGGTTTTTAAAAAGGAAAGAAAGAAAATCCAGGCCACAGAGAACTATATCAAAGCAGCAACAGTGATTCCTTTTCATGTTAATCACTGTATTGCTATGAACATGTTTTGAAAGTCTATACTATGAATGAAATTTCTTGAGGTCTTTTTTATAAAATACACATCTAAATTTTAAAACAAAAACTATTGTTTTCAGGTAAGTCAATTTCATCTTTTAAAAAATGTGTGTGTAAAATGTACAAATCATTGCTATTTTAATACTTTGCTTTTAGAATTACTAGTCACACAAATATGCCATTCAACTAGTGTATTAATAATACCTCAAGAAAATGCAGTGTTATTTACATTTTATCATTCAAAAATACACCTCTTTAGAATACCAATGAAATAGTTTACTTAATCTCTTTTGGAAAATTGTATCTTATTCTTTCAAGCAATTTAAGGATCTGCTTGACTCATAAAACTGACGATGACCCACAGAATACTTATTATATGTTCATTGTGTACATGTACTTATAAATTGTATTTGAACTTATATATTATTAGAAAAATTTCTTTGAGAAACCCTTTTGTTTGACCTGTTATTAGGGTCCCAAACCAACCTATAAACAAAGATCCCCAGAGGAAGTATTATATTTGAATAGCAACTTGATTCTGTAATGGAGTAGAGACATTTGTCACCACAAAACATGATACAACTTAGAAAAATTACTCTAGAAATTGTGTTTTAATTTCCAGGTTCTAAGCAAGCTGTTTTGTCACTATAATTGTTAAAGTTTAACATATCCATTGTCAAAGGTATGACCAAAATGAATAAAAATATTTAAGCCCAAAAAGTTTAAGGGAACTCTGAGACATAATTGATGTTCAAGTACCATTTTTCAAATGTTAAGGGCTATTGGCATCTGCCAACATTCAAAACAAACATATATATCTTGAGAGTCATCAAAATAAACTTTACTTTTTTGGTACTTCCCTTGTAAGATCCCATTTTAAATGTAAGGACATTGAAATAAAAGCCTTCAATTTAAGATAGTATTGCAATTCCTTTTTAGTCATGTAACTAGATAATTCTTATATATATTCCATGTCTTATGTTGGTTCCTACACATTAATCCTGCAAGCCTTTGACATTAGTGTATTCTGCAAAGTATTCAATGACAATATCACCAGCGTCCACCTCTAGACATACGTACGACTACATTTTGCTTCTAATCTCTCAGGCCCCAGTTACACAGACTATTATAATAAGAAATGAATCAGAGATATCCAATGCCATGACACAGGTTTCAATTAATTGCATGTGCATTATATAAATTGTGGCCAATAGTCAATAGATGGATTAGAAAGCAAAAGCACACACAGTAAATATGCATCTTAAAAAAAATGTATACCAAGGTTGAAACATGCTATCAGGGACAGTGATCTGCGGCCACTCAAGTCCTGAAATGATTTATGATGTAGTCTATTATTTTTCTTAATTGGCCACCAACTCTTCATTGTAGTCTCCTTTCCTAGTTAAATGCTGGACATTAAGGTGATACAACTACACCAGAAGGCTTCAGTACTTACAGTGGAGACAAAAGGACCAGGCCAGTAAACTCAGGCTGACAAGTGACTACCATAGGACAAGCTGAAAAAATCCGGCCCGGCTCTTTTGCACGTGTTTGACACTGGCTGGCTCTGAAATTAAAAATATGACTCTCTGTCCCCACAAAGCTTAAGTGGAAAACTGCTTTTTTAGAAAGAAGAGCTTCAGAAGTCTTTCATACTACTTATATATTTACTCCAAAAGCTAAATTAAGTACACTGTGAGGGGGGAAATTGACCCCAATTTATAGCTGGTTTAAAAAAAAAATAGGCAAATCAAACCATCTGAAAATAGGGTTTGTCATGGAAACAGCAATGCTAATGGGACAGTATCCCAAGTAGCCTTATGGTTTTCCAGACACGTCCTATTTTGCCACCAGTATTAAAAGAAATAAAAGAATACACTGGTTTTCTATATGCATCATCATTTAGAATAAATTGTTTTCTAAGAATAAAGGCTGGTGGTGACTTAAAAATGTCTTCTAAAGCTATTTAACCACAGCATGTAAAACCTTTCTGCATCAAATTTATAGTTACATCATGTTAAGGACACCTCCAATAAGACTGCTTTAAAATATAGTTTTGGATAGCAATTAATGTCAAAAACATGTTTTTCCAGAAATTATCTAATTGAACTACTTAGTGAGGAGATATGTGTGAATTTGGCCTAAGAATACTATTTTTTTGTGTATGTCTATACAATAAACCCTCTATCTACTATATTATGTTAATGTAACAAAGAAAAAGGGAACACAAAATTGCATCTTGCTACTTAAAATCAAATGCTACATTTTTAGTAAGATCTAATTTTTTTGATTTTCCTTAAAATGAATAATGACTTATAAGACAATTGCATTGTAACAAGGAAAGTAACTCTATTGTATCAATGATCTTCATTTTAGTCCCTTGTCATTTTATCACAAAATGTTTTCATGGGAAAATTTAGTAAAGATATTTTTAACCTGTAAAGGTATTTGAGGTTTTCCATCTAGCATTTTCCATTTCTCATAACCATATTTCCATATTATGAAATGTAAGTAAACTTTACATCTCTATTTTATAAAAATTAATGCATATATACTTATGTGTATACTTATCTATATATACACATATATACACCCATGCATAAATTCTGACTAAGAGTAGACCAACTAGATAATTTATCTGGAGAAGGTTCCTTGAACGATTAAAAAAAGGGGTCTTCAGAAGCAAACAACAAAACAGCCTTACAAACCCAATTGCTGTTTAAAATGTTTATGAACACATAGCCAGTTAACCATTTATTGATTGCCTATTTAGGGTTTTGTAATATCCAAGATTATGGAAGAGATAAGACAATACCTCTAAAAAATATGAGAAAGGTGATGATTTAAAAATAAACCTCCATAATATAAAAAGTCATGTAAATTTATTCCCTGAAAGAAAAGAAAGCTTTAATATTAAAATTAGAGTTCTCTTTTAATCCTCTTTGAGTAAAGAAATAATTTGCAAACTTCTATTTTCTACTGTCATGAAAACAGATCTTTTCTTGGGACTTCACAAATGTCAATCACAACAATGCAAACAGAGTAATTCTTTGGAAAGACTGATCTGAGGGTTTAAGGGTAGACTTTTTTCATTGAATTCCTGAATTTTTACACTGTGGGATTGGCTATGAGACACCATAAAATGTAAAATAGTTCAGACAGCTCAAGCTCTATTATTTTCAGGCACAAAATCCATATAATTTTGTACAAAACTTTGAATTTTTTATTTGTGAAATTAAAAATATGGTATTATATATATATAAACTTCTATTCCTCTATAAATATAGATGATTTTGTGATAGTGAACAGAATAAATGTATACCAAATTCAAAGACCAATATCATTTTAGCGTATGACAGACATAGATAAATTTAGGTCCTAAGTACCGGCATTTTGATAAATTCTTAAAGTTTAAAACAATACAATCAGGAGGATTGCTTTTCTCCTCTTCTTCACAGAGAACTAAAGTGAATATTTTTAAATGGCTTTGAAAGATTTACATTTGACACATTTCTGTAAATCCAAAAGAGGAGCACACAGGATTTAATGCAGTAGACCTGCACACATTTTCCCTTTAGCATGCATGCCCATATTTTGTTTATTTCAGGCGCTATCTCCCCGTCAATTATTCCACCTTCTTTACCTCCTGAAATCTTACCAGGTTATTATTGGTGGTGTGAATTGTTCCCCCCTCAGAATGTGCTGCTGAATAATAATCGTAATAAAATGTTGAAAGTGTACAACTTTTACATTTTAAAGTTTCTGATATATGTCTAGTTATTTGATTAAAAATAAGAAAATAGCACTTCATTTTGAGGAAGTCCATGACACTGAAATATCCTTCAAGTTTTCAATTTCTGTTTACGTTTTGCTGTCTTGTTAAGGAAAGCAAACATCAACTCCTTAACAAAGCTTTCCAGGTGACCTCAACATTTCCATTTTACAGACCGGTAAAATCTAAGCGCAGGCTGTCTCATTCTCAAAGGCAAGGTTGCCAGGCATCCGTATGCAATTAGAATTAACATTTTATAACCCATATCTTCAGTCTCTTCCAACCCACACAAAGCTTCATGCTTCTTCCCAAATCTCAGTAACCACATCTTTCCATGACGCTGGCCAAACCCATACCAGGTTTTAGACACTAGAGAATGAAATGAGCTCACCCCTCAAAAATTAGACTTCAAAAAGTTTGGCATTGGTTATCTCACTCACCCTGTAACCAACTAAGGTGGGAGAAGGGAGTGTCTGGGCGTTGAAGGTGACCGTGGAGGGAGGCTGAGACTGCCAGCGCCCACACCCGTGGGCCCCCATGAAGTTGGAGGAAAGTTCTGGACAGTTAAAAATCCAGCTTCAGGAAGTCGAAGGGACGGGCCTTCGCAATCCACCGCCGAGCAAGGGAGGAATTGTAATGTATGGGGGCCCTCCTCCAGATTTGGAAGGTTTGTGGAGTTCTGTACCTTAAGAGCCCCTACCTCAAGCCAGGAAAGAAAGGGAGGGGACAGAAGGAGGGGGAGGGGGCAAAAGGAGGAGGCGGGAAGTGACCCTGGCAGCGCAGCCCTAGTCGCACCCCGCAGTGCTGAACTCGCCCCGGAGCTGGCGCCCAGCCGTCCCGAGCACCCGTGGTAGGGAGAGGCGCGCGAGGACGACCAGGAGCGCTGTGCGGTTGCACACCAGTTTTAGCTCCTTTGCAATACTCCGAAAAGGGCAAGAAGGAAAAGCCTCAAATGGTTAAACCGCCCTAAATAATTAAAAACTTTTGAAAAAGAAAAACGCGTGATCGGTCGTCATTTAAATACAAATATACTTACAAAAATCTTACACAGGCTATTTACAATCATAAAAGCGAACAGTCCTGGTACCAGAGTGTGAGGGCAAGAGGTCTGTCCATCCTCCCTCTGGCAGTCGGGCCCTCGTGTCCTTTTGCCTCAGGGACGGAAGCTTTTGCAGGAGCTGAGTTGTTCAAAGGAGCCTGCGAAAGAGAGTTGTCTAGTGAGGAAACCTCGAGATGTCAGGATTGGCACGAACTCCACGGCGCTGGCTTTGGGGGATCGCTGCGCCCCGGCCGAGGCCTGGGCATGGGCTGAGCCCCGGGTCTCAGACTGTAGTCTCCCCTTGTTTGCTGTTGGTGAGCCTCGTGTAGAACTTCCTCCAGGAGTTGAGGGTCTTGCCGGACCAGATCCAGAAGCCCGACGTGATGCCCACGATCAGCGTCATAAGGTACTTAATCATGAAGACCGTGAAGTCCGGGCTCATGGGCGGGTGCGGCGGGGCGCCTCCGCCCGCCTGGAGGTGAGGGCAGGGGATAGCGTAGCTCTTGCAGCTCTGGGCCACCCAGCTGCGTTCCCACTGGTCCCGGAAGGCCTGCTCGTAGAAGTAGCAGGCGATGACGATGGTGGCTGGCACAGTGTACAGCACGCTGAAGACGCCAATGCGCACCATGAGCTTCTCCAGCTTCTCGGTCTTGGTGCCATCGTGCTTCATGATGGTGCGGATGCGGAAGAGCGACACAAAGCCGGCCAGCAGAAAGGACGTGCCGATAAACAGGTACACGAAGAGGGGCGCCAGCACGAAGCCACGCAGCGCGTCCACGTTGTTAAGCCCCACGAAGCACACTCCGCTCAGCACATCGCCGTCCACCTGGCCCAGCGCCAGGATGGTGATGGTCTTGATGGCCGGCACAGCCCAGGCGGCCAGGTGAAAATACTGTGAGTTGGCTTCGATGGCCTCGTGGCCCCACTTCATGCCAGCCGCCAGGAACCAGGTGAGCGACAGGATCACCCACCAGATGGAGCTGGCCATGCTGAAGAAGTAGAGCATCATGAAGAGGATGGTGCAGCCCTCCTTCTTGGTGCCCTGCGCCACAGTGCGTGCCCCGTCCTCGGCGAACTTGTCATTACACACCACTCGGTCTTCCAGGAGGAAGCCGGCGATGTAGGCCACGGCCACGGCCGTGTAACAGCCGGACAAGAAGATGATGGGCCGCTCCGGGTAGCTGAAGCGCCGCATGTCCACCAGGTACGTAAGCACCGTGAAGAGCGTGGAGGCGCAGCACAGCACTGACCAAATGCCAATCCAGGTGCGCGAGAAGCGCAGCTCCTCGGGCCCGAAGTACATGAGCCCATACACCTTGGTCGGCTCACAAGGTGCGCCGCAGTCCTTCTCCCCCAGGAAGTGGTAGTTGAGGTAGGAGGGCACCTTGAGGGCGCGCGGGCAGGAGAACTTGCCTCGCTCCGACGCGCCGGCGCCCCCCGGGAAGCCGCCACGGTGCCCTCCGCCGCCGTGCTGAGGGTTGCTGGTCCAGAACTCTGGAAGCAGCGAGGGCGTCGGGGTGCCCTTGTCGGACGTGTTCTGGCCCACGCACAGCTCGCCGGCGCCGTGCACCGGGAACTTCTCACACTTGAGCGTGTCTGGCCACTGGAAGCCGAACTTGTTCATGAGCGCCTCGCAGCCCTGGCGCGCGCGCTCGCACAGGGAGCGGCAGGGCGGCAGCGCCTGCTCTAGCACGGTGCACACGGGCGCGTACATGGAGCACAGGAAGAACTTGAGCTCAGCGGAACACTGCACTTTCACTAGAGGGTAGAACTGGTGCACCTCCAGGCCCGCGTCCTCCTGGTTCGTGTGGCCCAGCAGGTTGGGCATGATGGTCTGGTTGTACGCGATGTCCGTGCACAGCGGGATGGAGATGGGCTGGCAATAGCCGTGGTCCGGGACGGAGATGCCCCGCTCGCCGTTGTACTGCTGCCCGCTCTGTTGCTGCTGAGGCGGCGGCGGCGGTTGCTGCCCCGGCCCGGGCCCCTGGCCTGGCCCCTGGCCCGCCGCCTGGGCCCGGACCCCCAGCAGCAGCGGAGCCTCCAGCAGCCAAAGCAGCAGCAGCAGCTGGCGCGCCAATCGCCGGGGGTCAACTGGCGGGCGGCGGCGGCCACCGGCGTCCCCGCTGCCCTCCTCCGCCAGCCGGGCCGAGAGCGCCCCGGCACAAAGTTCCCAGCTCGCGCCACCGCCGGCGGCCCGGGACTTCTTAGGCGCCTCCTCCTCAGCCATACTTTCTCGGCTCCTCTCTTGGCGCCGCTCCGCTGGGGCTGCCAGGGGCACGGCCGGCGGCGGCTCCCCCTGCGGCCAGGGAGACCTCTGCGCGGGTGCCCTCCGTCGAGCCCAAGCCGCTTTCGGCCCGCTCCCCCGGCTCCTGTTCTGCGTACCGCAGCCGCCGCCGCCGCGGAAACTTGCGATTCATGAAGCGCGGGCGGCGGGGAGAACCCGGGTGGCTAGGGCGCGCCGGGGTCGTGTCCCGCCTTCCTGGCCCTCGGCTCGCTGGCTCCCGGCTGGCGGCGCCGCGCTAGTGGCCGCGGCCCCGTAGAGAGCGCAACTCTCCGCAGCCCAGCGGGCTCGGCTCCCCCCTGCGCCTCCGCCTCCTTCTCCGCCGCCGCCGCCTGACCATTTGTGTCAATCCCTCAACTCGCTCCCTCTCCTCTGCCTCGCGCGCCCTCGGACCGGTTTCCAGGCGCCCCGTAGTCTGTCTTTCACCAGGAGGGAGGAGCCTTGAAACCGACGCAGAACTGGAGGCTCAGGGACCGTCGCCCAATCGCGGCTCCGGCTTCCCGGCGCAAAGGGAGCCGGCCGCCTCCTCGCCAGAGCGAAAGCCAGCGGCAGGAGGGCGGGGTAGGAGGAGGCGGGAGGAGGAGGAAGTAGTGGTGGTGGCACTACTCAGGCACAAAGAGTAGGATTGCTCTGAAGCGGGACAGGCTTGGTTGCTTTTGCTTTTTCAGAAGAAAAAGGCGAGGATACGTAGGAGAATGGTCCCATATGCTGCTGGAGATAATGAATAGGAGTCAGAGGACCGCGGGACTTCGCTTTTCTTTTATTTTATCCATTATCATGTTTAAAAATCCTGCTCTTAACGCTGGTTACCAACAGCAAACCGGGTTCTGCTTCCAGAACAGATGCCTTTGACTTAAGGAGCGCACGGTTTCCTTTGAGTTTGTGTCTGTCGAGGTTTTGTTTAACATATTACATTAATAAATCCTCCAGTTCGCAGGCTGGGCTTGGCGGGCTTTGGTCGCGCCATTTCCCCAGAGGAGACGTTCACGGGATCGCTGTCAAATGAAACAAAACACAAACTTTGATGGAATTTGGAAAGTAAAGCCAGATGCGCCTTCTGCTACTATCATTCTTCTTGGAGTCAAACTCCTTTTTTTCCGCCTCTTTAATCAAGTCAGAAACAGAAGCAAAAGAAAACTATCCATTAAATTTTTGGAGAGAAAAACTTAAGAACCCGACGACCGAGGCAGTGGGGGCGCCTCTCTGGGATCGTCCTCGCCGCTCCAGACCGCAGAGGTGGCGCCGGCGGGAGCTGCACTCGCCGGCAGCTTGGGCCCCTGGGGAGCCTTTCTAAACCCTGGGGACGCCCACGGCTCCGATGGGAACTCCTGGGACCTGGGCCATTTAGGTTCCACAGGCTGGGCTGCAGAGCTGGAGACGCCAGTTTAATAAACAAAACAAACAAACAGTCTGAAAGCAAACAGCGAACTGCACATTCTCTTCCTAATTCCAAAACAGCATAATCCGTCTCAACAGACGCACATTAATGTTGTTTTCCTTGTAAGATTATTTTAAATGATGGTTTGACTATGTAATTCAGTTTTATAAGAAAAGTGCCATTGGACTATTAATTCTTCCATTTTTTTTTTTTTTTTGCCTGTGATCAGACTCTATCTCAGCGTACTTTTCACCAATTACTTTCTATCATTCA
The DNA here is from genome assembly GCF_000001405.40 of Homo sapiens. NCBI lineage: Eukaryota > Metazoa > Chordata > Mammalia > Primates > Hominidae > Homo > Homo sapiens. The sequence continues at coordinate 91,263,175 of NC_000007.14, read as the reverse complement.
TTTACACATTCATTTGTTTAATAGATACCAACCACCCATTGTGCTATAAGCACTCTTAGGTCGTAGAGTATAAAATGAAGGAGACCTGTGCCAGCCTTAGAGAGGGGCATAGTACAGTGAGGCACAGAAATGCAAATCACTTGTTACAGTGTCCATCCCAAAGCCAAAAAGGCACATAGAAAGCAACCAGCTCAGATGAAATGGGGTTCTGACGGAGAGGTAGGTGCAAGGTGCAAAAGATTAAAGCTCAAATTCACTTGAATTGCTGAAGGGGGCCAGAGAGGTGAGTGTAGCTGAGGCACTTTGAGGGGAGGCAGGAGAAAAGGTTTTAATCCAGACTAAAACGTTTGGGCCAAATTATACAGAAAATAGAAAACTATTGAAGGTCACTTTCCCCACATAAGCAGGGAGTGATTCCAGGGTGACTGAAAGAGGGCACCTGAGGCAGGCTGTCATTAGGAAGCTTTAACATTCATCTACACATAAAGGTTACTACTTAGATGGGTGTTACTTGTACTACATGCTAACAAGTCTCTGAGAATTTCACTACCCAGCATGTTGGTGTCTATAAAGAAGGTGCAGTCATATCTTTACCTGCTAAAGCAAAATGACATCTGTTTGTCTCAGATACATATGTTATTGTTTTTCAAATGTTTATATAAGCAGTACCTTCATAAAATGCATTTTTGCTTTAAAGTATTTGATTGCTAGCATTTTTTTAAAGCAACAGGTACTAAATGCACAATTATGTGAGCATGTGTACGTGTGTTGACTGTAATTTATGACACATTTTGATATTGAAAAGGAGGTTGGGAAGCACAGCTCTCTGAAGTCCTTTGAACCGTTCAATAAGTGTTCATTTTCACTCTAGCATCCTGGCCCCCAGGCTCCCAGGGACACTTTTTCTCTAGCCTTTCCACTCTGATGCTCATTCCTCTGCTGATAGTATCCCATGTTTAGGAACTTTATCAAGCCATCTCTCTCCTATCACTCCTGTCTTGGAAAGATTTAACCTGTCCTGTGTTCTATTCTCTCAAGTCATTCGAGCTGACTAGGCTGAGTGAAAAGTGAATTTATTCTGATGTGTTAATTACCAAGAAGCATCACGTGTTAAACATCCATCCATCCCTACCATCACTCCAAATCCTTCTCCTTCTCCCCTAAGGGGTTGGGGCACAGAGATATGGCAGAGCACTCAGTTCTGTTTCTCAGAGTAGAAGACACTCTCTTGCTTCAAAAGTTGTTCTACTGAAATTCTTGAACTTGTTTTATGTTTCACCTGACAGTGAAGTTTACTACGAGGAGGCTCAGAAGTACAGCTAGAGTTAGAGAGAGAGAGAGAAAAAATGTCATTCTTACCAGATTATGAAACTGGAAGCAACCAAAAATGTCATCGAGAAATGAGTTAATTTTCTGCAATCTACAATTAAGAATATTGGATCCAGAAATATTAAGGGATGTGCCTCACTTTAAATGGCCCTATTTGGCTTGAATTTCATTAGAAGCTTATTTTAATCCTTGTATGTTATTTTAAGTAGCTATAGTTCTTTTTATCTTTTTTTAAAAGTTAGTTTTCTGTGGAAGTTCTCCCTCAATAGAATGTGTAAATAAAAGACCTTATAACATTTTTAAAAAATCATTTTCTGAGAGTTGTCTTTCAAAGTTAAAAAAAACCAACAAACTTGATTTTCATTTATTATACAAATACAATATTTAATTTATCAAAACTATGTAATACAGAGGAAGGTACTAAAATCAGAAACAATTCCGAGTTTTAGTCAGTAATAACCAGGGTCATGAAAGGAGGTCTGTTGGGGGAGGTAATGAAGGCAATGGGTAACAAAATATTAGAAGACAAATATGAGCAGTGTATTTTAACAGAATATAAAATGTAATATTTTCTCAAGATGTGGAAAAGTTTGAGATCCACAGATCAAAATTACTAAGTAAGTATGAACTATTATGAACTTGGTAATAAAAATATTTCAGTTAGGTCAAAACTATAAACATAACCCAATTCTTCCTTGATACTGCTTTGTCAAGCATCAGACTCAGTCAAGTTTTCTCATATCAAAGATCTTGTTTTATCAGGCCTTTCCCAAATCTTCTGAAGTTTCTCCAGACTGCTTATGTCAGGTTGAATGTGGATAATTAGCAGGGATGGAGATCCAGTTCCAATTACATATAGTTGAGTGTACACAGACACACAGGCAGTTAGGTGAACGCTCCATGTGCAACCCAACCTGAAGGATCTTAAGCTTTTAGGTGAGTTGCTTTTTTGCTGGCTTGTGAGTGGCTGACTTGAATTGTCTTTGTTGAAGAATAGAGATTAACACAGGTTAAGACTATATTTTTGAACACCTACTGTGTATACTTGGTGTTATTTTGCACGATGTATCCATACGTTGTGTTGCTTAAACTTTGAGGAAGGTACTAATTATCTTATCCCTTTTTTTTTCTTTTTCTTTTTTTTTAGAGACAGGGTCCCATTCTGTCTCCCAAGCTGGCATGATCATAGGATCATAGTTCGCTGCAGCCTCAAACTCCTGGGCTTGAGCAGTCTTCCCACTTTAGCTTCACTAGTAGCTGGGACTACAGGTATGCACCATCATGCCCATCTAATTTTTTAATTTTTTGTGGAGACAGGGTTTTGCTGTGTTGCCCAGGCTGGTCTCAAACTCCTGGGCTCAGGCTGTCCTCCCACTCAGCCTCCCTATGTTATCTCCTTTTGATTGATGAAGAATTGAAGGCTCAAAACAATTAAGTAATTTGTACAAGATCCCATAGCCAGTAAGTGCCAGAGTGGGGCTTGTGTCTGACCAAGGTCCATGGACTTCCAGTTAGTAACATTATGTGATCATGTCCACTGAAAAAATTGTAGAAGAAAATGTGGTTTCTGGGAGCACACCAGATGATTGCTCGGTATTTAACATAGTTTTCTATACCAGGATATATATGCTAGGGGCTTAAATGCTGGGATTCACTAATGAGTTAGACCAGCATTTTCCAAACTGTGTTCTGTGAAATACAATATCTTCTCCAAAGGCATTCTGTGAAATAAATTTGTTCAAATAAGTTTGGAAAAAGGCCATATTCTGTGTCCTTATTGGAGATTCACATTAGCCTAATATAATCTCTGAGAATTGCTGAGCTTAAGAACCCTTTTAAACTTTTTTCTTATTTAGTATTTCCCACATTTGGAATATACATATACATACACACACTTGGAATACACACATGTATATACATACACACATACATAGACACACATATATATTACACTGCATCAATATTTTGCTTGACATTAATGCTCTGTGAGATTCAACTTGAAAAATGCTGAATTAGACCTACTATATTTTGAATTTTTATTTTATAAGGTTGGACTCTCACCCTATATTACTTTTGAATGTCAGTTGTAGAAAGTGAGAACTTGGCCTGCTATGCTTTGAGTTCCTGACTCTTCTTGAATTCCTAGTGAAGGGAAGTTGATTGCTTAGGGAGCTGATGGTGGTAGAGAAAACTCAGACCATACTATTCCCTTCTTTCTGGGTGGCACCACCTAGGGGTCTATTATATTGTCTTTGTAGAGACACATTAGGTATAACTCTACTAAAGCTTTCAGCATAGTTCTCTATTTCATTTCTTCTTGAATTTCCAACCCAGAAATTACTACATAAGCTATTTCTTATTTTCCATAACATCTGTATTCTTCTGCAACAATTCTAAAAATGAATGTCTTTTCTTTCTTTGTTTTTTCTTTCTTTCTCATACAAATCTGCTCTCGACATTGGTAAAATAGTTATTGAATTCATTCACACACAGAGGCTCAATTTGTAGACTCTCTTTAAAAATATATATATATATATTTATTTATCTATCTTTCTGTAAAACCACTTATCAAAAGAGATTTTCAGTGTGATTACCTTGACTTTTATCTTATAGAGTACTTACAGCTGATTGATATTAAGATCCTGATTGATATTAAGATCCTGAACTAACTTATTATTTGAGAGTCAGCCATAATTTGTTATAATTTACATTTTAAACATGGCAAGACTCAAAGATTTAATATAAAGGTGTGGCTCAGTAGTTCTAAATATGAATCATGGATTACTTGTACACAAATCTCACAAAACACATTTTTTATTTAAAAAAAAAAGATAAGAAGTATGAAAGGGGAAAAATCACCATCACTGAATTTTCATCAAGGTAGGATAATAATTAACCCAAATTTTCTTGTAATTAAAAGATTAAACTATAATAGGAGACTTTGCTAAATACATTACTTAAACATCAGTTTCGCCAAAAAAAAAAGTGCATATAAAAAGTACCTCATGACTCTGTTTTAATTAGTTCTGTTGTCATTGTCATTGTGCAATTGGAAATGGTGTACACTATCTGGGAAAACTTTTGTAGAACATACAGGCATTTATATTAGATTTAGAATGTAGTCCTTCTTCGAGGCCCTGGGAAAGAAATAGAGATGGGTCCTTGTAAATTAAAACCTTACGCCTCATGTGTTTAAAGAGGCCTCTCTGATTGGCTAAGATGTGGGGTGCTGAGTTTGCAATCATTTCAGTGCAGACATTTTAGGAGAATAAGTAAGACTTGTGCTTCTGTAAGTCAACATTTCTGTTCTCCCTTCTAGATGATTTGTTTGTGTATGAGGGAAATAATGTTATGCATCTGTTAAAATTACAGTCTGATCAAATCGTTTTCTTCTTGTTCGTTTCTTGCTTTAACCTGAAATCTCCTGGCCGAAGGTAACAGGGAAGTCAATTTATGGTTTCTAAAGTGTGGGTACAAATATTTCTTAAAATAACATCTTTGGGGTGGGGGACTGGCAAGATGAACAAATAGGAACAGCTCTGCTCTGCAGTTCCCAGCGAGATCAACACAGAAGGTGGGTGATTTCTGCATTTCCAACTGAGGTACCTGGCTCATCTCATTGGGACTGGTTAGACAGGGGGTGCAGACCACAGAGGGTGAGCCGAAGCAGGGTGGGGCATTGCCTCACCCGGGAAGCACAAGGGATCAGGGAATTCCCTCCCCTAGCCAAGGCAAGCCGTGAGGGACTGTGCCATGAGGAACGGTGCACTCTGGCCCAGATATTGCACTTTCCTTACGGTCTTCACAACCCACATACCGGGAGATTCCCTTGGGTGCCTACTCCACCAGGGGCCTGGGATTCAAGCACAAAACTGGGTGGCTGTTTGGGCAGACACTGAGCTAGCTGCAGAAGTTTTTTTTTCATACTCCAGTGGCACCTAGAATGCCAACAAGACAGAACTGTTCACTCCCCTAGAAAGGGGGCTGAAGCCAGGAAGCCAAGTAGTCTAACTCAGTGGATTTCACCCCCATGGAGCCCAGCAAGCTAAGATCCACTGGCTTGAAATTCTTGCTGCCAGCACAGCAGTCTGAAGTTGACCTGGGATGCTTGAGCTTGGGAGGAGGGAGGGGTGTCAGCCATTACTGAGGCTTGAGTAGGCAGCTTTTCTCTCACAGTGTAAACAAAGCTGCCTGGAAGTTCAAACTTGGTGGAGCCCAACAAACTCCTCCAAGCTAAAGGAGTATGTTCTAACCCAATGCAAGGAAGCTAAGAACCTTGAAAAAAGGTTAGATGAATTGCTAACTAGAATAACCAGTTTAGAGAAGAACAGAAATGACGTGATGGAGCTGAAAAACACAGCACAAGAACTTCATGAAGCATACACAAGTATCAATAGCTGAATCGATCAAGAAGAAGAAAGGATAACAGAGATTGAAGATCAACCCAATGAAATAAAGTGAGAAGACAAGATTAGAGGAAAAAGAGTGAAAAGAAATGGACAAAGCCTCCAAGAAATATAGAACTACATGAAAAGACCAAATCTATGTTTGATTGGTGTACCTGAAAGTGATGGGGAGAATGGAACCAAGTTGGAAAACAATCTTCAAGATATAATCCAGAAGAACTTCACCAACCTAGCAAGGCAGGCCAACATTCAAACTCAGGAAATACAGAGAACACCACAAAGATATTCCTTGAGAAGAGCAACCCCAAGACACAAAATCATCAGATTCGCCAAGGTTGAAATGAAGGAAAAAATGTTAAGGCAGCCAGAGAGAATGGTCGGGTTACCCACAAAGGGAAGCCCATCAGACTAACAGCGGATCTCTTGGCAGAAACCTTTCAACCCAGAATTTCATATCCACCCAAGCTAAGCTTCATAAGTGAAGGAGAAATAAAATTATTTACAGACAAGCAAATGCTGAGAGACTTTGTTACCACCAGGCCTGCCTTACAAAAGCTCCTGAAGGAAGCACTAAACATGGAAAGGAACAACGGGTACCAGCCACTGTAAAAACATACCAAATTGTAAAGACCATCAACATTATGAAGAAACTGTACCAACTAATGGGAAAAATAACCAGCTAATATAATGACAGGATCAAATTCACACATAGCAATATTAACCTTAAATGTAAATGGGCTAAATGCTCCAATTAAAAGACACAGACTGGCAAATTGGATAGAGTCAAGACCCACGAGTGTGCTGTTTTCAGGAGACCCATCTCACTGCAAAGACACATATCGGCTTAAAATAAAGGGATGGAAGAATATTTACCAAGCAAATGGAAAGCAAAAAAATAGCAAGAGTTGCAATCCTAGTCTCTGATAAAACAGACTTTAAACCAACAAAGATCAAAAAAGATAAAGAAGAGCATTACATAATGGTAAAGGGATCAATACAACAAGAAGTGCTATCCTAAATATATATGCACTCAATACCAGAGCATCCAGATTCATAAAGAAAGTTCTTAGAGACCTACAAAGAGACTCAGACTCCCACATAATAATAGTGGGAGACTTTAACACCCCACTGTCAATATTAGATTAATGAGACAGAAAATTAGCAAGGATATTCAGGACATGAACTCAGCTCTGGACCAAGTGGATCTAATAGATATTTAGAGAACTTTCCACCCCAGATCAACAGAATATATACATTCTTCTCAGCACCACATCACACTTATTCTAAAATTGACCACATAACTGGAAGTAACACACTCCCCAGCAAATGCAAAATAATGCAATTCATAACAAACAGTCTCTCAGACCACAGTGCAATCAAACTAGAACTCAGGATGAAGAAATTCACTCAAAACCACACAACTACATAGAAACTGAACAACCTGCTCCTGAATGACTGCTGGGTAAATAACAAAATTAAGGCAGAAATAAATAAGTTCCTTGAAACCAATGAGAACAAAGACACAATGTACCAGAATCTCTGGGACACAGCTAAAGCAGTGTTTAGAGGGAAATTCATAGCACTAAATGCCCACAGGAGAAAGCAGGAAAGATCTAAAACTGACACTCTAACATCACAATTAAAAGAACTAGAGAAGCAAGAGCAAACACATTCAAAAGCTAGCAGAAGACAAGAAATAACTAAAATCAGAGCAGTACTGAAGGAGATAGAGACATGAAAAACCCTTCAAAAAATCAGTGAATCCAGGAGCTGGTTTTTTGAAAAGATTAACAAAATGGATAGACCACTAGCCAGACTAATAAGAGAGAGAGAAGAATCAAATAGACAAAATAAAAACTGATAAAGGAGATATCACCACTGGCCCCAGAGAAATACAAACTACCTTTAGAGAATACTATAAACACCTCTACACAAATAATCTAGAAAATCTAGAAGAAATGGATAAATTCCTGGACACACACACCCTCCCAAGACTAAACCAGGAGGTAGTTGAATCCCTGAATAGGCCAGTAAGAAGTTTTGAGGCTGAGGCAGTAATTAATAGACTATCAACCAAAAAAAGCCCAGGACCAGACAGATTCACAGCCGAATTCTACCAGAGGTACAAAGAGTTGCTGGTACCATTCCTTCTGAAAATATTCCAAACAATAGAAAAAGAGGGACTCCTCCCTAACTCGTTTTATGAGGCCAGCATCATCCTGATACCAAAACCTAGGAGAGACACAACAAAAAAAAAATTTCAGGCCAATATCCCTGATAAACATCAACATGAAAATCCTCAATAAAATATTGGCAAAGCAAACTCAGTAGCGCATCAAAAAGGTTACCCACCATGATCAAGTTGGCTTCATCCCTGGGATGCAAGGCTGGTTCAGCATACGCAAATCAATAAACATAATCCATCACACAAACAGAACCAATGACAAAACCACATGATTAACTCATTAGATGCAGAAAAGGCCTTCGGTAAAATTCAACACCCCTTCATGCTAAAAACCTCAATAAACCAGGTATCGATAGAACATATCTCAAAATAATAAGAGCTATTTATGACAAACCCACAGCCAATATCATACTGAATGGGCAAAAGCTGGAAGCATTCCCTTTGAAAACCAGCACAAGACAAGGATGCCCTCTCTCACCACTCCTATTCAACATAGTATTGGAAGTTCTGGCCAGGGAAATCAGGCAAGAGAAAGAAATAAAGCGTATTTAAACAGGAAGAGAGGAAGTTAAATTGTCTCTGTTTGCAGATGACATGATTGTATATTTAGAAAACCCCATCGTCTCAGCCTGAAATTTCCTTAAGCTAATAAGCAACTTCAGCAAAGTCTCAAGATACAAAATCAATATGCAAAAATCACAAGCATTCCTATACACCAATAATAGACAAACAGAGAGCTGAATCATGAGAGAACTCCCATTCATAATCGCTACAAAGAGAGTAAAATACCTAGGAATACAACTTACAAAGGATGTAAAGGACCTCTTCAAGGAGAACTACAAACCACTACTTAAGGAAATAAGAGAGGACACAAACAAATGGAAAAATATTCCATGCTCATGGATAGAAGAATGAATATAGTGAAAATGGCCATACTGCCCAAAGTAATTTATAGATTCAATGCTATCCCCATCAAGCTACCATTGACTTTCTTCATAAAATTAGAAAAAACTACTTTAAATTTCATATGGAACAAAAAAAGAGCCTGTGTAGCCAAGACAATCCTAAGCAAAAAGAACGAAGCTAGAGATCATGCTACCTGACTTCAAACTATACCACAAGGGTACAGTAACCAAAACAGCTTGGTACTGGTACCAAAACAGATATATAGACCAATGGAACAGAACAGAGGCCTCAGAAATAATGCCACACATCTACAACCATCCGATCTTTGACAAACCTGACAAAAACAGGCAATGGGGAAAGGATTCCTTATTTCACAAATGGTGTTGGGAAAACTAGCTAGCCATATTCAGAAAACTGAAACTGGACCCCTTCCTTAGACCTTTTACAAAAATTAACTCAAGATGGATTAAAGACTTAAAACTATAAAAACCCTAGAAGAAAAATCTAGGCAATAACATTCAGGACATAGGCATGGGCAAACACTTCATGACTAAAACACCAGAATCAATGGCAACAAAAGTCAAAATTGACAAATGGGATCTAATTAAACTAAAGAGCGTCTGCACAGCAAAAGAAACTATCATCAGAGTGAACAGGAAACCTAAAGAATGGGAGAAAATGTTTGCAACCTATCCATCTGACAAAGGGCTAATATCCAGAATCTACAAAGAACTTAAACAAATTTACAAGAGAAAAACAAACAACATCATCAAAAATTGGACGAAGGATGTGAACAGACACTTCTCAAAAGAAGACATTTATGCAGCCATCAAATGTGAAAAAAAGCTCATCATCACTGGTCATTAGAGAAATGCAAATCAAAACCACAATGAGATACCATCTCACGCCAGTTGGAATGGTGATCATTAAAAAGTCAGGAAGCAACAGATGCTGGAGAGGATGTGGAGAAATAGGAGGGCTTTTACACTATTGGTAGGAGGGTAAATTAGTTCAACCATTGTGGAAGACAGTGTGGCAATTCCTCAAAGATCTAGAACCAGAAATACCATTTGACCCAGCAATCCCATTACTGGGTACATACACAAAGATTTATAAATAATTCTATTATAAAGACACATGCACACATATGTTTATTGCAGCACTGTTCACAATAGCAAAGACTTGGAACCAACCCAAATGCCTATCAATGATAGACTGGATAAAGAAATTGTGGCACATATACACCATGGAATACTGTGCAGCCATAAAAAAGGATGAGTTCATGTCCTTTGCAGGGACATGAATGAAGCAGGCAACCATCATTCTCAGCAAACTAACACGGGAACAGGAAACCAAACACCGCATGTTCTCACTCATAAGTGGGAGTTGAACAATGAGAACACATGGACACAGAGAGGGGAACATCACACACCAGCGCCTGTTGGGGGATGGGGGCCTAGGGGAGGGATAGCATTAGGAGAAATACCTAATGTAGATGACAGGTTGATGGGTGCAGCAAACCACCATGGCACGTGTATACTTATGTAACAAACCTGCACATTCTGCACATGTATTCCAGAACTTAGGGTATAATAATAATAATAAATATCTTTGGAATTATAATTATGAACAAATAAGCTGGGTGCTATTACTCATGCCTGGATCCCAGCACTTTGGGAGGGCAAGGCGGGAGAATCACTTGAAGCCAGGAGTTCAAGACTAGCCTGGGCAACATAGAGAGACCCTGTCTCTACAAAAAGAAATTAAAAATTAGTCGGACATGGTGGCGCATGCCTATAATTCCAGATACTTGGTAGGCTGAGGCTGGAGCTTTGCTTGAACTCAGAAGTTTGAGGCTGCAGTGAGCTGTGATCGCACCACTGCACTCTAGCCTGGGTGACAAAGTGAGACCCTGCCTCAAAAAAGAACAAATGGGGCATGTACCCAGGTATTTTTGCTTCACATATGACAATAATTTTTTGGCCAGGATAAAGAAAAGCACTCAGCTGTTTGTACTTTATTAGAAATCTAGCTGAAAAGATCATCATGCTTTTGTAAAAAGAAGAGAAAAGAAAAAGAAAAAGCATTTTCCTGTGTGGAAGTTGCCATCATGTCATAGTACCTGGTTTAATCTTCACAACTCTGGTGCAGGTTGTAGAATAGTCACCCTCATTCAGGATACAAAAATGGAGTCTTAGGAAGGTGACTTGCTCACACAGCCTGTCAATGGACGAAAGAGGATTCACATGCGGTTACCACATGTATTAACACAGCCGCATGCCAAGGGAAACAAGATCCATTCCAGAGCTTTTGTAATCTAATTAAACCAAGATCATTAGGAAATACAAAATTCTTCTATGAACCTAGCTCTAAGACAGCCATTTGGATCTTTTAGTGTGAAATATATCAAACCCCATACAGGCAATGACAGAAGGCCATTTCTTACACCTAACCATGATGAAAACTAGGCTGCAATGGTGAATCCATCTTAGATCAGGGAAGGTGTTCACGTAGGGAGGTAAAACCATAAATTTAATATGTAGCTTTCCTATGATTTGAGTTGAACCGGGGGTAGAACTTTAGGGGATGTACTCAGCATTTTCATGTTTATTTCTGCATCCAAAGAAAGGCCTGGATATTGGCATATTCTTTGGTGCTGGGTAAAAGGCATTGTTGTTTCTTTTATCATGGCAAGTTTTTCTTGCTTTACTGAACCTCAGTTTCCTCATTTATAAAATTAAACTGATAACCTAATGGGTAGTGTTTATCTTGCTGTCTTTAATATACTGTAATTCTTATCACAACAAAGAGGTATGTGTGTTTATATTTAAAAGTCAGAATATTAATGAACAGGCAAGTGCATTTGTTAAAACTGCCCCAGCACATTGATTTTAGGAATCTCTGCATTATTGATCTGATAGGATGAAATGCAATGGGGATCCATTTAAACCAAGGGCTTTTATTTTCAGCTTTCATTTCCCCTCAGTTCTCTCAAGAACAGAAGCAAGGGGAATCTCTGTCTACATGGGCTAGTGTGCTTCCCCTTGGGCCCTTTCAGACTGTGGAGTTCATATGACATTCTGTTTGCTGCAGGTCCTGCAGATTAACATAGAACTTTTAGCTTCGAAAGTGAACTTTGCAATCATTAGACACTATATATGTGTTTGAAAAATGTGCACATAGATCAAGATAGGATCTGATGATTTCGATATGGTTAAATTTTCCCTCTTATCCCATTGTTACCGCTATATCCATTATTTCTGAAATGTTCCATATTCCTATTGTTGTGTATCAAATCACCCCAAATTTAGTAGCATAAAATTATAACCATTCTATTATGCTTATGATTCATGGGGCCAGGTATGTGTCCAGGGTCAGTGGGAATGACTTGTCTGTACTCCACAGTCTGAGAACTCAGCTGGGAGGACTCCGACAGCTGATGGGGAGCAGGGGTAACTAGAGCAATTGAGGACTGAAACAGCTGGGGCTGGAAGATCCACTTCCGGATGGCTGGACTCGGATGGGACTGTTAGCCAGAGTGCTTACTAGTGGCCTCTCCAGCATGGAAGCCTTAGGGTAGTCGAGGGCTCTTTACCTGGTGGCTCTGTTTCAGCAAACAAGGCACAAGCTGCATGTTCTTTTATGACTGAACCGTGGACATTACATAGTGCCACTTCCGATAGATTCTAATGATCAAAGCAGTCACAATCCTGCCCAGATGCAAGTGGAGGGCACAGACACCGCCTCAAGGGGAACAGTGTCAGAGAATTTGTAGCAGTTTTTAAAAACTGCCGCACAAAGAAAGCTGAATTTATACAATAATTTTCTATTATCAGGGTTAAAGATAGCTGGAGTAATAACATTTATTAAGCACCTACTATGTGCTAGTTAATCAATTTTATGAGGGATGTCCTATTATTATCTCCATCTCACTGAAGAGGAAAATGAGGTGTAGCGAGGTTAAGGAACTGGTCACATCCTAATGAACATGAGAATGGAGATTTGAACCAAGGCTGTCTGACTACAGCATGTAGGAGCTTAGCCACTGGCCTATAGAATTCCCCCTCAGCTAACTAGAGTAAGGCCTTTTAAGAACTGTTAAACAAACATTTTAAAGCTATAGGCACTCACCAAATATTAAGAAATGTTTTGAATAAAATTGTTACTAAAATTGATTTGGTGGTCTTGAACCCATGGTAATTGACAAAAATGTCTCACCTCTACATAGACACCTGTACATTGGCAGAGTATTTTCCTAACAGGATTGGGCAAACTTGAACTGGCAGAGCTGGAACCCTCCCCACGAAGAATGAGGTGAGTCACTAGGCCTGAGGGTTACTGGATTGTGACTGTTGGGAAATCAGACATTCCTCCTTGGCTCTCTTCTTTTTTTTTTTTTCTTTAAGAGAGACAGGGTCTCACAGTCTCACTCTGTCACCCAGCCTGGAGTGCAGTGGTGTGATCGTAGCCCACTGCAGCCTCCAACTGCTGGGCTCAAGCAATCCTCTGGCTTTGGCCAGAGAGTAGCTAGGACTACAAGCACACACCACCACATCTGGCTAATTATTATAAAATTTTGTAGAGACAGGATCTTGCTGTGTTGCCCAGGCTGGTCTTGAAATCTTGGCCCCAAGAGGTCATCCTGACCCGGCCTCCTGAAGTGCTGGGATTACAGATGTGAGCCACTGTGCCTGCCCCAGCCTGTCCTTGACTCTTAGTTGGATATCATTCCATAGTTTAGAAATGTTTTTTCATCCACAGTTTGGCTGTTATCAAGACATATTCTAATGTAAAGTTGTTTCACCTTTCAGGACGATTAGAAAGTAGATAGCTAAAACATAAAAATACAAAGTTCTCATTTCCTGAAGTCAATTTTCACACATCAGACCAAGTTATCTGGTGGGCTCATGTGCTACAAAAAATATAAAATTACAAAGAGATGCACTTCTGTGATGAATTAAAAACCTGTGTCCTGCAGGAGCCCTGCTTTTTACTAAAATACCTCAGCATGCAGCTGAGAGTATAACTCTTGGGATACTAGCCATGAAGTGTTAACAGCTTGGAGAGGAGGGGCCAACCCCAGAGCTCTGTGGCTTTAGAATCAATTTGGATACTGAAATGTCATCCCTGCCAGCCCTGTTTCCAGTTTGCCTTATACGTGGTGACTGGTGAAGACAGGAAATGGGATTTCCCCTATCTTCTCACTCCCATCTACCCACCAGCAGCTCTCCCGGCTGAAAATGGCTGTCATGGCTGCTCTGTCCTTACATAGTAACCACCAGAGGCTACATCAGGGTTGTTCCTGCTGCACAGCTGCCCTCTCAGGAATGGGTCTATAATGGGCCACACAGTCCTGCAATGTCCTATGCGTCCCAGAGCATCTTCCCCTCCTGCCCAGACTCAATTTTGAGAGACTTTCCTGTCCATGGTGAGAAATCTCCTTCAGCCAATCTTGGCATTCAAATGTAGACAAGGTGTTTGTACCTTACTCCTCCTCCCACAAAATAAGATAGGATTGTGAGACATCATTTTCCAAAAGTTGAGCTAAGAGACTACCTGAGCAATCTAATCAAAGGTTTCAATTCAAAGCATTTCTCACTAACATGGAATCCAAATCCACAATGGTCCCTTAAACCTCTCATCCAGCCAAAGTGAAGTCATTCTTTCCCAGGCACTTCCCAAAGAGTTGCATCAGTCTTTTATTTCCATCAATTCGTTCATTCAACAAATATTTGTTAAGTGCTGACTGTGTGCCAGGCACTCTGTTTGGTACTCAAGATGCAACACCAAACGAGGCAGACACCTTCCCTGTCCTCACAGAACTTACATTCTAGCTCCAAGAAAGGACATAGGGCAAATACTTTAACCATTCAATCATGCATGCAAGTGTGAGTTCATGCCAGTTGGTATAAATTGTGTTAAGTCTTTTGGTCGGGAGTTATAGACAACTCTGGAAAACTTCATGAAAGAACTGAATTCATGGGAGAGACTGGAGAAGTCTAACAGGATCCAAGGAAGAGATAAACAAGTGCAGGAACAAAATTAGCTCTACCTCTTTGGCAACAGTTTGTGAATCTTCCTTCTATTATGTTTCATTAGTGTGACTTAGTTATCAACAACTGTAATCATTTCAGTTAAAAAGGGAATGTCATTGGTCCACCCTGTATTTAGTGTCTGCCTTTGGACTAACTGGACTGAGCTAGGGATGTTGGTGTTAGAGGACAGACATAGCTGTTGAGGGCCACCCCTGAGCAGCAGGTGAAGGCCCCAGAAAAGAGGTCAGGCAGTTTCTGCAAAACTTTCTATATAACAGAGGTGGTAATTGTCCCAAGAGCATCTGACTTAGTTTTGGGAAGGGGATGGATCAAAGAAAGTTTCACTGTGGATGAGAAATATAATCCCATTACCTGACGGATAAAGGAGTTAGCTAAGTCAAAATGAGAAACAAAAATGTGGGAAGGAGAGTGTGGGACATCATGATACAGAGAAATGGCATCTGCAGAAACTCAGAGGCAAGAAGAAATAAGACATATTTGAGGACTGGTGAGAAGGCTGGATTATAGCTGACAGGGCATTTTCACTCTGGTGGATTGGAGGCCTTATCTCAAGCCCTACATCCTTTTTATCAGCTTTCTTGGGAAGTCAGTGGGACTCCTGGTGGCCAGCAAGGAGTTTCTGGGCAGGGCATCCAGAGCAGGCTCTTCTCTAGAGTTAGTAATAATGCTAGTTGACACCTCTGATTTATAGTTGTTTTTGCCTTCCAGAAATACTCATCTTTTTTGCAGAAACATATTGGTTTTTCTTTTTGAAAAGAAAAAAGTTGATGAAAATTCATTTCACCCACTTTCTCTAGATTTCATAGATGTGCCACCTGATCTTTGTATCTATAAAACAGACCTATATAAATTCTAACTGAATTTTAAACAGTTTTTAAAGCAGGTCTTAAATTTTAAGATTCTATAAATTATTTTTCTATTAACCTAAGGCCAGAAATTGAGCTTTTTTGTTCTTTTGGAGAAACAGTAACTACTAAAAGCTGCACAAGATGAGATTTTGACCCAGATTTATTAACACTTCAAGAAATAATTCCAAATAATATTGTGATAACTTGTAGTGATTTGAGCTGAGCAAATGTGGAGGTCTGTGGTGGATTAAAGACGGCTGCAAATTCCTTGCCATTCGTCTCAACAAGATACGGGGTTTATTTCCCCATCCCTTGCATCTGGGTTGGTCTTTGAGTACTAGTAGAATGAGGAAAGAGTGATACCATGCTGGCTCCAGGCCTAAGACTTCAAACGTCAGGCAGCTGCCATGTTTGTGCTCTGCCAGCTACCATGCTATCCAGCAGCTTCAGTAGACTACTGAACCATGAGAAGACATGGAAAGGTTCTGGAGGTTGAAGCACCATCTTGTGAGTACCAGCACCAGCCAAGCTCCCCACTGAGTGCAGTTCCTGAGTGATCTCAGCTATGCCCTGTGGAGCAGAACTGCCCAGCTGAGCCAAGTCAACTCACAGAATTGTAAGGCATAATAAATTTTTGTTGTTTTAAGCTATTCAGTTTTGGGATGGTTTGTTATACAGCAATGGATACTGAAGCAGGTTCCATGTGGATTTCTTTTCCATTTCTTTAGGAGAAAGTGGATTTCTTGGTCTTTTGCTTATTTGTTTATTTTGGTTCTTAGTATTTTTTGTTTTACTAATACTTTAAAAACTGTTTTACTAACAATTTATACCAAAAACCAATAGCAAAATAATGAATCTTTCTTACTTTTCAGTCACCCAGTTTCACTCCCAGATGCACCCACTTTTGGTAGTTTCTTAGGTATTTACATAAAAGCACAAACATATGTATTGTCTTTTTTTCATTCCTTTCTTTTTACGTCCAGATGGAAAGTTACTTTACATGTGATTTTATACCTCCTTCTCATCATTTACCAACGTATTGTAGAAATAGTTAACACCAATACTCAACACCCTGAAAGCCGCCTCATTTTTTAATGATTATATAATATTCTATTACGTGATATAATTTATCTAACCAGTCTCCTATTCATTGGCATTTGCTTCTAATCATTTATTAAAAATAAAGCTGCAATAAATATCCTGTAACTATATCATTTTGCATATGTGCATGTACATGCATATATTCCTAGAAATGAAATTGTTAAGCCAAAAGGTATATACATTTTACATTTGATAGTTGATACCAAATTAACCTCCATATAAGTGGTATCAAATTATACTCTTACCAGCAAAAGGTGAGAATGTCCATATCTCTACACATTGAATAACACATCTAGATCAAATTCTTCTATTGTTTGTTATAGTTCTATGGTTGATTAGCTAAGATTTTCCAATAATTATAATTTTACCTCTTTTCCTTTGCTGTTTTGTATTTTATTTCTTTCTCTTGTCTAATTATAGTGGCTCGTACTTTCAGAACAATATTAAATAATACTGGAACTGTCCTATTCTTTTGTTTTGTTTTGTTTTGTTTTTTGAGACAGGGTCTTGTGCTGTCACCCAGGCTGGAATACAGTGGAACTATCATGGCTCACTGCAGCCTGACTTCCCAGGCTCAAGCAATTCTCCCACCTCAGCCTCTTGAGTAGCTGGGACTATAGGCATGTGCTACCATTTCTGGCTAAGTTTTTTTTTTTTTTTTTTTGGTAGATGTGGGGCCTCACCATGTTGCCCAGGCTGGTCTTGAACTCCTGGGCTCAAGCCATCCTCCTGCCACGATCTCCCAGAGTGTTGGAAATAGATTACAGGCATGAGCCACTGCACCTGGCCAACTGTCCTATTCTTCCTTGAATGAGAGCACTTCTACTGTTTTCCCATTAAGAATAAACCTGAGAAAAAGAATAAAGCTGACATTTGAGATGAAACATTTATCATTTTAAAGAAACAGTGTCCATCTATTCCAATCTTTGAGAGCTGTTATCAAGAAAGGATGTTACATTTTATCAAATTTCAACATCTGTGGAATAGTCATATGAGTTTTGTCTCTTTCAATCCATGAATATGGTGAATTACATTAATAGGTTTCCTGATGCTGGAGTATACTTACAATCTTAGAGTAATCCTTGTATACTTGGTAATGGTATATTAATCTTGATATTTTTCTGGTTCCTTGTTGCTCCAATTTTTATTTAGGATCTATCTATCTATCTATCCATCTATCTATCTATCATCTATCTATATCTATCTATCATCTATCTATCTCTATCTATCTATCATCTATCTATCTCTCTCTCTCTATTATCTATCTCTCTATCTATCTATTGAGACAGAGTCTCTCTCTGTCACCCAGGCTGGAGTGCAATGGTGTGATCTCGGCTCACTACAACCTCGCCTCCTGGATTCAAGTGATTCTCGTGCCTCAGCCTCCCGAGTGTCTGAGACTACAGGCATGTGCCAACATGCATGGCTAATTTTTATATTTTTTGTAGAGATGGGATTTCACCATGTTGGCCAGGCTGGTTTCAAACTCCTGGCCTTAAGTGATCTGCCCACTTTGGCCTCCCAAAGTGCTGGGATTACAGGCAGGAGCCACCACACCCGGCCTGCATTTTAATTTATAAATGAAATTGGTCAGTGGCTTTAAAGGATACTTGACAGGAAACATTCTGTCAGACACAAAAGTAATAATAGTGTGAGTGGGTAAATCACCAAATGAGAAATTACAGACAACAGAGAGAATGCTGAGGAGAAGGGAGGAGGCCACCTCTCCTATGAAAGAGGATCTGGGGGAGACAATCCAGGAGATCCTGAGGCAGCAGGGAGGAAAAGCCAAAGGGACTCATATCAGACAATTGGGTCCCTGTCAACTGGAGCTAAAGATCTTATGCAGAGGAAGGGCGAAGTCAATGCTTGGAATACTGACCCATTACCCATTAGTGAAATAATTGAATTGCATGTGTAAAAAATAGGCAGACTAAGTATCAAAATATCTTAAATCACAAATGGTAATTCACTGCAATTGTTCCAGTGACTGGAAGAGAAAAATAACGAATTTTCTATAGAAAACATGTAATAGAGAAAGTAAAAGCAGATTTGACCTCCTGGGTTCAACTCCTAGCCCATACATTACTCATCCCAGGGAATTGCCTGTTCATTCCTTCTTTGGTGGAATGAATTCTTCAGCACAGTGTCTGCAATGGAGGAGGGACACATTTCTGCAACAAGGGAGATGGCTCTTCTCGGGACTAGAGCTCCCCTTCATTCAGGCAGTAGGCAGTGTCTGGGCAAACAAGCAAGTACACGTCCCAGGTTTGGTAGAAGTGGCCATCTGGAAGCCCTTCTCCTTTCCATGACCCTGAAAAGTCTGTTTTATGTTCTCTCACTGAGGAAGGGAGCTGAAGCTGGAAATCATTAAATGTTCTCAAGTGTCCTGAATGTCTGCAACCCTGAGGATGAATCGCTCTGACTTATTTGTTTAAACGTCTGATTTTAGTAATGATATCACCAGAAGCTATTAAGCTTAATATGAGGTGAGATAATTTACAGAGCTTATTAATACATGTGACACTGCCCATACTCTGCTCCTGCAGCTCATTAGCTGGATGACTTTGGACAAGTTTATTCAATGACGCCGAGCCTCAGTTTTCTCATCTGTAGAATGGCTATTATAAAAATAGCTTTCCTGATTACCTCACTGGGGTGTTGTGTAAGGATCAAATGAGATAATAAATGTGTACAGCACTTTGAAAGCAAACATAATGTATATTGCATAAATCACTTGTGAAAAACATCTTTGCTTACTATAACAACTCATCCCAATTCTGGGGCAAACTGGTGGGAGAATTTTACTCTTTTTCTTTTTCCAAAGCACAAATGAAGAAAGGATTTCCATTCTTCTATACTTTTAAGAGGTGCCTCGTTGACTCTAATGAGATGGGTTGAGTCGCTGAGCCTCTGATACCCTTTTCTGACACCTTTTCCACTCACTCTGCTAGTATACCAGCTAGCCATCACCTAGATTACAAACACAATCAGAGGGGAAAGAATCATTGGCCTAAATAGGAGGATTCTGCCTGAAATAGGGTTAAGAGGCTAACCACTGACATAGGAAAAACTTTGGCTTGAGTAAATGAGAAACAGAACATTTGCAACAAATAACTATTATAAGCCTAATGACTGCAGAATGCTCTCATCAAAAGAATCAGACTGTGTGGATTCAAATCCCGGCTCTGCCACTTGCCAGCTGAGGGATTTTAGGCAAGTTACTAACTTCTCTGTGCTTGTTTCCTTACCTGTACAATGAGTAGTATAATGGTACCTCCTTCGTAGAGTCATTATGAGGATTAAATAGGTTAATATTTAGAGAGCTCTTTGAACAATGCCTGGTGCATGCAAGTGCTACATAAAGATTTATTATGTTATCTGGCAGAGAGTATTTAGTATGTCAGACTCTGGAATTAAGCCTCAATGTTTGTTTGCTAATTAGAGAAGGTGCATGCCATTGATGCCACATTGAATACAAGATTTAAAGAGTCTATGAGTTTACAGACCTAAATGTAAGTATTTTCAGAGACATTTTCTGCATTTAGCATTAAACTCCCCCACAAACACATTACAAATACTTTCTTTAGACAACATCAAACCAGGTTTGAGGTCTCTGATTTCAGATTGGGTAATCCATTTAACCTCTTCACGCCTCAGCTGCTCTCTCTGTAGAAATGCAATAAAAAAAGCTTGCTTCACAAGGGTGTCATGAAGATGAAAATGAGATAACGTTTGTAAAACTCTAGTGCTTGCCAGGAGAGGCGCCGCCTAAATGCAGATTGTAATTATTAACATTGTCTCATATCCTACTGGAGACCAGTTTGAATGCCATTATCTTATAAAATGACTAAAGCCAATCTTAGAAATTACAATGTTAGGGGGCTTGGGTAGTTAGGAACATAGTTGCAGACAGCTTCCTGCATAAAAGCAGTTGAGAAGGCGCCACCAGACTCTGCTGTTAAAACTCACTTGTGACACTACCTAGAGTCCCCTAGGGTAGAGTCTGAGAGATCTTAGGCACTTTGCAAATATGGCTCTCTAAGGCTTACCCTCTGTGACTCACTAGCATTACCAAGTCCGTAGAAATCTGGAGCAGGAAGATTTGGAGCGTTTCCTACTTGAAGTTCATTAGCTGCATTGACTTTCAAAGCTCTTTAGAGGAGTTTAAAATGTTGGGGAACTCTGTGACTTTAATTCTCTCCTGCCTGTTCTAGGTTTACGTGGGATAGACAGTAGCTGACAAATGTTCAATAAGTAAATTAATAAATTGAAAGAGGCAGAAAATTTTTCCATGAAGTTTTACTATTTCTAGTGGAGCATAATATATCAAAAGGGGAGAATCAAAAAATTGGTGATAAGCAAGTTGATTTTAGGTGGCACACAGATGCGTATTCTATACACACACATACATACACACACACATATGTATGTATTTACACACACATGTGTGTGTATGTATGTGTGTATGTATGTGTGTGTGTGTGTGTAAGTGTATAAAAGTTAAATATAGGACATGAAACCTGTGGATTTATGGATATTATTGCTTAGGACAAAGATAAAATTGGTAGTTGAGGGCCGGGAGCAGTGACTCACACCTGTAATCCCAGCACTTTGGGAGTCCAAGGCAGGTGGAACACCTGAGATCTAGAGTTCAAGACCAGCTTGGCCAACATGGTGAAACCCCATCTCTACTAAAAATACAAAAAAAAAAAGCCGGGTGTTGTGGCACACACCGTAATCCCAGCTAATTGGGAGGCTGAGGCAGGACAATTGCTTGAGCCCGGGAGGCGGGTTGCAGTGAGCTGAGATCGTGCCACTGTGCTTCAGCCTGGGCAACAGAACAAGACTGTCTCAATTAGACCAAAAAAAAAAAAATCGTAGTTGAGGCTGGGTGCAGTGGCTCACGCCCGTAATCCCAGCACTTTGGGAGGATGAGGAGGCCTCAAAAAAAAAAAAAGTGTTAGTATCACCCGAGGTCAGGGGTTTGAGACCAGCCTGGCCAGCATGACGAAACCCCATCTCTACTAAAAATTAAAAAATTAGCCGGACATGGTGGCACCCACCTGTAATCCCAGCTACTTGGGTGGCTGAGGCAGGAGGATTGCTTGAACCCAGGAAGCAGAGGTTGCAGTGAGCTGAACTTGCACCACTGCACTCCAGCCTGGGCAAGTAAGACTCTGCCTCAAAAAACAAACAAACAAGCAAACAAAAAAACAGTAACAACAAAAAGACAAAATTGGTAGTTGAAAAAGATGGCTGATAGTGAGGAAAAGAATGTATTTGACTTAAATAAAAAGTAATTAATAGTAATAGAAAATAATGCCATTTTTAAAGCAAAAATCTCAACTAAAGTTAAGGAAACACTATGTTAGAAGAAAGATGAAAGCCTCCGTTCCTTGTTTTAAAATTTCTGAGTGTGGGATTTAGCTCCCAGGGCAGAATTTAGAGAACAATGATTTCTTCCATCTGGATTGATCATCACTGTTTGTAAAGCATTTTTACATGCTTTCACTTATTTTCAGGTCAGACATAATTGTTTCCGTTTAATACACGAGGAAACAGACTCAGTGTCCTTGAAAAGTTGTGCAATAGCAAGCTGGCAACTGAATAAAACTCTGCATATGTTGTAATACTGTTTAGGGAAAAGAATCATATGCTTAGTGATTTTTACAAAGTAGAGAGCTATTTACTGAAACCAGCAGTCCTTTATTTAACTCCTTGGAAACCCATATTTCTAATGGTGGTCCTGTTTATCCAGAGCCTTTCATCTGCCTTATGCTGAGTGTTGTGCTGAATATTGAGGCCTCAGTGGGGATCATCTGGTCTGTTCTTTCAAGGGCCAAAATCTGGACAGAAGTAACACACTGCTAGCTCAGTTAGGCCCCCAGTCATGTGTTGCTTGAATAGTAGGGTGTTAAAATTGTTTAAAAATCTATTGTTAGAAGCTAGGCACAGTGGCTCATGCCTGCGATCGCAGCATTTTGGGAGGCCAGGCCAGGAGGATTGCTTGAACCCAGGAGTTTAAGACAGTCTGGGCAACATAGCAAGACCCTGTGTCCCCAAAAAATAAAATAAAAAATGAGCTGGGTGTGGTTGTACGCACCTGTAGTTCTACCTACTCAGGAGGCTGAGGTGGGAGAATCGATTGAGCTCAGGAGTTTGAAGCTGTAGTGAGCTATGATTGTGCCACTGAACTCCAGCCTGGGTGGAGTTCTCAAAAAAAATATTTATATTCAAGAATCTGGAGATTTTGTTTAAAAATCTGGTGGCTAGCTTCACTTAAAACCCTCTAAATATCAGGCAAGACCAGGTCTGAATTCCTGTTTATTTAGCCTTTGGCTGGAGGTGTGTGCTCTCTAGACTGACATGGCCCTTCACTGGACTCACGTCTCCTTCACTCACTTACCCTGCAGAGCCCAGGTGCAGAAAGCAAAGCAGACAGGGCAGCAACTCTTACAAACCAGCTCTTCCTGGGGAATAAAATGAACACAGTGGACATTAGCCTAAAGTGTGAAAACCCAAGCTGGGGGAACTCAGCTATAGTTTCATGGAAGCTAAAGTTAAATATTAACATGAATAATATTTATCATGTTGCCTAAGAAATATTTTTACACCTTTGGCTGTTAACAAAATTCTTGCACATTATTTGCCATTTGTACCAAAACTTTGAAAAATAGACTAAGCAAAAATTATTATCCGTGTTTTACCGATTAGGATATTGGATATCCAAAACTGAAAGAAGTTGCTTGGAGCAGAGCCTGAGACAGGGATTGGGTGTGTGTGATTTATTGAGAAAGTGCTCCACAGGAAAATCCTGGCAAGGAGACAGTGAAGCCAGAGAGGGAAGGGGAAGGATGTGGTCTCATGGAAATTCCATTCTTGGCCTGGATCATGGGGGAGGGCTCTGAAACATTGACCACACCACAGAATTGCTTCCTCTTGAGGCCAAGGTGCTGGTCTTCTATGCTCTTATCCACCAGTCACTGGCTGTGGCCTTCTCCCACTAACTTCCTGGGTGAGGTGTCTCCCCTATTAGCACAGGGCAATTTCCTCAGAAGTAGAGGCATTTGCGGGCCTTCAGGAGCCAACACCCAAAGCAGCTGCAGCAGAGTCACTAGCTCAGTAAATGGAATCTAGGAGGGGCCACGACAGCAGCATCTTCCATTTTCCTAATACCACACACACAGTTACTCACAGTGAGATCCAAATAACAGCACAATGCCTAGTGCGCACACACATACACACACACCGTACACACTGTGTTTCAGGAGGTGGCAATTGCAGAAAGTACACAAGCTTTTCTTCCCACAACAGCAAAGTCTCAGGATACATTGTGAGAATTTGCGAGGAAATGGTCCCACCTTTATAAAACTGAATGTCACAGCTAATTCTGTGTAAACTCTGAAAATAATTAAAAATTAAAGTCTAGGCCGGGCATGGTGGCTCACGCCTGTAATCCCAGCCTTTGGGAGTCTGAGGCAGGCGGATCACCTGAGGTGAGGAGTTTGAGATCAGCCTGGCCAACATGGCAAAACCCAATCTCTACTAAAAATACAAAAATTAGTTGGGTGTGGTGGCAGGCGCCTGTAGTTCCAGTTACCCAGGAGGCTGAGGCAGGAGAATTGCTTGAACCCAGGAGATGGAAGTTGCAGTGAGCCGAGACGGTGCCACTGCACTCCAGCCTGGGCGACAGAGCGAGACTCTGTTATAAAAAAAAAAAAAATTACAGTCTAAGTTTTTATAGAGTAATAGACAGATAAAATAAAAGTATAATACAGATACACATAATATACATACACACATATATGGAACATATAGATATAAATGTATGGATGTAAACATAGATGTAAGATGTGATTGTTAATGTTTGGGAAAAATCTCTTGCCCCAGAAAATGGAAAAGCTTTGTGTTTAAAGAGTTTAGAAAATAGCCAGGCGTGGTGGCTCACGCCTGTAATCCCAGCACTTTGGGAGGCCGAGGTGGGTGGATCACGAGGTCAGGAGATAGAGACCATCCTGGCTAACACGGTGAAACCCCGTCTCTACTAAAAATACAAAAAAGTAGCCGGGCGTGGCGGCGGGCGCCTGCAGTCCCAGCTGCTCGGGAGGCTGAGGCAGGAGAATGGCGTGAACCCGGGAGGCGGAGCTTGCAGTGAGCCGAGATTGCGCCACTGCACTCCAGCTTGGGGGACGGAGCGAGACTCCATCTCAAAGAAAAAAAAAAGAATTTAGAAAATAAACTCTCCTTTCACAGAGCCTACCCCCTTGGGTTTTGTCATAAGAAGAAAAAAAAATGTCCGAGAAATATCAGGTTGTACATCTGGCATATTCCTGATTTGTTCTGAAATAATTTGAACTCAAGTGCATTTCCTCAGGTATGGAAGTATACATTTTGCTAAGTGTGGATAGAAAAGAAAGAAGGGGAAAGGAGTCTAATGCTGTATGAAATAGGGTTAGATTTTAAACCTTTAAAAATGTTTAGATACAGATTTTAGAAACTTCTCCTCATTGAAGGATACTAAGCAGGATGATATCCCTCATGACAGGAGACAGTCAATATTAGAAACTGTGGCAAACTAGGGAAAAAATAAACCGGCAAAAGCCCAAGGTAAAATACAGTTTATTTTATTTTCCTTGATTTCTTTCCATAACACCTTCAAAATACCATTCCAGAGCGATGATCATAACTGAATATTTTACATAATGGAAAGCACAGGCACCTCAGATCTTCTTCTGCATGACAAATGTTTAATTAGAAAAATAATAAGATGGAAATGAAATTGGCATTTACTATGACTGGAAGAGAGAATTGTCCTGGAGAAAAAAATCTAGTTTCTGTTCACCAATGGCAAAAAGGAAAAGGCGGGAGGGGGGAAGCAAACAAGAAAAAAAAAAAAGAAACTTAAATGATTGCTGGAAACAAATCAGAGACGAAAGTGTAAGGCTTGAGCCCATAATTTGGGTTGAATCTCTCTCTCTCTTTCTCTGTCTCTCTGTCTCTCTCTCTCACACACATACACACACCCCAAATCCCAACACAATTAAAAAAGGAAGAATGTGATATGTGACATTAAAGTTCTTAAGTTGAAAAAGACCTTTTTAATTGTTTCTGGGGGAAAAAAAAGCCAGGCCCTCTAAATGTTGCATTTCCATCAGATTAGATAAAGTATATACCAAATTATTATATGGTCCAATTCTGCACTGCATTAACAACCTAATTATAACTGTGAAATAATTCAGTGAGGATCCATATGCTAAAATATGGTAATTGTGTGCTTTTTGAAGAACTAGTTGTGTTTTCCAGTATTTTTCTGAGACCTCGTGGTGGTCTGTTGCCTTTGGTCAGTGATTTACAGGCCATAAGCCTCCTCCTCATCAGAGAATATGAAAGCTACAGTCATTCCCTGCCTTTGCATTTATTTGCAGATTTTTGTTTCTTTAACAGGAACACATCTTATCATAGAAAAGGTGGATAGGGTTCCGCACATGTTTTTCCCTGAATCTTTTGCCCATTTCAGTCCTGCTCTTCTGGATGCTGGGTACTGAGTTGGGCTTCTGGCTACCCAACATGCAGCAAATGCCAAGGAGCATTGGGTTAAAGGATGGCGTTCGGTTCTCACAAGCTGGAGTCCTTGGGAGAGCACAGCTTTCTTTAGACATTCCAAACCTGGGGCTCTGTGGTAGATCTAGAGGCTGTGTGGTAGAGCTAGGTGCAGGAAAGGGAATCAATGGGAAAGGAGGGATTATAGCAAGGTCATCAGCCTGAATTCTCATCCCTCAGCAACTCCTTCCCCCAACTCACTTGCAGTGCTGCCTTTGATGGTCAGATAGCAAATCAAATTTCAAATTTTGTATTTGAAAACACAAAATTTGCCAAGAGCTCCTGCTCTGGGGTCAGACTGCCTGAGTTTGAATATGCCTCCACCACTTATTGACTATGTAACTAACTTTCAGCAAGTTATTTAATCTCTCTAAATCCCAATTTCCTCATCTGTAAAATGTGGCTATTAATAGTATCTACTTTATAGTTTGTTTGTGAAGATTCAATGAGAAGATGAATGCAGGGGCTTGTACAGCCCCTGGCACTGGAGAATATTCAATTTATATTCATTTATTTTTTCTCTTATCATTGTTATTATGAACCAGATTTCAAGTGACACAATCCTAAATCTTAAATAAAATTTTACATGATTTCTATCAGATTTGAGGTATGTTATTCAATAGGAGAAAGTCTATTTCTCCCTCATGCCATTAAATAGTTACTCCAATTTCAATCTATCACTTCATATTAGAAGTTTAATATTTGTCCACCTCCTATTGACAAAAATTAATCTTGTTTAAATTTAGATGAAAAATTTTACATAACTTTAAAATGTGCAGGAGAAATGATCATAAGGGATCTTCTTGGGGTGATGGAAATGTGTTAAAATCGGATCCTGGTAATGGTGGCACAACCCTGTACATTTACCAAAAATCATTGAATTGGTCTGGGCGTGGTGGCTCATGCCTGGGGCTCAGCACTTTGGGAGGCTGAGGTGGGCAGCCCATTTGAGGTCAGGAGTTTGAGACCAGCCTGGCCAACATGGTGAAACCCCATATCTACTAAAAATACAAAAAATTGGCCAGGTGTGGTGGTGCACACCTTAGTCCCAGCTACTTGGGGTGCTTAGGCAGGAGAATTGCTTGAACGTGGGAGGCAGAGGTTGCAGTGAACGGAGATTGCGCCACTGCACTCCAGCCGGGGTGACAGAGCCAGACTCTGTCTCAAAAAAAAAAAAAAAAAATCACTGAGTTGTACACTTAACACAGAAGAACAGTAAAGCTGTTTAAAAAAGTGGATAAGGGGTTTACCTATTTTTTGTTAACAAGTACAAAAAGTAGGAAGGCTTGGTTTATTTGCTAAAGTACTGGGCCACAGAATAGTAAGTGTGCTTCATTCCATTGCAGCTGATGTCATTGAGTTTACCTCACAGTTGTTCTGGTTTTATGTCTTGTTTTTAAAATGTTTACTTATTTTAGGACGAGGACAAATTAATACCACCAGATGGAAGAAGCCATTAAAATTATTAGCTATGAACTGGCCTGCCCTCAAAACGCTACACAGCAGGTCCTCAACTGATTGGAACATCTCTGCTATCTCTTTGTGTGGTGTCCAATTCAAACGGTTACCATCCCGTTAGACTTTGGCCTTATTTTCCTTTGGTAGGACATTGTGGAGAGAGGGCCCATCCTTGCCTCTTTATCTAAGAAATATGAAACTACACAGATAACATTTTGAATTCTTTTTTTTTTTTTAATTTTTATTTTTAGTTCCAGGGTAAGGGTGCAGGATGTGCAGGTTTGTTACATAGGTAAACGTGTGCCATGATGGTTTGTTGGAGTTCTGTTTTTTTCTAGCCACAGGGTCTAAATGAAGTTTGACATCTGTCACTTAGTTTCAAATTCAAGAGAGGAAATGATACAATATATCTATCAGTGAGTGCTTGCATTGTGACAACCAGGTTGCTCATATCTCATGCTTGATGGGAGCATCCATCCAGCTTCCTAGAGCACCTATGAATGAGGGCAGCAATAGGACTGCCATGGTCAGGACCACAGGTTTTATTAATGGAGGGAAATTGGAAGCTGCTCCAATTCATTTGTCCTTTCATTCAACATGCTTTTGCTGAGTGCCTCCCGCTGTACTAGACTCTGGGAGTTGAAAAGAAAATGAGATGCCCTGGGGGGTCTGAAAGGGTAGGGTAAAATCAGAAAGATTTGAAAATACAAAATCAAGAGTAGCCCTCGCTTGTGAGCATGTGAGTCTCAGAGAGAGCCCCATGACCCTGAAGCCTCAGCTGCAGGTGCGATGATGGAGAAGGCGTCTGCAGAAGGATCCATGTGGGGAAAGTTTTGGGAAGTCCCTTCCTTTCCATCCCTATTGCCCAGATTCAGGCCAACATCACTCTTTACCAGGCCTACTGACTGTAAGGGGCTAACAGATCTCCTTGCCCCCAGTTCTAGCCCCTCAAATCCATCCTCAAAATTCCCAAGAACGATCTTCCCAAAATGCAAATCAGATCATTTGCCAACATTGCTTAAAACCCTTCTGTAGGTTCCCTTCACAGCCACACTCATCGGCAAGGCCTCCCTGAGCTAGCCTGCCTGCCTCTTTCGGCACTTCACCCTACATCTCATGCCCTGGCAAAAGCGAACTGCCAGTGTGCCCATCACACCAGAGCACTTTGGACAACCACTTTCCCTCTGCCTGTGCTTAAGACCCTGGACTTTGCCTTCAGACAGCTCTGGGTCTGACTACTGGCTCTGCAGCTGCCTAGCATTGTCACGGTGCGGGAGTCATTTTGCCTCCTTAAGCCTCAGTTTGTGAAGTGCGATGATATGCCCCACAGGACTGGTTCTAGCAATTTCTCACAACAGAAAGATGCTTGAAAAACAAACCTGGAAAACCAGCAAAGCTTTCTCTATGCAATTAACATTTTCTTTTTAGCACTTAAAATATCGTTAATGGTATGTATTCTATTTTGTAAAGTTCCACACTAGTGACCCACAGACAAAGGGTCATCTCGTTTATGTGTCTTGCATTATGGTTTTGTGGTTCCAGATTTTTATTAGAAGAAAGACGATGAGCTCCGACATGGCCCATGGCCCTTCACAGGTGCCCTGGCTTAGCCCTGTCCACACAGAACAGGGCAACAAACATGTGGAGAAAAGAAATAGGAAATCAGCAGAGACAAGTTTCCCTTCTGCTCATGGGTCACAACATTTATGTGCATCCTATATAGGCAGGCGCGGTTTGGGTGTCTTTTCCATGTGACCAACAGAAAACAAATTCGGACAGACAGAAGGCAGGAAGTTCTGCGAGCTGCCTCATGGTTATTGTTACTAAGGAAACCAATTCTTTAGTATTCATGTGTTCAGCAGACGGCCACGCTGAATTTCTGAGGCTGAATCTCTGAGGCTGAGGCGGCATCACAGAATGGCATGAGGGAGAAGAAGGGATGAAAACAGCCAAACAGCTAAATACAGAAGCTGTTTAAAAATATGTCAGTAATTTAGCCATCAACGATGGTTTCTAGTGGCTTTAAAAATGAGATCATAGCATGAAGTGATTTAAAGAGTGATCAGGAGCTTGTCTTCCCACTGCATTTATATAATCATATTCACATACTGTGCACACACAGGGAAGAAAAGCTTCTCCAGAGGGGACAAAGATCCTTGAAATCTGTTTCCATTTTGAGAAAATCATTATTGCATGAAAAGGGCTTCTGAAATTTATCTCTATCTGTTCTCTCTGTTCCAAAAAGCCTTTCCCTTACTATCTAAAGATGGTGATGGCAAATGTATTGTTAATGACCTCAAAGGTGACATTTTCTCTAGCAGAGAATGGGAGCATTTGCCATATTTGCTGAGCATCAATTCCAAGATATAAAAGAAGTCAATCCCATAGAAGTCAGAATCCCACTAGGACACCCAAATTCCCACTGGCCAGCCTGTGGGTGGTGATGAATTAACGGGTGTCGAAAGCCTTCAGAATATGAAAGAGCAAAGTCGGGGAATATGGAACCATGTGTCGCTTATCACAGACTCTCTGAGTGAAAGAGAAGAGCTGGAAGGACCAGAGAAAGAGAATCCACTTCCCACCCCACTCGCCCCACTGCCATTAGAATAATGCACAACATGTTTTGCAGACGAGATAGTGGCCAAATAATGACCCTCCTAATGAGCATCCAGACAGGGGATAGCTCAGACCTCTTTCTGTTCTAGAGAAATTATCTAAACTGAAACATTTCTTAACTGAAAATAGAGTGGGCCGGGTGCCGTGGCTCATGTCTGTAATCCCAGCATTTTGGGAGGCTGAGGCAGGTGGATTGCTTTGAGCTCAGGAGTTTGAGACCAGCCTGGGCTACATGGTGAAACATTGTTTCTACAAAAAGTAAAAAAAAAAAAAAAAAAAAAAAAAAAAAATTAGCCAGGTGTGGTGGCTCGCACCTGTGGTCCCAGCTACTCAGGAGGCTGAGGCTGGAGGATTGCTTAAGTCCCAGGAAGTGGAGGTTGCTGTAAACTGAGATTATACCACTGCATGCTGCCTGGGTGACAGCGAGACCCTGTCTCAAAAAGAAAAAAAAAAAAAAAGAGTGTCCCGGCCCCTTCACTTCTGATCTGTGTGGCCTAGGGGAAAGCACTGTGGCTTCTGGCAGCATCTCCTGGTTTGGAGGTACAAGTATCCACTGAAGTAGATAGGTCACCATTAACATCCCAGTGCATGGTCACAGCACTGACAACCTTTCCCCTTGCTCAAGCAGTATCAGTTTAGCACCAACTGCATTCAAAACCCTCTGCTGGAGTTTGATGCAGCCTCAGGACATGAAGAACCTACAATCTAGTGGATGGTAAACTGAGAAATCTCAATTTGAGCAGATCACATCCTTTCTTCACATTCTTTAAAAGTCTTAATATGACCTGAATTTCCCTGGTCCCTGCCCAACTCTCCAGCTTCACCACCACAGATCCCCAGCCCATTCCACTCCCAAAACTGGCTTCTCTCAATTCACCTGCTCCTTCTCTTCCTCTAACCTCAGATCTCGGTGAAAAAGTTACTTCTTGAAGGAAACATTTCCTAAGTCCCCAGGTCAGGCCCCCCTGCTGTATCTTCTCATTGTACCCTCTTTTTTCCTTTGTTGCAGTAATTGCAGTTTGATTGTATAGTTATAGGACAGTTTGATACTGCCTGTCCTCGCCATTGGACTTCAAATTTCATGGAAACAGAGGCTGAGACAACTTCTGTTTATCACTGAGTTCTCAATGCCCATCGTAGGTCCTAGTTCACAGTTGGTTCTTGACAAACGTTTCTTAAGTAAATGAATAAATGTGCATAAGGACATAAGTTAGAAGGTAGGAGAAACAAAATCCTAAAGCAGAGGGCCATAAAACAGTGTGGCTGCAGGTGGTTGTTTCTCTCCCAAACATTCCTTACGTACACAGTGCCTTGCACATAGAAGGCTTGTGGAATGAACAAAGAAGGAATGAAGGGTGAAATGGGAAAAATCACCTCTCAGTCTCTGGTTTGTTTACATGATTATCCTTTATGTAAACAGTAATATTAAAAAACCCATTTCTGTATGTGTGTCACAAGTCTTGTGAAAATATAGTTTAAAAACAAGCAATAGCTAGTAAAACAAAACAAAAAACCCCACAACTCAGGATGTAGCTGGGAGACACATCTTTGTCATTTCCAGACCCTATGTTGCTGTAGAGCAAGCAGAGCTTCAAATCGTGCAGAGGGGACAGTTACAAGATGGAGTATGAGTTGTGGTGTAGTGAAGTGTTGAGGGTACCCAACAAAGGCCTCTAGGTGAGAGAAAGAATAGGCCAGTGCTCAGGCTGGTGGGAGCACTGAATTCCAAGCTGGGGAGCAAGAGAGAGGAGGTGCGTGCTGTCAGGAAGGGCCCTGGTGCCTGGTATGGACTGATCCCCAATGCAGGAGAAACCAGTGGAGCGTGTACAGCAGGTGAGGGCTTCTGAGGATTCCCTCAGCTTCATCATGGAGCAAGATTAGGAGGGTGATGAGTGAGTGGCAGGAAGAACAACTTGAGCTGTTCAGGTGGAAATGTTGAGGGCCTGTGTTTCATAGAGGCAGTGGAAATACTGACGCTCATGTTCAATCAAGTTCAGAGCTGAGTAAACCCTGAGAATTACCCATTACAGTACTCGAGGTATTCTGTGAGACACAGGTGCTTTGTTTTAATTGGTTTAATCTCTAGAAAGCTTCAATTATCTTTCTAAACAAAGGATTCTGCATGCTAGGTACATCTTTGTGCTAGGGTCCTTCCTTAAATACATCCTTCTTTGGATGTGTTTAAATTCCGCTGGAGTTCCTTGGCAGTGAGAAGTTGCTTGTTTTAACATTTATGTTCATGGAGGAAGAGATTTTAACCAGAGATTATGGACTCCATCTCGTCTTCTAAAGCTAGATCTTTGTTTCTCAGTACCATGTGTCTCATGAAATGTCAGGTCTCTATTCTGTCTTAGTGTTCTCAGTATGATTCTTAAATTGGCTGTTTCACATTTCCTCTGTTCTCTCTCCTAAGACTGATGTGGGCTCATTTTGCTCTGCCCTGGCACTCAAGACAGATGTGAACATCCCAGGGACCAGGTATCCCCTTCAGAGTAATGACACATTCAGTGACCCCTCCTGTCATGCAGATTGCCATGAAAGCCATAATTAATACCTGAAGATGTGCAAATTTGGATTTCTAAAATCAAACAAAGACATATTTACAGATAGAGGGGACTAATATCTAAGTATATCCAAAAATGTGTTAAGGCTGCAATGTATTTAGTGAAGATCAGTCAGCCTTGACTAAAGGCTGTCATAGAATAGAACAAGTGGGGCTTTAAAATAAGGCAAATTCAGCAAAAGGCCATATTCTGGTTAAGTGCATGATTGCAGATTCAAATATGTTTGAGATTTTCTGATCAAAAACAGTGCTTAGGTCAAGTGTGTTGGCTCACACCTGAAATCCTAGCACTTTGGGAGGCCCAGGCAGGTGGACTAGTACAGCCCAGGAGTTTGAGATCAGCCTGGGCAATATAGGGAGACCCTCATCTCTACAAAAAATTTAAAAAATAGCCACATGTGGTGGCATGCACCTGTGGTCCCAGCTACTTGAGAGGCTGAGGTGGGAGGATTGCTTTGACCCTAGAGTTCGAGGCTGCAGTGAGCTATAATTGTGCCAATGCACTCCAGCTTGGGTGACAGAGTGAGACTCTATTTCAAACAAAACAAAACAGGGCTTGGCCATTCATTTTTCCCTCACTATGATTAAAGCAACCTGTTAGCCTGACCAGTCTGTATAATCATGACAGACTTTTTGGGTAGTGGGTGGCCAGTGTCTGTAACAACCTCATCTGTTATTCTGGGAGGCCAAACAGAAAGGAAGTTGTGGAGTTGCTAACTGATGACTTTCATTCAAGCATTAGCTTTCTCTTGCTGTTGTAATCCCTAGGATTTTAGCCAGCAAAATTCCCCCAAAACAATGAAGCATCTTTACTTGCTGAAGGTGAATCTAAAAAGCGCTCTTGTGGGAAATAGCTACCTCTAATGTCCCATTCACCACACATGGCAATAGGCTAGGAATCCTCTAAGAAAGCAACAATGGAGATTTATGTTGCCATCTGTCTTTGGGAGATTTGAATGTTTATGTCACTCTTAGCTGTAGGGTTTTGGCAGCAATATTGTTGATACACAGGAAGGAAAGATGTGATTAAAACTAAGAGGCTAAAAGCTGGAAGTTGATCTGATTCCATGTGATATTTTGTCATCAGAGCCTACTGTCCTTCCAACCCTTCCCTCCTGCTGACTTTTCCCCACTCATCTTACTCTATACCAAACAAATGATCTCCGAAGCTTACCTTAGCTGAGTCTCTATTAAAACCACATAGGCTCCAAACAACACTCATTAACAATGGGGAAGAGAAAGTGAACAAGGTGGCGATGCAGGAGTCCCCTGGAACAATAGATGCATTCTCAGCATTCAAAACGACAAGAACATTCAGCAAAAAACTTTGAATGTAAATCTCTCCTCCCAGGTCCCTCCAAAGCTTTGTGTATTTCAGTCATTTCCCTTCTGGTCCATAATACAGTACCTTCAGATTACTCAAAGGTCTGTCACATTTTCTGCACAATTTATTTTAATATAAATTCACAGAATCAAAAACATATACAAAATCTCTACTTTTTTCTTCTGGAGTAGCTCACTCTCCCTAAGGAGGTGAACAATGGGATTTGTGTTTGAGCATAAGTATTAAGCTTTAGAAATGAATCACATGTGACTCAGTTATTTTTAAAAATAAACAAATAAAGCTGGGGGAAAAGAAGGTCAGAGAGAGAATAGTTTAAAGGGGAAAAGAACAAGCCATGTATTTTCATGAACTGCGGAGACGTAGTCTAAATACAGAAAAGGGGACTCCTGTCATCTCCAAGGGTTGAATATCTCACTTCCTTGCACCAGCTCCCATACCCACATACACATTTTCATTTGTTAGCCTGTGAATAAAAATCCCTGTTCCCCAAGCATTTCTTTACATTTAGAAAATTGACTGTATACTGTCCTAGCTATGGCCACAAAACTTACATTCTACACAATCAAAACCTTGTAGACAAGAGAGTTCTTTTTGCCTTGGATGAGGTAGGGTGGAAAACTTGATTGCCTGTCCCAAAAGGTGTTATTTTAGTTCCTTGTGAAACATTTAAAGCTAGATGACTGCTTATTTAATTCTTTGGCACAGCAGGGTTTTTAAAAATTAGTATTAAAAAGCTACTTACCTAGGCTAAGTCAAATCCAAGCATTAGCAAGTCTTAGTGAGACTAGAGATGGAGAGAGTGCTTGTTGGCTACTTGATGCAGATTATTTTTCCTTTGGGACAGTTGCTGCCTGGCTTTGGGAAGCAGGAAGCTAATGAGAGACAGACAGCATCACTCCTCTATGTAACACGTGGTTTCCTGTGAGGCAAATGGGACTCTGGGCAGTTATCACCTCAGGATTCAAAAGCAATAGGGTAGACAAAGGTTTCCCAAGTGATTACAAGGTATAACATTCAGTTGCAGGTAATTTTAAAATCGGGAGACCTAACTCCCAGAATTCCAAGAATATCCCAGTCTGGGATTTTCTACCAAACTCTTCCTGATTGGCAGGCACACAGGTATTAGGATGGGGCCTCTGTGTCATTCAACGCCAGAGGTGTGATGATTTTAGCACATGTCTGAAAATTCTTGGAAACACTTCCCATCAAGAGGTGGAGTCTAGTTGCCCTCCCTTTAAATATCAGGCTGGCCTTAGCAATTTGCTTCTCATTTTGCAAAGGTAGCAGAAGTGATTCTGTGTGGTTTTCAAAGCTAGTTCACAAAAGATAAGCTTCTGCCTGGTGCTCTCTCCCTTGAGAGAGAGAGAGAGAGAGAGAGACCATATAGACAATCAGAAAGATGCCTAAAGAGATCCAGTAGTTGAATAGCCCCAGCTATTCAAGCCTTCCCCATGCAAGTGCCAGATATGGGAGTGAAGAAGCCTTTGAGTGGATCTCAATCCCAGAATCATCTGATGTCAAGAGTTCTTATGCCAGACCCTCCCAGACAAGCTGATCCAGAATACTGTATTTGCAGGAACCATGAAACATTTTTTAAGTTGTTTATTTTTAGGTCATCACCAATTTTGAGGGTGATTTGTTTCACAACAATAGATAGATGTGAGGTATTGCTATAACAAAACTTAAAACATGTGACAGTGGTTTGGGGCCTGAGTGGAGGGTGGAAATGCAAAGAGTTTTGAAGAGGCTGTCAGTAAAAGATGAAAGAAAAGTGAGCAAAATGTATCAGCAGCTAGAGGAAAGGAGGCCCGGGTTATGAGGTGGTAGAATGCCTGGCAATATCCTCTAGATACTGTGGTAGCACAGAAAACAGAAAATATACCTAAGGATCTCACAATCTAGTAAGGACATTTCTAGGCAGAATGTTGAAGGTGCTGCCTGGTTCTTCTAACTGCCCATGGTAAAATATGAGAGCAGAGAGATGAAGTAAGGAAAAAAATTGTTAAATATAAAAGAGCCAAGACTGTGGGTTTCCAAAAAATACAACTATTTCTTAGTCTTATCCTCTCCAGATGGCAAATGAGGCTAACGTTATAATGCATAATTTTCATTTAAAGATGAAGGCAACAGTGTAACTCTAGAATCCTTTGTTACGACTCAGATTTAAGGAAGTACTTCATGGGCTTTTTTTCAAACAGTCAAAGATCCCCTTAAAGATTGTAAGGGCATCCCTCTCAGCCATCTCTACTAAACAAAAATGCTTCCAAGAATCTTAAGGGCAAAGTACCACAATAGCCAGAGAAAAGCATAAAGTAGAAAAAAGTTTATCTCATTGAGGTTACAAGTGAATCCCAGTTAGATTTATAAGAAACACACAGAGTTTTAAAGAGATGTGTACTAATGAAAATATTGCCAATTTATACTAAAAGAGACAGAGATAGTACAAAATGAAAAGAGGCTTTTGGACCTCTGAAATTCTAGGGGAAAGAAGCAGACTGAGAAAACCACTCAGCCATAAAGACGGGGAACATTTAATAGGACAGGAACGATAATTCAGAGGGAGAAACCAATAGCCTAGAGAATGGAGGCAAGAGCCAGGGATAATCATTCCTAGAGAGATTACTGAGCTGTAATCAAGGAACTGGCAACCTGTTCCTGGCTGGATCTCAGAGCTGCTGTGGACTACTGATTACCATATGTGTTCTGTTTTTGAAATGTCTATAGTGACTGTCCTACGTCTAGCCCACCAAAATATGCTGGGTTTGTGGAAGGCAAACAACTTGTCACTTTAGTTCACAGATCTTGAGATGAGGAGCAGTCCTCAAGAAGATGTAAATGAGGATCTGAAGCTGAAGAGTGTCAGCTGCAGCACCTGAGCCTGATTCAGATGATGAGCTACTGGCCCTTGACCCTGAGACTGGGGCTGTAACAGCTGAGATATCTATGGCTCTTAGGAGGGGGGTCAGTGAGTGTATTTTGCATATGGAATCAACATAAATAACTTGCATCAGAGGGCAGACTGTTATGATTTTAGAACATGTCCACAGTTCTTTGAGACTCCTTCTATCAAAATGTGGAGTCTAATTCTCTTTCATTAAATATAGGCTGGCCTTAGTGATGCATTTCTACCAAATGGAATGCCAGGTTAATACAGCAGCGGTCCCCAAGCTTTTTGGTACAAGGGACCAGTTTCAAGGAAGACAATATTTCCATGGACAAGGGCCAGGGGGTGGTTTCAGGATAAAACTGCCCCACCTCAGATCATCAGGCATTAGATTCTCATAAGAAGTGTGCAACCTAGATCCCTCACATGTGCAGTTCACAATGGGGTTCGCGCTCCTATGAGAATCTAATGCTGCTGCTGATCTGATAGGTGGTGATGCTCAGGTGGTAAGACTCACTTGCCAATTGCTCACCTCCTGCTGTGCAGCCCGGTTCCTAACAGGCCACGGACCATTACAGGTCCACAGCTCTGGGGGTTGGGGACCCCTGAAGTACAGCTTCCACCTGGCTGTCTTGTTCTCTTGGTGCATGTTCTCTTGGTGCATTTCAAGTTCCAGCTAACTTGAAACCATCATGCTTAAGAGACCTTGTGGAAAGGCCATATTAATTTAGAGGTGTTCCACTCCAGGTGTTTCAGCTCTCAATTCTTTGAGTCTTCCCAACTCTGGTACCAGATATGCCAATAACAAAGCCTTAAAGATGACCCAATCCCAGCCATCATCTGATTGCAGCTACACTGAGCAACTGTAACCTACAACCACCAGCTGAACTGCTTCTGAATTCTTGAGCCATAGCAAGTGTGAGAGATCATAAAATGGTTGTCATTGCAAGACACTAAATGTTGGGAGAATTTATTATATTGCAATAAATATAGCAATTTATTATATAGTAATAGCAGTAATAATAGCAAATATTATTCCACAATATTTGCAACAAGGAAGCACCACTCACATTTTGTTCTGTGTGAATGGCAATTCTCAGAGTTCTTTAGTAAGATGGTATCCCAGGTTGCTGTGCAAATCCACCAGTTGTTAAGTGTTGGTTGACATCTGCAGACTTCATCCGGACTACTCTGTTTCTCACTTTTTCTCTCCTCTTCCCTGGTTTTCTACTTCTGTTTGGCTCCCTTGTCATCACATGAAATTGTTGACACTAAACCTCAAGGCTAGTCCCTAATAACCTTTTCAGCTCTGCTAATCTCTTTTGGGTACTCTAGTCTAGTTCACCCTGGGGTTTCCTCTCAATAACCCCCAATGTCCACTCTAGCACATTTGTACCTCCCAGGACCACACGTGGAGGCCCCTTCTCATCCCATCCCCAGATCCTCCCTGAACTGTGGGGGACCTGCAGGACACCCCAGTTCACACATCCAAGCTCTGTTTTCAGCCTATGCAAACAGCTGCGCCTCATCCACTCCTCAGGCGTAGAGGTGCTCATAAAGGCAGTCATGGTCTACCTTCAGGAGAACAGGGAAGAGGCCCATACAGACCCTATCTGCAGTTTGTAGAGGGCTCATACCCTTGCCCTTCAGACTCCTCACACCATGCGGAGGGACAGGCAGAGGAGGGCTAGATCAGGGCCCTCTAAGCACAGGGCCTGGGCAGGGCCACTAACTGCCCTGCATGAAAGGCAATGCTGCCCAACCCCTGAGTCCTGAGACTGTGGGGAAGTTACATGTCTAGTGCTCTCTGCTGCTCCTCCCTAGGATTCAGCAAGACTGCTCAGCTAGAGCCATCTCCTGTCCTCACCAGCAAGGAGGATGGGTAGAGACTTGCTTTTTTTCTTCTCTTTCTTTCTTTTTTTTGCGGGGGGACAGAGTTTCCCTCTTCTGCCCAGACTGGAGTGCAGTGGTGCAATCTCAGCTCACTGCAACCTCCGCCTCCCAGGTTCAAGCAATTCTTCTGCCTCAGCCTCCTGAGTAGCTAGGATTACAGGTGCACACCACCACACCTGGGTAATTTTTGTATTTTTAGTAGAGACAGGTTTCGCTATGTTGGCCAGGTTTCACTACATTGGCCAGGCTGGTCTCAAACTCCTGACCTCAAGCAATCCTCCCACCTTGGCCTCCTAAAGTTCTGGGATTACAGGCGTGAGTCACTGCACCAGGCAGAGACTTGCTTTTAGTGTGATGGAGAACTAAAAGTGATTGGTCCCAAAGCAGAGGCTAGATTATGTCATTTCTTTGATGATACAGGGTGAAATTCACACATTTTAGAGTCTAGGTCCTAGGGTCTCCATGGCCCAGTTTTATTCTTCACTGGTCCCTCTCATACACCTTATGCACCAGCCTAAGTCATTGTTATTACTTCCAGAAATTGATGCTTGGTCTCTACTTTTTGTTGTTGTTGTTAAATATGGAGTCCTTGCTGAAAAAAATTACAGTTCTAATAAGATCTGGAGGCTTCACGTGATCCTATTAAGGACAGATAATTTCCTGAGTTAGAGCCACCAGCACAAGGGTGCCCATTCATAGTCTGTCACAGAGTTTAAATATCACACTGAGGTCATCAAAAACAGGGAAGACATTAGCTCAAAGATTTACTTTGCAACTGGAGTGGCAGCATTTGCATTGCACTTCTAGGGTTCAGCCTAACCGCAAAAATGATTGGACTAAGGCCTCAACTTTATCACTTATAATATTGTGATCTTGGAAATGTTACTTCATCTTTCAGACCTAAATGTAGGCTTAGATGGTAGTGCAAACTCCAGGCTTCCCAGTGAACCCTCCCTCCCAGCCAATCAGCTAATGACAGTCAGGACCTTAGACGGCAGCTGATGACCTCTGTGGAAAGGTGACAACATTTCAGTCAGGACTTATCTGTACTCTCAGGGTCTGTTAACTCACTCACAGAATGAGATGACCAAAAATATGATTGCAATAATAAAGTTATGAATAAAACTTTAATCTTAAATAATATAGAATGAGCAGTATGAGGATCCTTAAATGACATTTGTATTGGGCTCTCAATTTTGGCAACAATTGAAAGCATGCAACCTCACCTAAAATTAATGACCAACATCAGGAAAAAAATAAAGCTTTCTTCAACCTACTGTGAATTATCTAGTACACTTAGCAGATAATAGACATAGACACTGAAGGTTAATTCAGCCTGCCTCTCCCAAGGTGTGGCTTTCCTTTGGGGTCTTATTAAAACATATCAGAACACATGTTGTCATTGTGGCATTCATATCAGAGGTGCATTCATTCAATACATCTTCCGCTACTTCACAGAAAATGGGAAAGACTTGGGAATTTCATATTTTGTTTTGCTCTGTGAACACATGGAAAACTCACTTGTCAATAGGTTCCACTTTATGTGCTTTTTGTGTGCATAAAGTGGATCTCTTTGTACCTCAAATACCTGGTGAACCCTCGAACTGGGCCATACAAGCTGCAGAAATGAGATGAGCAAGACTAGGTATCTTACTTCCTTAGGGAGCTCCAGGTCCTGAAGGGGATCAGAAAAGCCCTGCTCTGGGGAAATGAGGCGGGGGGAGGTCAAGCTCTGAAGAATCAGTGTGCAGAATTCCCTTGGAGGTGTTTGTTATTTCAAAGTTGAGTGATAACTTGAATTATACTATTTATTAATAGGTTCGATAGAGAAAATTTGGAACACTGATGTTTTTACTGTGCAATCTTGGAATCAGGGTCAAATTAACATGATGGGCGTACATGGTGTCTCCTCCCTCTGTGTGCTTGCATTTACTCCTCTGTCTGGAAAGCCTGCCCATGTTCGCTGGAAAACTCACATATGTTCTTCCAAGACACTCTCCCCACTCCCACCTCTGCCCCAGAACCAAAGCAAAATATCATACCTTTTTCTGTACTACTTCTGTAAATTGTATTTGCATATTTGTTGCATTGAAATTGTGTCTACATAGTTGTCTTCCCCAACTAGACTGTGAGGGAAGGGCAGTGTCTCACCAGTTCATGACCTGTAGTGCCTAGCTCAATGTCTAACACATTGAAGGCACTTAACAGATGCTTGGTGAAGTGAAAAATGGTAAGCAACCTAGGCCAAAGTGATTTGTCCCAAAGCAAAGGCTAGATTACATCATTTCTTTGTTTGACGATCCAGGGTGAAATTCAAACATTTTAGAGTCTAGATCCTAGGGTCTCCATGGCCCAGTTTTATTCCTCACTGGTCCCTCTCACACACCTTATGCACCAGCTGAAGCAGAGTGCCTCGATGTCCCCAAACACCCTGCATTTCTCATATTTATGTCTTTTTTGGGTTCTTCCTTTATCCTAGTGTGATGTTCTCCCCTACTTCAGTAAGGTATGTGTTAAAATGGCAATCAGTTTCCAAAGCTCAGCTTAGACGCCATTATCCTCCATGAAGCCTTCCTAGTTACTTTCAGCTAGAAGGAATATCCTCTTTTTTTCTTCTCCCTTTGCACTATGTTTCACTGTCCCTGCCACATTACACCTTGTAACTTCATTCATTTAATCAACATTTACTGAACTATAGTTAGAAAGATGAAAATATCCACTACTCTCCCTCAAAATCTCAGATTCTAGTGTGCAGGCACATAAGGGGTACTTATAATCAAATTTTAAAAGTGTTGGTTAGGTGTGATGGCTAATCTCTGTAATCCCAGCACTTTGAGAGACTGACATGGGTGGATTGCTTGAGCCCAGGAGTTTGAGACCAGCCTGGGCAACCGGCAAAACCCAGTCTCTACAAAAAGTACATAAATTAGCTGGGCATAGTGGTGAGTGCCTCTAGTTCCAGCTACTTGGGAGGCTGAAGTGGGAGAATCGCTTGAGCCCGGGAGGTGGAGGGTGCGGTGAGCCATTATCCTGCTACTGTACTACAGCCTGGGTGAGAGTGAGACCCTGTCTCAAAATAAAAAAAAAAAGTGAATGGTAGAAATACTCCATTTTTTTACAGCTCTTACGACTTGAAATTATGCATTGTATTTTTTAAAAATTCTCTTTTCCACTGTGAGTTGTTCACCATCATATCTCCAGCACCCAGAACACCCCAGACATGTGGTAGGTACTCAATAATCATTTGTTGAATACATTAGTGTAGAATAACTTTTAAAGTTTTTTTAACAGTTAATCTACAATGGAAGTTTACATCTTGCTAATATGAATTCCCTTCAAGATTATAATGTGGCTGAATTCCAAATGGTAATTCTTCCATACTGTGGCTCCATCTTCTTAGACATGTGACTTCCATGTTCACCTGCATAGAGTTGGTGCGAAAGGAAAAGAGTACGGGAATTATGTGATGCATGCTTCATAGGCCAGGCCTGGAGTGCTGCACTCACTTCTGTTCATATTCCATGCATCAGAACTCAGCCACCTGGCCACATCCACCTGTAAGGGGAGCTGTGCAATGTGGTCTAGCTGGTCTAGTCCAGGAGAAAAAAACTTAGGTAGGCTCTGTTAAATTCTATGAATGATGGAGGGAAAAATGGAGAAAAAGGTCAGCTACTCAGTGGAAGGGGCCTTGTCAGCAAAGGCTTCGTGGAGGAGGTGATGCAAAAGATGAGTCTTAAAGCAGTAGTGGGATGTGACCACCTGAGAAGGGAGGAGAAGGAATCCCGGCTAGAAGGTAAGTATAAGCTAAGCAAAGGAGTGGAAACTACCCAGCATTCCCTGAGGCTAGAAGACAGAGAGGCAGGGGGAGGACATGAAAATGGAGAGAAAGGAAGGGGAGACGGTGAGAGCGAGGTGGAGGGCTTAATGCCATTACACAGAGCTTGGAACTCACCATAGGGGATAGAAGGAGCCACTGAAAGTTTGAAGCAGGAATGCAGCACAAGTGATTTGCAATTGGAATAGTCTTCAGGTGGAGAGGACAGAGGGAGGACAGAGATGGAGGCAAACAGACCACTTAGGAGGTTATGTATTTAAACTTCCATATGGGGTCCCTACAGAAGATCACTTGAGGAAAATCTGAAGTGTATATACACTTGGGCTGCAGCCTTAGCCACTGCGATTCAGCAGGAATGTTTAGAAAGCTCCCCAGGCCATTCTGATAGTCAGCCAGGTGTAGGAATCACTGCCTCTGTGCATCATGAGCTCCTGCGAGGACATGCAGACATCTTTCCTCTTTGGTTTCTCCCATAGAGCCAGGCCCTGCCTTGCATATAATCCCATATCATTACATGTGGTATACATACAGTATACTTACATTGTTTGAAGTCTTTCAACTAAACCCTTTCTAAGAAAGGGTTCTTTCTTAGAAAGAAAGAAAAAAATTTCCATTTCACTCTTATTTAATCTGCATTATCTTTTAATAATTGATTAATATGTTTTAAAATGGCTAAACATCTACTACACCTTGGTCACCATTTTCAGGCTTGAGGATACAGAGATTGAAAATAAGACCGGTATGGTACTATTTTGAAAGTGATGTGGGGACACGGAAGAGGGAGAAACTGTTTCAGAGGAGTTCTGGAATGTTTTACAGCAGAGATAATTTTTGAAAAAGGTCTTAAAAGGATCAATAGGAATTTAATCAAAAAAACAGGGAAGGGTTTTCCAATCAGAGAGAACACTGCGTGCAAAAGAACAGCAGCATGAGAAGGCCTGGAACATCCAGGGATCTGTGGGAACTTCGGCATGGTGAGGGCAGAGGATATGCACATGGAGGCACAGGAGATGAGGCTGGAAAGAGAGGGGTTGGGAGGTAGTGGTGTGCTGGAAACTTATTCTCAAAACAACAACAAAAAAATCCAAACATGATTTGCAGAGTTTGCCAATTTTTGTGGTGTAAATATTTCCATC
This sequence comes from Homo sapiens, assembly GCF_000001405.40. Taxonomy (NCBI): domain Eukaryota; kingdom Metazoa; phylum Chordata; class Mammalia; order Primates; family Hominidae; genus Homo; species Homo sapiens. The sequence goes on along the minus strand of NC_000007.14, from coordinate 91,219,011 downwards.
TGATTTCAAGCTGTCAATGATTTAAGGACTGGCTTACAAAATTCCTAAATATTTCAGAACTGGTTTTTGTGAACTGGTAGCAGCTGCCTCCAGTACATGACTGACAAGCATCCAGATCCTTTAATTTCAAAAGATGTTCTGAAAAAATGTGTGTTCCCTTGCCTTGGTTGTGCCTCACATTATGATGAGGCTTGTTTTAATGAGTTTGGAGTAGAGTAAGCCAAAGAAACACACAAGGGACCTGAAAACACACTGGAGCTATTTCTTAGGCTCCTACCACTCACCAGTAGTGCACTTAGACCCAGGCAAGAGGGGCCCCCATTTTGGTTTCTATGATCAAACAGCCTTCTGTAGACATAGCCCTTCTCTACAAAATGAGGAATCCATAGTGCCATGCCCAACAGGAACTTATCTCCCCCACTTCTCCATATATTCCAGATGTCCATGATCCTGGAACACTCTGCAAATGGAGTCTTCCCTGAGACCACCCTCCAGAGGGCATGTACCTCATCCCCAAGGGCTGCCCAAGGAGGCGCTGTTTGCTGAAGGTATGGATAATGGGGATGTGCGGGCTGGGATGTCCACACACATGCATTTGCGGCCCCTTAAATCGTGGATGGAGCTGGGGATGGGAAGTGAAAAGAAGTAGGTCAGTCTCTAGATATACAATCATGTCATCTGCAAACAGGGACAATTTGACTTCCTCTTTTCCAAATTGAATACCCTTTATTTCCTTCTCCTGCCTGATTGCCCTGGCCAGAACTTCCAACACTATGTTAAATAGGAGTGGTGAGAGAGGGCATCCCTGTCTTGTGCCAGTTTTCAAAGGGAATGCTTCCAGTTTTTGCCCATTCAGTATGATATTGGCTGTGGGTTTGTCACAGATAGCTCTTACTATTTTGAGATACGTCCCATCAATACCTGATTGATTGAGAGTTTTTAGCATGAAGGGTTGTTGAATTTTGTCAAAGGCCTTTTCTGCATCTATTGAGATAACCATGTGGTTTTTGTCTTTGGTTCTGTTTATATGCTGGATTACATTTATTGATTTGTGTATATTGAACCAGCCTTGCATCCCAGGGATGAAGCCCACTTGATCATGGTGGATAAGCTTTTTGATGTGCTGCTGGATTCAGTTTGCCAGTATTTTATTGAGGATTTTTGCATCAATGTTCATCAAGGATATTGGTCTAAAATTCTCTTTTTTGGTTGTGTCTCTGCCTGGCTTTGGTATCAGGATGATGCTGGCCTCATAAAATGAGTTAGGGAGGATTCCCTCTTTTTCTATTGATTGGAATAGTTTCAGAAGGAATGGTACCAGTTCCTCCTTGTACCTCTGGTAGAATTCGGCTGTGAATCCATCTGGTCCTGGACTCTTTTTGGTTGGTAAGCTATTGATTATTGCCACAATTTCAGAGCCTGTTATTGGTCTATTCAGAGATTCAACTTCTTCCTGGTTTAGTCTTGGGAGGGTGCATGTGTCGAGGAATTTATCCATTTCTTCTAGATTTTCTAGTTTATTTGCATAGAGGTGTTTGTAGTATTCTCTGATGGTAGTTTGTATTTCTGTGGGATCGGTGGTGATATCCCCTTTATCATTTTTTATTGTGTCTATTTGATTCTTCTCTCTTTTCTTCTTTATTAGTCTTGCTAGCGGTCTATCAATTTTGTTGATCCTTTTAAAAAACCAGTTCCTGGATTCATTAATTTTTTGAAGGGTTTTTTGCGTCTCCATTTCCTTCAGTTCTGCTCTGATTTTAGTTATTTCTTGCTTCTGCTAGCTTTTGAATGTGTTTGCTCTTGCTTTTCTAGTTCTTTTAATTGTGATGTTAGGGTGTCAATTTTAGATCTTTCCTGCTTTCTCTTGTGGGCATTTAGTGCTATAAATTTCCCTCTACACACTGCTTTGAATGTGTCCCAGAGATTCTGGTATGTTGTGTCTTTGCTCTCGTTGGTTTCAAAGAACATCTTTATTTCTGCCTTCATTTCGTTATGTACCCAGTAGTCATTCAGGAGCAGGTTGTTCAGTTTCCATGTAGTTGAGCGGTTTTGAGTGAGTTTCTTAATCCTCAGTTCTAGTTTGATTGCACTGTGGTCTGAGAGACAGTTTGTTATAATCTCTGTTCTTTTACATTTGCTGAGGAGAGCTTTACTTCCAAGTATGTGGTCAATTTTGGAATAGGTGTGGTGTGGTGCTGCAAAAAATGTATATTCTGTTGATTTGGGGTGGAGAGTTCTGTAGATGTCTATTAGGTCTGCTTGGTGCAGAGCTGAGTTCAATTCCTGGGTATCCTTGTTAACTTTCTGTCTCATTGATCTGTCTAATGTTGACAGTGGGGTGTTAAAGTCTCCCATTATTATTGTGTGGGAGTCTAGTTGTCCCTGTTTGCAGATGACATGATTGTATATCTAGAAAACCCCGTTGTCTCAGCCCAAAATCTCCTTAAGCTGATAAGCAATTTCAGCAAAGTCTCAGGACACGAAATCAATGTACAAAAATCACAAGCATTCTTATACACCAATAACAGACAAACAGAGAGCCAAATCATGAGTGAACTCCCATTCACAATTGCTTCAAAGAGAATAAAATACCTAGGAATCCAACTTACAAGGGACGTGAAGGACCTCTTCAAGGAGAACTACAAACCACTGCTCAATGAAATAAAAGAGGATACAAACAAATGGAAGAACATTCCATGCTCATGGGTAGGAAGAATCAATATCGTGAAAATGGCCATACTGCCCACGGTAATTTATAGATTCAATGCCATCCCCATCAAGCTACCAATGACTTTATTCACAGAATTGGAAAAAAACTACTTTAAAGTTCATATGGAACCAAAACAGAGCCCGCATCGCCAAGTCAACCCTAAGCCAAAAGAACGAAGCTGGAGGCATCACAATACCTGACTTCAAACTATACTACAAGGCTACAGTAACCAAATCAGCAGGGTACTGGTACCAAAACAGAAATATAGATTAATGGAACAGAACAGAGCCCTCAGAAATAATGCCGCATATCTACAACTATCTGATCTTTGACAAACCTGAGAAAAACAAGCAATGGGGAAAGGATCCCCTATTTAATAAATGGTGCTGGGAAAACTGGCTAGCCATATGTAGAAAGCTGAAACTGGATCCCTTCCTTACACCTTATACAAAAATGAATTCAAGATGGGTTAAAGACTTACATGTTAGACCTCAAACCATAAAAACCCTAGAAGAAAACCTAGGCATTACCATTCAGGACATAGGCATGGGCAAGGACTTCATGTCTAAAACACCAAAAGCAATGGCAACAAAAGCCAAAATTGATAAATGGGATCTAATTAAACTAAAGAGCTTCTGCACAGCAAAAGAAACTACCATCAGAGTGAACAGGCAACCCACAAAATGGGAGAAAATTTTCGCAACCTACTCATCTGACAAAGGGCTAATATCCAGAATCTACAATGAACTCAAACAAATTTACAAGAAAAAAACAAACAACCCATCAAAAAGTGGGCAAAGGACATGAACAGACACTTCTCAAAAGAAGACATTTATGCAGCCAAAAAACACATGAAAAAATGCTCACCATCCCTGGCCATCAGAGAAATGCAAATCAAAACCACTATGAGATACCATCTCACACCAGTTAGAATGGCAATCATTAAAAAGTCAGGAAACAACAGGTCCTGGAGAGGATGTGGAGAAATAGGAACACTTTTACACTGTTGGTGGGACTGTAAACTAGTTCAACCATTGTGGAAGTCAGTGTGGCGATTCCTCAGGGATCTAGAACTAGAATTACCATTTGACCCAGCCATCCCATTACTGGGTATATACCAAAGGACTATAAATCATGCTGCTATAAAGACACATGCACACATATGTTTATTGCGGCACTATTCACAATAGCAAAGACTTGGAACCAACCCAAACGTCCAACAATGATAGACTGGATTAAGAAAATGTGGCACATATACACCATGGAATACTATGCAGCCATAAAAAATGATGAGTTCATGTCCTTTGTAGGGACATGGATGAAATTGGAAATCATCATTCTCAGTAAAGTATCAAGGACAAAAAAACAAACACCGCATGTTCTCACTCATAGGTGGGAATTGAACAGTGAGAACACATGGACACAGGAAGGGGAACATCACACTCTGGGGACTGTTGTGGGGTGGGGGGAGGGGGGAGGGATAGCATTAGCACATATACCTAATGCTAAATGAGTAGTTAAGGGGTGCAGCACACCAGCATGGCACATGTATACATATGTAACTAACCTGCACATTGTGCACATGTACCCTAAAACTTAAAGTATAATAATAACACAATTAAAAAAAAAAAAGAAGTAGGTCAGTCTCAAGCTGAACTGGCTCCCTCTGTACTGCCACAGTTTGGTGAGGAACTTTGAGGAGTCCAAGAATCTAACCATGAATCTGTCCTTCAAGTTCATTATAAAGGCATATTTGTCAAAGTAAGAGAATAGAATAGGTTTAGTTTTTTTGTTAGTTGGGTGTGTATCTTTAAATATTTAGATATATGGTATGTGGGCCTTCATTTTTGCTTTTACCCTGGGTCCTGCAAATGTTAGGGGTGGTTCTTATCTACCCCATTACTAAGGCTGTATTCTAAACCAAGGTAAGCAAACTATAGTCCCCAGGCAAATTACTGCCCACTGCATTTTTTTAATGATGCATGTGAGCTTAGAATAGTTTTTACATTTTTAAATAGTTCTTATCCATTTGACCCAGCTATCCCATTACTGGGTACATACCCAAAGGAGTATAAATCATGTTGCTATAAAGACACATGCACACGTATGTTTATTGCGGCACTATTCACAATAGCAAAGACTTGGAACCAACCCAAATGTCCAACAGTCATAGACCAGATTAAGAAAATGTGGCACATATACACCATGGAATACTATGCAGCCATAAAAAATGATGAGTTCATGTCCTTTGTGGGGACATGGATGAAGCTGGAAACCATTATTCTCAGCAAACTATCGCAAGGGCAAAAAACCAACACTGCATGTTCTCACTCATAGGTGGGAATTGAACAATGAGAACACATGGACACAGGAAGGGGAACATCACACACCAGGGCCTGTTGTGGGGTGGGGGGGAGGGGGAAGGGATAGCATTAGGAGATATACCTAATGTAAGTGATGAGTTAATGGGTGCAGCACACCAACATGGCACATGCATACATATGTAACAAAACTGCACATTGTACACATGTACCCTAAAACTTAAAGTATAATAAAAAAAGAAAAAAAATCAAAAGAAAAGCAATATTTTGTGGCATGTAAAAATTATATGAAACCCAAATTTCAGTGTCCACAAATTGCTGTATTGGAACACATCCATGCTCATTCATGTATGTATTGTTCATGGCTGTTTTCACACTACAGCAGCAAAGTGAGTAGCTGGGAAAGAGACCGTGCAGCCCGGGAAGTCTAGAGTATTCACTATCTGGCCCTTATAGAAACAGTTTCCTGACCCTCACCCTAGAGTAGCAGACAGGCAGGAGGAAAGGAAGAGTCTAGCAGTTCTCACGCTGGCTGCACAATAGAATCACCTGTTGATTTCTCCAAGCAGACCCCCCGCCACCCATAATATTTCTTGAATGGTTTGGGGTGGGGTTTTTTTTTTAAAACTTCCTGGTGATTCAAATGAGAGTCAGGACTAAGAACCACTGGGCTAAGGGAATAAATACATGAAGGTCTGAATTTCCCAAATGTTAAGCAAGATGGTTGCAGGACTGGCCTGCTTTTCCCAGGGAATCTTAGTGGATTACAGCCTTTCTTGAGGAAGAAAGGTACCCAGTGATGAGATTTGGTTGAAGATGGAGAGGGGGCAAAAGACTAATTGTTTCTCACTGTAGTATGATTTATAAGCTAAGTTCCATTTTAACCTCTCTAAACCCTTGAACCGTTGTTTCAAACATGTATCCCTGGCATTATCCGCATCTCTCAGGCAGGCACACCTTGCGCTATGTAGCACATAGCTTTGCAGGGACCCCTGCTGGGTCACTTCTCAGGATACACCCCAACGGGGAACCCTTACGCCATCTGTGCAGCATGCCCTCCATAATTATTGGTGGTCTCGCAGGGAAGGAGAAAAAAGACAGCTCTATCAGAATCCCATTCTCCACTAGCACAGTCAGCACCATTGGCAGAGGATGGCTCTGGGGCTGCAAGGCTGCTCTGAGCTATTATTGTGCCTGGCTCTCTCTCAGCATGACTCAACGCAGACAATATAGCACACCGAGAGCATGGGGGATGAACAGTAAATACGAGGCCTTGGATTTTTTTTTAATCTTGTCAGTTTTTCCCTGATTTGTGTCCTTTATCCTATCCCCCTCTGCTATATAAGCTTCTCAAAGCTAATGCCCATAACGCCACCACCCACTGGTAGCAGCAGGCTGCTGGGCCACTGTGGGGTTCTCATTGCAGAGATTTACAATGCCCGCCATTATTCAGCAACTGTACGTGTTAACCCAGTGGCACAAGGTTGCTCCAACACCTTCCCCTCTGGTTTCTCTTTACTCGGGAGGCCAACAGCGACTATAGGAGTGCCGCCCTCCTGACTCGAACTGCTTGCCTCAGTGAGCACACATCACGTCCTCCAACCTGGCAGAGCTGGAATAGGCCCCGCTGAAAGACAGGAACGTTGGGCAATTATGAAACTGAGATGATGCTTGACATTTGTACTGCCACATTAAAAAAGTTAAAAATATTTCTCAAAGGTGTTTCTTTGGCCTCTTGTAGATATCTACCCTCCATCCCCTTCTTTCTTCTACTAAGAGCTGATGTGATTACATCTCTAAAATGTGACCTTGCTGCAAGGCTGCTGGGAGTGATCTCAACAATGAGCCTACAGGCTACTGTGGCTGTTAGGAGGTGAAACAGTGCCATACATTTTGCTCCCTCGAAACAACTCCCTGGAACAAGTTACTAATTTCACACTTCTATTAATTCTAATCAGTTTCAAGGGTGATTTATGGCTCCCATTTAACTAAGAAATGTGCCTATTATCTCTACCTTGGCTACTGTGACGTCTACCTCCATGCACTCTCCCGTTCCAGAATCCAGTAGTGGAGGCAGCAACTGTCTGGAAATGCGTTTGCCTGTGTATAGACGATTTACTGCTTCAGGAGAAATAGAAGAAGCACTTGGGGGATGAAGATGCGGTCACTCTCATGAGCTTTTCTGGAGAGAAATATGCATCGGCTGAGGACACCTATGTTTGGTTTTGTGCGAAGGGTTTACAAACTGAAATCACAGAGGTTACAGGAGAAGAGCAGGTGAAGGAAAACATCAGGTAGCTGCTCCTGGTGGGTAAACGTCTGCCCAGAAGAAAGCTGGGAGTCTTGGGGGTCCTCTTAACATGGAACGTGAACTTGTGAGACACTTTTTTTTTTTTTTTTTTTTTTTTTTTTTAGGCAGAGTCTCTCTGTTGCCCAGGCTGGAGTGCAGCGGCGCTATCTCGGCTCACTGCAACCTCCGCCTCTGCCTCCCGAGTAGCTGAATTACAGGCGCCCGCCACCATGCCCGGCTAATTTTTGTATTTTTAGTAGAGATGGGGTTTTGCCTTGTTGGCCAGGCTGGTCTCATACTCCTGGCCTCAGATGATCCACCCGTCTCAGCCTCTCAAAGTGCTGGGATTATAGGCATGAGACACTGCGCCCAGCCCGTGAACACTTTTAAGTCACCAAATACCTGGCATGAACATTATTAGCAATTTATCAAATCATGGGGGCCTGTTTGGGGTTATGACATATCTGACAAGAAGGAAAAGGTGATGATGGAAAAGGGACTGGCCTCCCAGGTTGGCACTGTCAATCCAAACGTGGGATCCCAAGAATGCCCTGCAGTTTCAGGTGCAGATGCCTCCTGCGTGGTGTTCAGGGAAGTAAGCTCAGTTCAGAAAGAACAGTCATGCTTCTTGCAGAACACCAGTACACTCAAGCTTTTGTATTTGTATTCAGTGGAGGGTAACCTACTCACCCCATCTTTGAATATGTGCAAAAAATAGAGAAGGAGGCAATAAAAGATAAATAGGGCTGCCATTAAACAGAACCAGAAAGGCTCCAGATCCATCTGAGATGGGCAGAACATGTGACATGTGTGAACATCAGGAAGGGGCTGGGGGAACTGTGAAGATCCTGCAGCTCACAGATCTGTTTCGCATGGTCTCTACTCCTTTACATAAATTTGGCACAGCAAATCAAGGAAAGGGGAGGGTTTAACAGACTCCTGGACCATTCCAGATAACTCACTCCTTCCCACATATTGTGTATTTGTTCTTATTTCACTGTGTAAGAATGGTTGTGTTCAAGAGGTTTTTAAGTCAATGTTTCTTTGATATGGTATATGCTCTTACTGGGCATCCACCAAGAAGATGTACCTAGAACATGTACGGAGATTCTGCTATACTTTATTCCATATCATGTTACAAGAAAACAACAGTGACAGCTGACAAACCATTACATCTTTCATAATACAGACAAATTACAACTGGTAACAAATATGCAACATGTATTATTCCATTCTCCTTACTATGTGTCATTTGAAAGTATAATAGTTTTCTGAATAATGCTACCACATTTCTTAGGTACCAATCCCCTGTTAGAAAGTACACATCTCAGTGCATCATACAAAAAAAAATAAAAGATAAAAGGAAAACTTTAAAAATCCACTCCCAACTAGAGAATGTAGGTTTTGTATGTGCCTCTAAAATATGCTGCTGTGGGAAAAGGAATGAGAATAGAAGATTGCTTATTTTATTGATTTTTTTGGTGTGTTTTTGGTGTATGAGAAAAGTACAAGGCAGTAACATATACAGTTTCCTCTGCCTACAAGCCAGTAAGGGAGATGGAAGTTATGCGCAATTATGCAGCATATTCCTATGTATAAGGGGCAGGCAATAATCTACCCCAGTATATACAGCCTAAACATCCTCTTATATAACAAAGATTACAAAACCAATAATATTCACAGATGAGTATCATATAGACGCATAACCTAGGGTATTGATTATACTGGCTGTCATATACACACTGAGGAAAGGATACCAAGAGGCCTCACTTTCTTTGCAAGCCTGGAGGTGCTCCTAGAAACTTTCTAGTCACTCTTGCGAGGTAGAAATCGCTTCTCACCCCAGAATCAGTGGATGGACAGCCACCCTGCTTTATGTACCCTATTTTTTGCTGAGTACTGCAAACATTTTTTTTCACATCCTATGTATCTCATATTTTTAAGTCAACAAAACTGTTATTTTAAGAAAATGGGAATTAAGTGTCAAATCTCCTTTCAGAATACTGTGTGTGCAGTGATGTGCTAAGGTGTTTGTACTATTCTTACCATCTGTTTGAGTTCAGGCTATTCCTTCATATAAAAATAATCTCACAAAACATTCCAGTGCTTTCTCAATAGAATAATAAATCTGCTAATCAACACAGTCTGAATTGATTTTCATGACTGCCCACAAGGAGGGCAGAAGAGAAAAGAAGCAGAGGGAGAATATGATTGCAAATAGGGGAAGGAGAGAGGGAGGGAGGGAGTGAGAGGGGTTTGGGGGGAGAAAGAGAAAGAAAGAGACAGAGAGAGAGAGACACCAAACTTTGGATTTCCTGTATGGGTGGCAAGGATAGGTACTCAAAACCTCCTGACCTTCTGAGAGGCATGTCTCTGTAACAAAACAGATTTCTCCGTCCACTGAGTAATGTTATATTTCACTTCTCCGAAGAAGCTGCCTACGACAGGGAGATATAACTCTAATAGCCCTAATTGAAGTCTTTCAACATTAAATATTTTCAAATTTTCAAGTTAAAAACCTTATTAAAAAGCAACATTTAATCATCAGTTGCTCTTGCTTTAAACTTAGTGAAATACAAAGGTCATGCCTCTTCTCCAAATGAATGATTAAAAACAAATCACAGGAAAGTCCATTTTTAATTGCATGTAAAGTTTTCTCCCTATGTTTTCTTTAAGAAATCCTAATTTAAGTATACTTTAAATCAAAATACCTCTAAAGACTTCCAGTGGGTTGGAATGTATGAAAGAGGAATGGAAAAGATTTCTAGGTAGCAAACAGTAGACATTCTACACTTGGGTGTTTTCTGCTCTCTTTAAAACCAATCAGTAAATAATTCCTTGCTTAGCACTTAAAAGTTTACCATGAATGCTACATCTGGATAGGATGAACTATGACTTTGACATAACCATCCATACTCCACTCCGCAGACAGTACCATTTTAAAGTTTAGGAATTCTGGATCCAGTTTCCTTGGTGTATTGAGCTTGATTATAGAAAAGCTTTACCCTCACCCAACTCTCAGAAAAAGTCCTTGTCAACCTGGCTCCTAATTCCTAGTCTTGATCCTAAAACAGTATGACACATTTCAAGCACTCACTCATTCTCTCCTTCTTTCTGACTAATAGGAAAATGTAAGACACTGTACACAAAGGTATTTCCATAGGAATTTGTGTGTAGAGGAGCTAGGTTTCATGCTTTAGATGAAGTCTCCTAACTGTCCCCTTGGCCGCAGTACTACTGGGCATTCTGCAGCGAGGCCTGCCCCACTGGGAGCCGGCCTGCATCAGGCAGCCCTCCCTCCAGATCAAAGCAAAAGACATGCCTGGTCCACTTTTCTCCAGTGTCACATACTCGCCTTCATCCTCCAAGGTCCCTCAACTCCTTGAGTAAGGGAAGCTGGCCCATTCCCTTTTTCATCTTTAAAGCAAGATTCCTGCATTGTTTCTAAAACCTGCATTTGAACAGTTATTCCAGGAGATGTCTTAAAGTAAGAACCCAATGATGTCTTCCAATTGGCTTGGAATGTTTTTTTAAAATGTATTTTTTTTAAAGGTGCTTTGTTGTAACTAAGCAAACTTTGAACTGGATCACTTTGTAATTTACTTTGTAAGCCCTAACAGGCCAAGACTGCTTTCAAGGCTCATCCAGCAGATATAGTTCTTTTGCACCAGATTTAAAACATTCTGTTCCTCACTCTTTTCTCCAGTTAGAAAATACAAAGTGTAACAGAATGGATGGAAAAAAATTAGATGTTGACAAGACCCAGACACAAAAAGTTACCTCAATCTCCAGAGGTTGAAATGTAAGCAATTTATCCCTGTCTTTGTTCTTAACGTTTGATAATTGTTTTTTCAATTCCAACCTATTCAAAAAACAGTCATGCTATGTGGCTTGAAAATGCTAAGCAGAGTCCAATATCCTATATATAAATGTGCAGTTATTTCCAAGTAAAAAAACCACATTTGCAAAATTACCTCAAAAGGTAAGCAACAGGTGGGGCCCCACAGTCCGGGGCCAAGTTGTCAAGTCAGAGAACAGGGGTTTGCTTTAGCAGAAAATTTCCTTCCTAGTGGTTGCAAAATGTGCACTGCTCTCAAAGAAAACACACATTGTTTTATGCCACTCTGTGGCTTTCAAGTTCAGACATTACTGAAGAAGTGTGAACACCAAATGTGTTGTCTTAATGTATTTAAGACATGGCTGGTGAAAGCATAAAAACCTTTACAGAGACGCTGTGCTGCAGAGGGAAATCAAACAAAATCAAACACAAAAGACTGAAAAGAATACATGCCATGTATCAGTAAGCAAAGCTTAATCTTCACGTAGTTCTTGGAAATCACAAGGTATCCAAATGCGTGCAAGGTTTTAAATAAATTGCAGAGAAAACAGGGTCTTGCCAGCTTCAATTTTCTTGTAAGTGAAATCCACCACAGGGAGCGAAAGAAAACTGATCCATGATTCCCTTCATATTATTGGCCTCTTCATTAATGTTTTTTTTTTCTTCCCAGAATGATGACAACTTAATCCTGGAAGGAGGAAAATAGAAAATTGTTATATAAAAAATCTACACCATTCATTTCTTCTAAATTACATGAAACATCAAAATTGGTCAGTCCAAAGTGAGTCCACTGATGTTCCCCACAGCCACTCCAAACACATAAATATGAAGCAGAATAGCCTCCTTAACCAAAAAAAAATCCTTCTAATATGATAAACAAATGTTCTGACTACACTTTCCTCTCTTAAAATCATTTAACTCCACCAACTGAATTGGTCTATCTTCCTCTTGGATATTTAGAGAAAAAGAAATTCAGCAAATTTCCTTCCCTAAATCATTAGTAGCAATACTGGTCTTAATTAAGTGCCTGTAGCATCATACAGACCATTAAAAGGACGTATCATTATGTTCATTTTTATGAACATGAAATAGAAAAACGGATCACAAACACGCTTTTAAAAAAATTCAGCTGTATATAATTCCTTGGTTGCCTATTATCATTATTTCAGTTCCAGCAGAATGAAAATTGGCCAGTGTGACCTGAATTGGCAGCCTCTTCCCAACATCCTGTATAGGACTGCGTGTTTCCAATAATGCCTGCTTAAAACAATAACAACTTGTGGGTGAATGGTTCAAGCAAAAAGAAGGAAGCTTCACTCTGTCCCTTTCCGTACTTCCTTTTGGCCCTTAAGCATTTTCATTGAGTCTCCAGGATGGGAAAAGAATGCCTTGCCAGGATGGGTGGAAACACTCCCAGGTTCAAGGCACATAGCTGAGGGATCGGTTCATTAGCTGCACTGAATCCCAGAACCAGTTCCTTAGCTAAGTTTAGAAGCTGCTGGTCACTAAGGCCTGGTGAGGCCTTCATGTCTCCAGCTACAGGGCCATAGAGTCATCTTCCCAGATGCAGGGGGAACCCTGGATGGTGCCTGATCCCAAAGGTTTTGTCCTTTTTTTGAGACTTCACAGTGCACCTGTCCTGCTGCTGCACACACAGGCTGTGGCATCAAGGACATCACCCCTGCATAGCAGCAACCCAGCAATACCTTGTCCAGATAGCAGAAATTCCACTCCTATGCTCAGGAACCATTAAAATAGTGGCCGGGCACGGTGGCTCATGCCTGTAATCCCAGCACTTTGGGAGGCCGAGACGGGCAGATCACGAGGTCAGGAGATGGAGACCATCCTGGCCAATATGGTGAAACCCCGTCTCTACTGAAAATACAAATACTAGCCAGGCGTGGTGGTGTGTGCCTGTAGTCCCAGCTGCTTAGGAGGCTGAGGCAGGAGAATGGCATGAACCCAGGAGGCAGAGGTTGCAGTGAGCCGAGATTGTGCCACGGCACCCCAGCCTGGGCAATAGAGCAAGACTCCCTCTCAAAAAAATAAAAAAAATAAAAATAAAAAGAGCATTCTCTCCACCATCTGCTCATTTCCCCCACTTACTATGGTGAGTTTCTGGCAAGTTAACTTTCCATTCTTTTTAAAAATTGAAGCAAAATTTATATAAAAAATTAATCATTTAAAAGAATATAATTTAGTGGCATTTAGTGCATTCACAATGCTGTGCAACTATCATCTCTATTTAGTTCCAAAACATCTTCATCACCCCCAAAGGAGATCCTATATCCTTTAAGCAGTCACTCCCATTCTCTCCTTGTCCCAGCCCCTGACAACTATTAATACTAATGTTTCTGTCTCTATGGATTTACCTGTTCTAGATATACAAATGGAATCATATAATATGCTACCCATTTTGTCTAGCTTTTTTCACTTAGCATGATGTTTTTGAAGTTCATCCATGTTGTAGCATGAATCAGTACTTCATTATTTTTTAGGGTTGAATAATATTCTATTGTATGAATATACCACAGTTTGTTTATCCATTCATTGGTTGATTTATATTTGTGTTGTTTCATCTTTTGGCTAATAGTGAATAGTGCTGCTCTGAATATTCATGTATAAGTATTTGTTTAAACACTGTTTTCCATTCTTTTGGGTATATATCTAGAAGTGGAATAGCTAGGTCATATGGAAATTATATGTTTAACTTTTTGAGGAACTGCCAAACTGTTTTCCATCATGGCTGTACCATTTCACATTTCCACCAGCAATGCACAAGGGTTCCAATTTTGCCAAAACATTTGTTTGTTTAAAAAAAATTATAGCCATCCTAGTGGGTATGAACTGATTTGCACTTGCATTTCCCTAATGATCGATGATGTTGGGCATCTTTTTTTTTTTTTTGACTGGGTCTTGCTCTGCCACCCAAGCTGGAGTGCAGTGATGTAATCCTAGCTCACTGCAGCCTTGACCTTCCTGGGCTCAGCTGATCCTCCCACCACAGCCTCCCAAGTAGCTGGGACTACAGGCACACATCACCATGCCTGGCTAATTTTTTATATTTGTAGAGACAGGGGTTCACCATGTTGTCCAGGCTGGTCTTGAACTCCTGGGCTCAAGCCATCTGCCTGCCTTGGCCTCCCAAAGTGCTGGGATTACAGGCATGAGCCACCATGCCCAAGCTGTTGGGGACTCTTTCATGTGGCTGTTGGCCATATGAATATCTTCTTTGGAGAAATGTCTATTCAAGTCCTTTGATCATTTTTAAATTGGGTTGTCTTTTCGTTGTTGAGTTGTAGGAGTTCTTTACACATTCTGGTTAATCCCTTATAGTATGATTTTTCTCCAATTCCATAGGTTGCCTTTTCACTCTGTTAACTGTGTCCTTTGATGTACAAAAGTTTTTAATTTTGGCAAAGTGCAATTTATCTTTTTTTTTCTTTTGTTGCTTATATTTTTGGTGTTATATCTAAAAATCCATTGTGAAATCTAAGGTTATGAAGATTTACCCCTATATTTTCTTCTAAGAGTCTTATAGTTTTAGCCCTTGCATTTAGATCTTTGGTCCATTTTGAGTGAAGTTTTGTATATGGTATGAGGTAGGGGTAACCTTCTATTCTTGAGAGTTCTCTGTCCTCAAAAACAAAAGCCTTAAGTTTCCAGGAGAGGCCTGGGGGTAAATGGATACCACACATAGGCCCTTTGCTACCTCTACATCCCAACAGTTATTATCTCAAATCCTTGCTGCTTGTGGGCAGTTCTCCATAAGGCTCACTTGACCACTCCTCATCCTTGCTTGATTGTGCAGATATACCTTTATCAAACCTCTTCTTAAAGAAGTCACCACCCTAGCAAAAATAATTACATGGGAACAAACTCCTTTGTCCCCAGCCTACCCTTGTTCTTTCAGGGAAACGAAGAACGTGCTCTACATGCTGCTCCATGTAACTATGCATTCTGATCTAGGCACTGGCATCTTTTTGAGGACCATGACATCAAGAAGAGAAAGCACTCATCCTCATAGTACTTCAAGCACATTTGTCCACAGGCATCCTCAGCCAATCCTCAACCCCACTATCAGCCTTCACATTTTTATTAAGCAGATGACAAAACTGTCCTTTTTCTTCCATGTACTTTAAACAGCAGTTGAGATTCCAGCTCTTCCTGGAAGCCTGCCCACTCCAGCTAAATGGGAGCTTTAGGTCTGTCCTGATATCTGCTTGCCCAGGCATGAAGTTCCTACAACTATATCCAAATGATGTAGTCTTTCCTGGCTCTCTCCTCTTTTACCATTTTAATCAACAGAATGGAGACCTGGTACCCACAATGACTTCCTGAACCAGAGACTTCATTTAGTCCCTCCAGAGGTGTGAAGACACTTCCTGTGAAGGAGCAAGTCAGGGGACAGGTGGCATCAGTATGTTCTTGATTAAGCTTGATTTTGTAGACTGCTGTGTCCCCAGAGCACAGCCCAGGCCCGGCTCAGGCACTCAATATACAGTTGTTGAATGAATAAAGGGGAAATTGTAGAATCAGAAGACTTGGTGGTGAAATATGTTCTCATATGTAGAGTTCCCTATGGCACATTCACTGAAGGCAAATGTGATGCCTGTGAAATGGCACAGTACTGCACACACTGCAGGCCATTCACAGATACACCACCAGCCTGAGGATGGTTGGTAGGATTAACACCTTCCTGTAGGCAAAACTTACATTTTTTTTTTTAACTCCATGACATTATATTTGAAAGGAATGATTTGATTTCCAGTACATCTAATTTCACGTAACAATAAACTATGTTGTCACCACAGTCAATGGCATATTCACTATCCTGTTGGGTTAAGATGTTTTTTAGACATCGATGATGTTTGTTCTTGCCTTGTCCTGATTCTTTGAGTGTAATCTCTAGGAGAATCACATGTACCTAACCTAGGGCATAAACAGAATTGCATAATAAAGGATAATATGTAATAATAGTAATTGGATAATAAACAGTGAACACAGTGATTAGGTTTGGGCTTAGACATTTAATGGAAGAAGCCAATAATGAGAACAGAAGAGAGGCGCCAATGAGAGGCAGACTCTTTCCCATCTCTGTGAGATGACTCCGAATGGCCCAAATTGTGCCAGCTACCCTGCCTGGTGCTGTTAGCCAGCAGCACGGGATGTCCCTTCTCCCTCCTTGAGCAGCATCAGCTTCAATTTTCAATAAGTGCATATAAGGTAGGTCAGATTTGCTGGAAAATTTTTAAGAAAATCTAAATGCAATCATGCATTTGATGAATGGGGATTTAGGTGGAAGGAGAGAGGGTATACTACAATCACAGGGAAGTGAAATATAATATCAATGTAATTCTTTCCCTTACCTTTATTATTAAAACATGTTGCATGCACAACACAAATGAACAGTGTACATGAATTATAAGCTCAACTATGTGCATAGCCACTCATAGGTATATAAATCATAAGATTAGTGGATGCCATTTTTATCTTGCTTTCAGCTTTTACAATGTTCTTTCTCTCTAGAAATGAATGTTTTAAACAAGAAATTGGATTTGATTGATAAAATCCTTATTCAGAAATATCTACATAGAGCTTCTTGGCTATAAATATTAATTAATTGGATCGCCCGTACCCATAATGCAACTTTGTTCTGACCCATGTGCCCTATGAACTAGATATTTTTTGGATTCAATTTTCTTAAAACCAACTGTCAGCATCATGTGATGGAGGAGATGAAAAATGAAAATGAGCAGTCCCGCTGTGCAGGTGGGTGACCTGTGGGAGAGAGTCTGCCTGGTAGGATTTTTACACGAACCATCAGACACAGACCAATTGATTAGATCATCTCATACCCGCCACCAACTAGGCTCAAGAGACTAATTAGAGAGAGTACTGCCTGCGCAGGCACCCCATTGACACCTAATTTGCTCAGCCAAAGCCTTTGGGGAAAATGTATTATCTCTGCAGCTGCACTTCATGCATTTCTGATTTGAGGCATAAGCAAGGAGTGCTTCATCACTCTTTTGAGCAAACTGAATGTAGAAGCCCTTAAGTGCTAAATGCAAGCAAACAGACCCAAATTAAAAACGAGCCAGGCTCTTTCTAATTCCCTCTGTGCTCCTGTTAAATCTCTGTGTGTACATACACACACACACCACTACACACATGCATGCAGTTTACATGCCGGAGGGACAACATCGCTGAGGACCCCCACTCAGTGTGCTTCGATGTGATCAGGTGGTCTGTGTTTCACTGGCCTATTTATGCACTCTAAGGTTCTCCGTTTGTTTGACTGTGTTTTGTTGTTTTTTTTTTTTCCTGCTGCATTGCCCTTCCTCAAAGTACTCTTTTTTCTACAAGACAACTCTGGCACATTTTTTCCCCCTCTAAGCCTCACTGGAGAGAAGTGATTATTTTGGTTCCAAATTAAAACAACTGTAGGTTTTCCTTTCATCGCCTAAATTGTGAACAGGATATTCTCCAGGATGTATGTGAAGCTGTGAGGTAATCCGCTCATTTCTATTTAGGAGACTTCTTTGTAAATATGCCTAACAGAGAAGAAAAAAATACTAACATTTGACAGAAAGAAAGCTACCTCATAACAGTAAAGACAGTATAAAGCTATAATACGTTTAGTTTCTCTTCAAGAAAAAAATAATTATAATTTGATCAAATTTAGCTTTATGTATTAGCTTTAGAATAAAACTACTTCCAACCTCCTTCTCAAATGTAGAATTCAAAATATTGATACATAAGGAGGCATTTAAAGATAGGCACGCAATTAATTACATGCTTTCAAAAAGGAAATAAAAATAAATAATCCAGGTAATAATGAAAAAATTAGGATAACTTTGTGCCAAATTTAGTGGATGTATAATGAGTTTCCATAATGCTAGAATGAAAGAGAAAAACAGGACCATGGTGGTGTTCTATACTGGACTTACTGATTTTGTGCCTGTCCAGTCACATGTTGGATGAATTATTCTACCCACATGTTCTGGTAAATTACAATTCTGCTTTGTAATTTTTCACATTTAGCCTATTCTTAAGAGTTTAATGAAAATAAAAAAAATCATTTTAGCTGTATGCCTTTTAAACTAGCATTCAAAATGGGCCTTACTTGGGCACCCAGACAGTCAGAGGATCCCAGTGACCACTGGAGTAGATATCCTTCTGAAGGTATATGGAGAGTGGTTGTAGGGGAGATGTTTGAACACAGTCAGAAAACCAGGGCCTTAACTAAAGCGCGTAACTGTTTAAAGAATTTATTCTGATTTTGTCGAGAACAAAGTCCAGAGAGATTCCCTTCCCCAAGTACCATGTCAAGAAGGTTTCACATGAACAATGTCCCGGAAAAAGAAAAAAACAAACTTACAAGACGGTGCCACTTTGAGTTTGGTTTTGCTTAAAATACCAAGAAAAACAAACAAATTGTTTTACCTAATTCATCTTCAAGAAGCATTTCCTATTATAGAGAATTAAGTTCACACATAAGGTTGTTAAACCCTAAGCACCTAGGCAAACACAAATCTCTCTAAAGTAAAAATATCAAATACATGTATACACACACATATTTGTATATATAACACATAGTCAAATTTTATACTGTAGATTTTATATGGATGCTGGATTCAAAGTGGTAAGTTTTAAACTTCATACTGAATTCAGAAAATCTGGGACAGCTTAATTTCCTTATTCTTTGAGTGAATTTAATGTGTTATAATTTGGCTAGAAATACAGGTTTTCTTTTAGAATATCTGAAATCAGTGTTTTCCAGTTTCTCTGACACTGCATTGAGGCTCCTTGAGAAGGGGGTAGGAGTTGGAGGAAATGGTATGAAACAGAAGGAAGTAGAAAATTAGTCAAACCTACTTCTGTAACTTATTTCTGATTTATGATAATCATGCTTCTTCCCCCTAGAAGAGAACACATCTTTGAGACCAGCAAGAGAATATTAATTAAAATGAATGCAGAGATAGTCAGGCTTTGTTTTAAGCTTAACAGAAGGCCCATCATTCAAAATAGCCCAAATCCTTTAAGTTGAAAGCTGTTTGGTAACATCCATATGGATGCACAATGCACTAATTGCAGCAACTTTGCACATTTTAAGCTTCATGCCAAAGTGGTGATTTTAATTAAAAAATTTTAGGCAAAGCTGTAAGTCTAACATTTCAAAACAAAGCATTTCTCACATGAGAAGACTGACTTAACATATCATTTTAATAATCACCATTATCAACAAACATTTATTGAAATCCTCATTAAAGACCAGGCATTATATGATGTGTAATTAGCCTTGATTGAAAAGAATGTTCTATTTTAATGGTGTGACTGTTTATTAAATCAGATTTATGCAAATGGAAAACACTGGTCATATTTTAGATACACATGGACAAAAAGGATGGCAATTCTGGGATTTCTTCCTGTCTCAGCCAATGGGAAAACAAACATAGGGAAAAGTACTGATTTAGGTCTTCTTAGATACACCAAGGCATGTTTAATCTTTTTTTTTAATAAAAAAACATATAATATTGTATACATATATCATTTTTAAAAAAGATTAAACATATCATAAAGATAAATAAAAACTGGGAGGTTTGAAGTAGTTCATTGAAACAGTTTTAATGACAAGGTTAATAGAAAAGCCTTCACCAAAGGTGGCATATTCTTTTCAAAGATTTCATGTTATTTGAAGCCTTATTTGCTCAGCATACCTTTACAAGTGACTGACTCCCAAGTGTTTATAAGTTAATTAAATAGGATTCTGACCCTTAACCCTCCTTATATATTACAGTCCTACTAAACTATATTTAAACAAACCAAATACAAAGTCACTCCCCAGAGTGTGCATTTTTTCTCAACTTAAAATGCATATACACAAATCTCATAAAACAACTAAAAACCAAGTATTTAATAGAGAAACACAAGGGTTCATGTCTGATTTTAATTAAAAGATTTTAGAGGAGATGTGACTCTACTTTGGGTGGATTTCTTTTTTCCAAATTAAAACTTGTCTGGTATTATTATCCAATGTATTGCAGCAGTTTTTCATGCTTAGGGTTTCGAATTCCAAACATACAGTCACCTACGACTTTGAACCTGTTTTGTGAACCATCTTATTTAGCGGAAACATGCAAAACAAAATATTCATTTCTGTAGCATAAATCAGATCACATATAATTTTGCTTAATACAGAATGATGTCAGCATGAACCAGAAGTCATGTTGGTTCATGGGAGATTTCTTTCCAATGTTATTTTGAGTCACCAAGTAACAGCAGCCATGAGCAAGATACATAAATACAGTGCATGCAAGCCCAAGAGGCCTGTAGTACTGCATCCCACATGCTTTCTTTTCGTTTGGTTTGGTTACATGTTCTGTCTTGGAATTAACTGTTTATTGTACAATCTTCCTGGATCCTTGAGCATTTTGCCCTTGCATCCAAAATTGGGCAGCCTCAACCCTTACATCAAGTTTATTTCACCTGTAAACTCTGCTAGCATTTTAATTTTTACTGCTTTTCTGAGTGCTGCGCTTATCAAGTTCAATATATTTGAAGTGGACTACCCTTTACCTTATTTCCCCCCCACCACAAAAGCCCTGCAACTTTTACTGTAGTATTCTGCTGAACACAGGTGGGAACACAGATGTCATATTACAGCAGAAATATCTATTCTTGTGAGGACACATCCTGACAGTGACATGAAGTGACACATTGTGCATACCACTATAGCACATCGTTTCCACCAGGAAATGTCTGCAGACAGTGATGAGGGTCCAACAACTCCAAGCTAAGGGTGGCGGGTGCTAGACAGCTCGCTAAGCCCCCTGCCAACTCCCTCCCATGTACCTGCTTCACAACACGAAGCTGCTTCACAACAGTGCCAACGAACAACTGATCGACCAAGGACAAATCACTGAATTCATCCGTGGAAGCGAAGCTCTGTGTACTACATGTAAAGCCCTCCAACACGCACTCCATGCAAAATTATAATTGGTTAAAGTATTTTGATACTAGTTATCCCACCATAGCATGTTGCTATATTTCTATAGAATCCAAGATGAGCTGTCAAAGACATAATTAACGGAATGTGTACCATTATGAGAAATAAATACCAGCATTTTGTGCTCATGTGGAATTTTCTCCTATCCAAAGTACTTTCCCATGTATTCTTCCACTTAATAAAAGTGCCTGAAAGATAGGACCTTTGAAGAAAGGTTCTGTTTGGAAGATAATAGATTTTGTGAACTCAAATTTTTAAGAAGTTCTAATCCTTTTAGTCATGATTCAGTGTCTTCTGAAATATCTGCAATAGGAGGTACATTGCAGATTTAAATACCAGAGCAGTCATGATAGAACCCACAACCTTTACAGGAACTAGGGTGACCAGCTGTCTCTGAACTGAGGAGGTTTCCAGGATTTGGGACTTTTTTTTTTTTTTTTTTGAGACAGAGTCTCTCACTCTGTTGCCAAGGCCAGAGTTCAGTGGTGTGATCTCGGCTCACTGCAACCTCTGCCTCCTGGGTTCACGTGATTCTCCTGCCCCAGCCTCCAGAGTAGCTGGGACTACAGGCACACGCCACCATGCCCAGCTAATTTTTGTGTTTTCAGTAGAGACAGGGTTTCACCATGTTGGCCAGGCTGGTCTTGAACCCCTGGCCTCAAGTGATCCACCCACCTTGGCCTCCCAAAGTGCTGGGATTACAGGAGTGAGCCACCACTCCCGGCCTAGGATTTGGGACTTTTGGTTCTAAAATGTGGGTGGTGGGGGCAGTGCAAAATGGAACAAGCTGGTCACCAAAGGAACAACAGGATTAATATGCACAGTAGTGACTTCCAAGTTTATTATAAAAACAGAGGTAACAAGGTTTGGCACTTTATTACACGAACTAAAATGAAAAGTATAGTGACACTCCTATCTGAAAGTGTGAGTCACAAAAGTTTTACAAATCTGAGACACTGAGAATGGTAAAAGGTGAAAATAAAATGGGAACTGAGCCAGCAGCCTTCTCTCTTCTCACCTCTCCAGACTGTCCAGGGATCTTCCACTTTTTTCCACTTATCTCCTTGGAAGAGACACAGTCTTGACTCTGTGATTTAGGCTTTCTTCTCTGTTTTTTGTTGAAGTCACAGTCAATCACATTCTGCTCTAATGAGGTTGTTGAACTTAAGACCATCAACTTGTTCCCCACCACAATTCAGAAAAAATCCATCTACTTAAATTCACCCATGCCTGTGCAGTGTGGCATGGAGGAGATGGCTAAGGCCACCACTCTGAAATGAGAAGAAGTACAAGTGTTGCCTGAATCACTGCCAGAAATAACCCCTGCTATAAGATCAGTGGTGAAGGAGCAACAGCATCAATTGATTTGCCTAAATCAATTCAGGAAACATTTGCTGAACATCTATTTTTAAGCAAAGAAGAGTGTTTAGGGTGAAAGAGGAGAGTACTACATGGACTATTAAAAATGGATTCCAGTGGTGTTCTGGAACTGGCTTGACCTGCCTCAAGAGATGTGAATGTGAAACTTTTCAGGAATTTTGCCAGTTGTTAAACACAGCCACTCTTGAAATCACCCATCATGGGAGTATCTACACGACAGGATATAGACAAACGTGACCAATCAGGACTATTCTACTCTCTTTCTGGAGAGCCAACTGTTAAATATTTACCAACATGCCACTGCTGTCTTTAAGGAGCTCAAGATTGGGAAGGGGAGGTGGCTAGGACAACAGCTAACTATAAGTCAACATGGAAAATACAAGTGCTATCCTAGAGGTGCCACTGCAGTGAGGAATAACTGAAAAGTACGTAACAATTTAATGTCTAGAAAGGGAGAAAGAAGGGCATTCTTGCACAGGCAAGGACTCTGGGAAACACAGACTGGCCAATGGGACAGACACATGTTTGCCTGTTAGGATACAGATGCAGACAGAGACACAGGAAAAGCTGAAAGGTAGGTGAGGGTGGTGGAGTAAACGGCCTGAAATGTCCTGCTTAGGGGTCTGGGCTTTCTTCTATATGCAGAGAGGAGGTGTTGGAGGCTTTGGGTGGAGAGTCCCAGGTTCCAACCCAAGGGCAGTCATACAGTTTTCATATACATGAAGTCTTGAGCTGCCACTGTAAAGTCTGTGGGTAAATAATTGTCTTCTTTAGGATGCCATCAAATCAGATAATGCAGCTGGTTCTTCAAATGACTGCTGCAACTGCTCACAAAATACCAGGTTTGTAACATTTAGTATTGAAATGTTTTATTCCACCCATGAGAAATATTCAATGTTCTGGACAAATGATGACATAGAAACTAAGCTTCTTCCCAAGTATTGCAGTTTTCAAAACACAGCCCATGGGGATAATTTGGACATTTTCATACATCAGAAAGATGCCGCCTTAGGTACTTTATAAATAGTTTGTTCACTCATGTCTCTATTTTTGTCTATGCATGTAAAAGGAAAAGGAAAAAATATACATTATTAACTCCTACCTTTACTACACTGCCATCCTTTATAACTCGAACATGTTCGATTAATACACAACTCAGACAGACTTTCTAATTGTAGCATTGGGAGTTCCGAAATACTATCAAATCTTTTAAAGAGCAACTGCAATAATTTAGAAAACTTTGTCACTATACTCTTGTCTTGATTCACTGTGGTTGCATGTATTGGACTAGGAGTGTCAGCTCATTAAAAATGTGAAGGCTGTAATGTTTGATGAATAAGACATTCACATCAACACAATTGGTTTCCTCCTGGTATAAAACAATTAAAGTGTCAACAGCTCAGTGGTTTAGTGGCAGAGCAAAGAACAGTGGTTGCAGGCCTGGGGTCAATCTCTCACTTCCATTGGCAACAGAGCTGGAGAATGCAGTGAGAGGAGCCAGCACACCCCAGGCTCACAGGATTAAGGGATGCTTCATGTTTTTTTACTGTTCATTTGTGGCAGACTGAAACAAAAGCACCAGCTGAGTTAAGTGAGCTGAAGTTTTACTGTAAGAAGCAATGAAATGCTCCCTTTCCTTACCCCAAACCAGAATCTCCCACACAGTGCAGTAAATCAAGAATGCAACATATTTCTCTTCCACACCTGTGACTGGGAAGCACATCCCAGAAAGATCTTACTTCCTCTTCACATGGATGCTAAAGAACAATGTCACATCTTGTCTGGGTTATGCTGTTTGTTTTCCAGTCTGTTGGTATTAAAATCGCACCCTAAGCACCTATCATGTCTCGTGGCCCTCTGTTAAGTCCTTTTCAAAAGGTCTGACTTTGCAACACTGGTGTCATTTGGAATTAAAAAAAAATCTGGTGATTTAGTTGTTTCATGTTATCCTGGGGGGAAAAACCCCCACAGCCTATTTTAGAATAATTTAATAGAACATATATTGTGTAAAGTATACAAATTGAAAAAAAAATCAGCCCAATCAGCTCCAATAAGCTGTTTTAGTTTTATTCTTTTTGTAATTACTAGATTCAGTTGTTCTGTGTGAGATGTCACGCATGATGAGCATGAGCCTGAAATGCTAAAACAAAAAAGCTCTTTTGTTTTTTAATTACTAACCTCTTGAGTTTTAGTGCTAGAATTTATATAATTTTCATAATCAATTATTGAGTACTTGGGTCCAAACACGATATAAAATACTCATGCTTGGATTTACATGATATAGCTAAATCTTGTCTCTCTCAGTACTTCCTTATTAAAAGAAATTCTACCAGGTTGATTTGTAGGGACTGATGTATGTCTGGTAAAATGCACAGGAGAACAAAGCCACTCCTTCTTTAGCTCTCTGGGATGTGGTATGGATAGGACTGTCTCCATACTAGAGATTGGCGATTCAAATAAGACATATCTGAACCAGACAGAGTAGGGGAAATTGCTCAGAATAATGGTGTGCATAATCAAGTAAATAAATATTTAGAGGCTTAGAAAACAATTAATGGCAAGAAGAGCTTTATGTTTGAAGAACCTCCACATAAAACTGTGAGTAACGAATCTGACAAAATATAGTATACAATCATGGTCACTGGAGGGCTATCTTGATCAGTACCATATACACATATACACAAAATACTATATACTATTTATATAGTACTGTATATACTGTATAAAGTATATGTAGTTATATATATAACCATAATCTCTCTTGACCATAAATTCTTTGTAGTTGAAATTCAAACATATGTAGATTTACTTTTATGTGCTTAAAAATGCCTCCAAATTGACTTGATAAATATGTAATTTGAAACCAACTTCCATTCACTTCCTTTAATCTGCTATGCCATACACAGTTGTATGGACTCTAAATGTTATAATTGCATATTTTTCCAAGACAGTAAAAATGTCTTTAATGTTGCCCCTTTCCTACTCTCACCAAACCCTCAGTGGACAATCCACTGATAAACACTAGTGCCAAGAAGAGAACAGACACAAAGAACTCAGATTGTGATAATTCTTAACCTTCTGAGTCACTGCCAAACTTAAGAACCAGATGAATGCCAAGAGAAGTTGCTCCAGAAAACTGCATATATTTAACTACATGCAGATTTTTTTCATACAATTTCAAATGGTTCATAGGCCTTCTGATTTCCATTAATAGACCCATAGATTCCAGGTCAAGAACCTCAGGATTACGATGTCAGAATGCTGAAGCATAAAGCAGCATTTCCACCATCTAGCCATAATTTTAGAACATATTGCAGAGGAAATACCTTCCAAGAAAGTTAAATGCTTGAAGGAAATTCCTTTTGAACAAGGGGCATGATCTAGAGACACCTTGTTGTGGGGTAATAAGGCTTACATGATTTCCTACACTGCCCCATATGAGAAAAATATAATCAAGCAAACAAAACCAAAATAAACAAAATAACTCACTCAGTCTATGCATCATATTTCCTTCAAGAGAGGAGAAACCCGGATCAGGCTATCTGATGAATGTGACAGCCAACAGGAGAAGCATACGTTGGCAGTGTGGGTCCCTATTTAGATGATCCCGAGAGTTTGGGGAGCTAAGTAGAAGATTTTCTTTCCTAAATACAATCCCTCACTTTCCATTCTTTTTCTTCTCTATTAATGTCATCAGTGATGTATTAATATTAATACAGGATTAAAGATAAATGGAAATTAATTCTATAGTACCCATTCTTACTACTGATATTAAATACCACTGAAAATCACTTTATTTAGTACGTGAAAATAAAAATTATTGTGAGAGCTTCTCACGGCTTTGCCAATGACCCTGAACTTTGATTTTCCCTTTTAAGGTAAAAACATCAGCCAAGAACTTGCAATTATTCTTAGTGTGGCCACCCATAAGTTCCCTCTCAGAAGGGATTGCAGACAACTAATCTGAGTAGTTGAAGATAATTTATTGTGTTTCTGGGCCTTACAGCAACATTTCAAGGTATATATTTTTAGTCTGTCCTAGAGTTGAGAAAGCTGAAACTCAGAAATGCAAGCTGGAGATGTACTTCCCACTCCTACTTTCTGGACAAAGATTTGTTTCCCTTATCCATGAGTGTTTTTCTGATCATTAGAAGAGCAACTCATGGTTTTCTATCTGCTGTTCACAGACTGACCCATCTTCTATGGTCTTACTTTGGTTCTGTCATTTCAGGGCTGTGGTATAGCAGGACATGGCCTGGAGGCTTGGCATTCTGATGATTCTTGCTCACTTTTATCTCCCTGGCTAAGCCTTACCTACCCTGAACCTTGTTCATCCCAAGTTACTTGTGCCTTCCTTGCTAGGAGATAGCTATCTTTGGTTATGTGGTATCGCTCTGTGAGAGGGTTTGGTAGCACTATAAATCTTCAGGACCCAATTAAGAAGGGAAAGGAAAATGTGGGGTCAGGTATGAATCACAATTCCTCAATCAGAATAAGGTTGCCATAGTAACCACGCCTGTTTTTGCTCCTACCGCTGATCTGCTTGCTGGCTTGGGTGTTCAAGGTAATTTGCACAGAATTGCTCCAGTTCTCTGATCCACACAATTTTAATTTTATACCACTTAATTTTGTACCATTGCTTCCCTTGAGCATCAAATGAAGAAGGCATTAAGAGTTTAAAATCAAAGCATACATACATTTTCTGACCACAGTTCTCCACCTGATCAAATGCAAGAAGACCATTCCTCATTTCCCCTTCTTGAAGCTTCACATTTCCCCTTTCCTTATTCTTCCTTCCCTCAGTGTACTCACATACACGCAAACATAAACACATCCCACCCCCCCATCTGAACACAGTTTGTGGTATGTTTGAAGAACTACTCTGAAAATAAGTTATGTATATATACATATGTACATAACTTATTTTCATATATATTATATATGAATATATATGTGTGAATATATATATATGGAATCCTAAGCATCTTGTAGACTTGTAACCTTTCTACAATTAAGCTAAGGAAGTTTAACAAAAACACTGGACTTGGCATAATGAAATTTAAACTTTTTTCATTTGACATGTCTTCCTTGTAAATAATAAAAGAGACTCACTCCCTTTATTTTCAAGCACCAAGAAAATAGAGTGCTCTTTAGAGGTTCTGAGGGGACAGAAAACTTTGTGTGATTGTTTCAGTGGTGTATGAAGCTGTGGTGTTGCTAACTCTGGTTTGGTAAGTGATCTTTCATGATAAAGAAGCACCAGGAGCTGTAGAAAGTCCAAAAGTAACACCACAATGCTACAGTGAGACCAGACACTAGAAGCCATATCAAGAACTGAGCAGAAAAGTGGGGTCGTGTGGCCTTGAGGTCATTTTGTGGGACAGATATCCCCATCTGATGATGTACAGGGGCCACTGAGGATCAGTAAACTTAGGCTGAAGTTTGCGACCCTCCTCAAATCTGAAAGTGTGGGGTTGATCTCTGGTCAGACACGTATGAGACCCAAATCATTCACTTTGATGCCATCCCTCCCTCACTTTCTCTTCTTACTGAAGTTTTCAAGCTATGTTCCTCTCCATGCCTGATACCACCCAAGTCTCCCATTTGTGTCCCCAGACTTGTTATCTTCCCTTGGAAGTCTCTTTTGATCTCTCTGGGATCAAAGAAAAGAATAGGCTGGGTGGGGTGGCTCACGCCTGTATTCCTAGCACTTTGGGAGGCCGAGGTGGGTGGATCACTTTAGGTCAGGAGTTTGAGACCAGCCTGTCCGGCATGGCGAAACCCTGTCTCTACTAAAAATACAAAAATTAGCCAGGCATGGTGGTGCATGCCTGTAGTAACAGCTACTCAGGAAGCTGAGGCATGACAATCGCTTGAACCTGAGACACAGAGATTGCAGTGAGCTGAGATCATGCCACTGCACCCCAGCCTGGGTGATAGAGTGAAACTCCGACTTCAAAAACAAAACAGACAAAAACAAGAAACAAAATAACAAAGAATGACTTTTCATCCTTTCCTACTTTATATTATTTCTAACATTTGCTAACACTTCTGTGGTGGTCATTAGTTTTATTCACTAATTTTCAGCTCTCTACCTCAATGGAATGTCTTTCCCAGCTTCCCTGAGCCATTTGACCTGTCCTGACCAATGAAATGTGTGCATCCATGTGGCTGCTTTAAGGGCCACTATTTATCTTGGTTCATTTCCTCCCCTTTCCAAGGTGACTGAGGAAGCACCTTGTGAAGATGAGGCCTCAGCCTGTGTCTCTGAGTGAACAATGAGCAGAACCCCCTCCATGTCTACATTTGGACATATGGTGTAAGAAATAAAGGTCTGTTATATCCAGCAAGCACAAAACCTAGTCAATCCTGAATGATACAATGTCTGTCATGTCTATTTTGGATCATAAGTCCTTGGACAAAAACTGCAATGTATCTGTTCTTGAAAACAATCCTAAGGAGATGGCTAGTTTTGCTATTCCTTATTCAGTGATGAGGAAATGAGGAAAGTGATGAGAATACACATAATTTACCTAACGACTCACAGCTATTAAAGGGTGAAGTTGAAACTAACACTCAGGTTTTATTACTCCAAAACCCATACTCTTTCTATGGTATTGTGATGGCAGTTAACTCTTACGCTATGTAGGCAGAAGGACAGGTTTGTTTTTGAAACACAGTAGAACATTTTTGATAAGGTAGTGAGAAAAATACCACAAGCCATACAAGAAAATTCATGCTTTCATGTTGAAAAATCAATAGTAGTACTGGATACATCGACACTCTTTACAGCATTCTACTTTTGTGTTTATTTCTTCTAGCAATAGGAAAGTTTCCAAATATCTGGTGAAAAAAAAATTGGGATTCTCATATGAATATCACTTTCAGATTGGGTGAACTGAATTTCATATAATTAGAATCTGAGTAAAATTCAAGTAATAACATTCTTTGAAATTTTAAGTGGTAATTGTCATGCATATCAAAAATGATCTGAAAAGATACACATAAACTATCAATAGTGAAGAGATCAAGATTTTCTGCAGGGTGAGAACTTTAACTTTTACTAGATATTCTTATATATTATCTGCATACTTTACAATATGAATGCATTTATTATTTGTATAATGAACACACACACTAAATGTGATGAAGAACTGCTGACCCCTTAATTGTGGACTTGTGAGATAGTAATATTTGGTACTCGTAATGAAAAGCTAGACTTACTGGGCACTTGGCTTAGTTGATGAGCATTATTTAATGCTTTGATATTCTTATGTTTAAGATAAAATTATTCATAAAGGAAAGAAGAAGTAAAATAAGCTCCATGCTTCACACTACATCCAAATTAAATTATTTTGTTGATTTTTTTGTAATGATATTTATTCAAAGCATTAATGATGAAGTAAAATGACGAAGAGGAAAAAGATAATATGCTAAGTTGAAAATAATCATGAATGTCAAATGTTGCTTAATCTTGTTAATTACAAACACATAAGACACATGTCTGAAGAAATAAAATAAAACAACAACACGCTTTTGGGCACTTGGTTGTTACTAAAGAGGAACACTTCAAATCTAAAAAGATTTTATTTTATCCTCTTCTTTACAGAAAAGAAACTATGTTTGAGTTTCTTATTTCTAAACTCATCAACAATTACACAAGGTAGTGATACACTGTTGCTCTACAGTCACACCTTATTTTGAGGTATAACATTGGTAATAAGGCAATGGAATTACTTTCTTAATCCAATGACTAGTTTCTCTATAACCATATTCTATAATGAGCACCAAGACAGACGATTTGGGCTTGGCAATTATTTAAAACTTTAGAGATTCTGAAATTCTTACTCTAAACATAACACAGTAGTGACATTTTAAAAATAGTTATGTATGTATGTATCCATCCATCCATCCATCCATCTACACATATACTACACTTTGGCCCTGAGTTTCTAGCTCTTAACTGGTAGACTCAGAATCCAGGGGAAAAAGTTGACAACTCAGTCCAACTCTGGAATTCCACTGATATTGAGGGCTCTGTTTTGCCTGGATATTGCTTTCAATTGCTTAGTTTGGGAGGAGATAAGCACCAGATTCTATTACTTCTTTCCTCAATTCCACTGAGAGGTTATAAACACTTGCATTTCATTACAATGTTCATGATCAGTTATAAAGGGTATGAGTTAACATATCTGAGGAATGTTTAAATGATACTCCTAAAAATCTTCATTTAATTACTGGAAATCACAAGAAATCAAAGTTCTTTTTTTTTAAAAAAAAATGAATCACACAGTAACCATGCAGAAGAAGAAATTACTTCGGCAGATAGCGATGGTACAGAAGTCCTTGGTAAGGTTTTCCTTTTAATGAAAAGCAGCCCCCAAATAATTTTCTTTTCTAATAAAGAACAGCCTGTAAAATCAAGCTGCAGCCATAGACAAGCAAGCTGGAAGCTTGCACGGATGAATGCCGGCAGTTGTGCCAATAGGAAAAGGCTACCTGGGACTAGGCATGTTCAAAATGGCAGCTCCGTCTTCCCTTCTCTTTGCTAAACCGTGCGTACTGTAAGGAGAAGACAGTATGGCGCAGGCCAGGCAAAGACTCCATTTGCATAATAAGATTATGGTGGGGTGACCAGTCTTCCCCATGCACTATGTAGATGTCACACTTGGTCGAACCAATCTGTGGACCCTACATATATCAGTCACCGCCTCCTCAAGCCTGCCTATAAAATATGGTGTAGTATGGTCAGTTTTTCCCTTTTAGGAGCCCATCTCTCTCTGGCAAGGGGGAGAGCTGTTCTCCTTTCTCTTTCTTTTGCCTATTAAACCTCCACTCCTAAACTCACTCCTCGTGTGTGTCTGTGTCCTTAATCTTCTTGGCACTAGACTACAGACCTTGGGTATTTACCCTAGACAACGATGCCACTTCAGCAAATCTTAGCATTCAGGGATCACTTCATAAATATTGGTTCCTTTACTCTTCCTGATCTGAAAATTACTACAATTCTTAACAAATAAAAGTGATACTTCATAATAAAAAGGAAGATAATTATGGGATTAATGGTGAAAAGAACACTCTGTTCAGAAATGTTTGGAAGAAGTTGCTGACCATCTGTCTTAAGAAATTCCCACATAGTCCCCATGATATATGCCCTCACTAAAATTTTGGTTTAAAGCTGACATTGTAGCAGCTGTCTACTGATTCCCATGGGTCTTGACTGCAATACGAAAAGAGAGCAATGTTTGGATTGTGGCACATGACAAAGAACTACGAGATGAGTATTCATCAGTACTTAACCATATTTTAAAATAAAACAATACCTTATTACAAGCACAAAGAGTAATTATCATGTTTAAATGAATTAAAGCAATATTTTAAAAGAAATGTGATGATATGCACATAATTACGTACTGTTTTTAATAATTTAACTATTCTCAACCACTGCTTTATTTAATCCTGTTCTTGTGCTTTAATTGAGCTAATAGGTCTCCTTTAACCTGATTTTGGTGGTATTTCTTCCTGCAGATTTATTGTAGCTCTGTTACCAATATAACATTTCATGTCCATATTCTCCTCTTAAAAGGTATAACTGACTAACATGCAGAGAATATTTTAATTGTCACAGATTTTATAGGGTCGGCAACAGCCCAGTACTTGATGTTAAGTTCAGGCTTTTTCCTTGTCTCAGAATTTAAAGAAAAAATGAAACAAAAAAACAAAACCAAACAAAAAACCCTACATTGTGGATCCATGTGATCGCTGAAAGAGAAAGACTGGAGTGTACTGTGTCCTGCTGGTGAAGAAAATTAACCTGAATAAATATTTTTCTCCAAAGAGAAGGGTTCACTCAAAAGTAGCTTTTCAAACTTTACCATAAACTTGGAAGACAAAGCTTTTGTAATTTGTACATAAACAATAAGTGAACCATTAGGAGCCAATTGGCCTATCTAAGATCAATGATAATGGGGAGAAGTTGGGATCCTTGTATGTTGCTGGTGGGGATGTAAAACTATGCAGCCACTTTAATGTTCATAGCAGCATTATTCATAACAGCCCCAAATTGGAAATGACCAGAGGTCTATCAACTAGAGAATAGATAAATAAAATGTGGTATATCCATAAAATGGAATATTATTAGGGAAGGGAATCGAAGGGGAGGGGAGGGGAGGAGAGGAGAGGGGAGGGGAGGAGAGGAGAGGGGAGGGGAGGAGAGGAGAGGGGAGGGGAGGAGAGGAGAGGGGAGGGGAGGAGAGGAGAGGGGAGGGGAGGAGAGGAGAGGGGAGGGGAGGAGAGGAGAGGGGAGGGGAGGAGAGGAGAGGAGAGGGGAGGGGAGGAGAGGAGAGGGGAGGGGAGGGGAGAAGGAAGACAGGAAGGCAGACAGTGCTGACACATGCCACAAGATGGATGAACCTTGAAACCATTACACTAACTAAAAGAAGCCAGTCACAAAAGGCCACATATGCATGATTCCATTTATATGAAGTGTCCAAAATTGGTAAATCCACATAAACAGAAAGTAGATGAGTAGTTGCCTGAGGCTGTGGGGGTTTGGGGGAAGTGGGAATAGAAAGTGACAGCCAATGGATATGCAGCTTCTCTTTAGAGTAGATGAAAATGTTTTGGAATTAGATTGTGGCGATGTTTGCACAACTCTGTGAATACACTAAAAACCCCCGAACTGCTTTAAACTTAAAGTATTTAAATTAAAATATTTTAATTTATTTAAATATTTAAGTATATTTATTTAAAGTATATTTAAAGGGTAGATTTTAGGATGTGGTAATATCTCAACAAAGTTGTAAAAATAAAATAATTCTATGCTCTCTCTAGGTAAAAAGCCTCCCATAGTTTTGGGAGTAACTTGCCCATTTTATAATGATGCTTATGAATGTAATAATGACGGCAATGACAATAATATACTGGTGGGTATATAGATAAATCATTATAGGAATATGTACTAATGGAAAGTAGTTCTATATGGTAAGTGAGATTATGAGGTATGTCCTCTTTATATTGTGTAGTTCTATTGTTTTTGCATTTATATACTGAACATGTGTTACTTCTGTAATCCGGAAAAAAGTATAGTTTTAAACAAAGTTTTAAAAATAGAAGTTTTGGAAAAGGAGATGCATAGGGGCTATCGACCAAGCAGGGCATGATGGTTAGAACTGAGCTGGGTTTTGTAGGATTAGTAGAATTGGATAGAGAAAGGCCAAGGGAAGGGCAACAGTTTTCTAAATAGTTCTTTTATTTCTATATCATTGTTTACTCTCTCTGAACTCAGGGTTGAAATGTGTGTGTCTTATTCACCACTGAGTCCCCCGGGTCTAGAATTATGTCTGGGACATACGAGATACTCAATAAACAGTAATTGAATACATGAACAAACACTTGTTGCCAGAATCCTTTTCCTAAAATACAGATGACAGCTGGGGCTACCACTCGCAATGTATGCACGCCTTTATGCAAATTAGAAAAAGGTGTC
Source organism: Homo sapiens (assembly GCF_000001405.40). Classification (NCBI taxonomy): domain Eukaryota; kingdom Metazoa; phylum Chordata; class Mammalia; order Primates; family Hominidae; genus Homo; species Homo sapiens. The sequence goes on along the minus strand of NC_000007.14, from coordinate 91,184,975 downwards.
CCATTCCCCTAGGTTGATGCCCTTCTTCTCTAGGATTTGTGGCTAGGAGAATCAATCTGGAGTTCACCTCACCCATGACCGACCCCAACCCTACTGCCTGGCCAATCTTCCTTCTGAGGCCCCTGCCCCCAACTGCATACAGGGCTGGCAATCAAAGCCCTTCTCAATCTGACCCCAACTTTCCTGCTCCATCAGAACCATTTTCAACCTTGATTCCGTGCTTATGCTACAGTAGTCCTCAGCTTCAGTGTATGAATTCCCACTACTGCCTTCATCCCACCAATTCAGCAACTTTACACCAAACACCTACCATTTAATAAAGAGGAGCCATCCCCATTCTAATATTGTTCTCAGCGACTCTCTAGAAGCTCCCTCTTGTCCTCACATGCTCCCACTCAGACTCTCTTTCTTCCTGTCTTTGATTAAGAAGATATACTAGCTTTTGACTCTCAGCTTTCCCTTCATTTGGGCCTTGGTCCCCTTTGGACAATTTTCCTGGACTTTAAAGGAAACAGGCAGCCTGCCTCCTTAGTCCTCCTCAGGTGGAATCAACAAGCACTCTTTCTCCGAACTTACCCAGCACATTGTAAAACCTTTATAAATAAAACCTTGATCATACCACATTATGTTGTTTTCTTACATATTTCTACCTTAAGACTGTGGAAGCTTCTTAAGGAGTTCTTTTTTTTTTTTGAGAGGATCTCACTCTGTCACCCAGGCTGGAAGTGCGGCGGTGGCGCAATCAGCTAATTTTTTTTTTTTTTTTTTTTTAAGACGGAGCCTCACTCTGTCACCCAGGCTGGAGTGCAGTGGTGCAATCTCGGCTCACTGCAACCTCTGCCACCTGGGTTCAAGTGATTCTCCTGCCTCAATCTTCCAAGTAGCTGGGATTATGTCTATTAAAAAATGTAATTTTAAGCGCCTGGTTTAAAAATTTTTTAGTAGAGACAGGTCTTACTCACTATGTTGCTCAGGCTAGTCTTGAACTCCTGGCCTCAAGTGATCCTCCTGCCTTGGCCTCCCAAAGTGCTGTGATTACTGGTGTGAGCCAACACACTGGGCCAAGAACCATTTCTTATTTTTAGGCACTTAGCACTGTGCTTGGCATAGGCCAGGTGTTCAATAAATTTGTATAGAGACAATGAATAGATAAGGCATGGAGACAGAATCTGGTGTGAATAGAGAAACTGAGACTTTGGGGGTAGATTTTAGTAGGATGGAATCAGATTGTAACAGGTATTGAAATTAAAACAGAGGAGCTTAGACTTGAGGTGGAAAGAACTAAGGTGTCAGTTCAGATCTCAGAGAAGGGAATGACATGTTATGTGTCACCATTCAATGTAGAAGGGAAGCGAATGAAGGAGAGCCTGTAGTCATAGCAAGCATTCAGTAAGTGTTTGTTGTTTGACTGGTTGAGCCTGGAGAAACTCTTACAGAAATATATTGGCATGAGATGAGAGAATAAAGAAAAGGGCGGGAAATCAAGAGACTGTTAAAAGCAAAGACCTGCCAGTCTTGGAAGCTGATAGGAAATGCAGATGAAAGGAGAGCTAGAGTGACTGGGTGCAGAATGGGACCATGAATAAGTAAGGGTAGAAAAGGTGAGAGGAGAAACTGACTTGTAAGGGGAGAAGAGACCAGCTTTGAAAACACTAAGCTGCAGTGGCTGGTCTATGTGCACACATGTGCTTATATGACTGTGTAGTAAAGTATGTCTGTGACACACACAAACTCTGTGCTGTTTTAGTAAGTCCTTCCTCCCACTGTGCACCACCCCAGCCTGGGTTTAGTTTTCAGCCAACAAAAACAAAATTACTCATAAAATTAATGGAAACAATCTGCTTTTTCCTTGCCATAGAAAGGATTTTTCTTAATTACTTTTTTTAGGAGCTTTGAATCATATATCCTGAAGGTTGATTAAATCCCTTAGAAGTGAACTAAACATTAGAAGTTTGCAACGCGACTCTCAGAGCTGGTGTTTACTTGTTGCATATAAATGGATATGCCTTGGAAAGCTCTGCTTCAGCTAGTGTAATGAGCACAGGCTTTCCCTCTCTGGTGAAAAATTTATTCCTCAACATTTATAAGGAATAGGATCTGGTTAAAATGTTAATTAAAAACTGAGTCTCCAAATAATCTCACGTTGGAAAATTAGGTTTTCTAATATGAATCTCTTATATTTGTGTAGGCTTTTCCTTTAAGAAAAAGTGCTTTCCATTCATATTTTTTCCTTTTGTTCTCTCCAGCTGTCCTTAAAGGAAGCATGGCAGGTGGTAGGTGCATATAGTGGTATAAAGAGAAGCACATCACCATTTACCTAAGAGAGGGGAGTTCATAAATATAGATACGTACTTGCTTATATTATAAAGTCTACCTTCTATCCCTGTCCCTCTTTTCTATATATATATCCTATTTTTTTAAATTTTATGTTTTACTTTCCATTAAGCTATAAAATAAAAAAAATTGCATAAGGAGAAGGAGAGACAGAGGTGGAGGTAGACTTCTTTGAATAAACCTTATTTTATCAATCTGACTTTGAAACTATACATTTTACAATATTATTAAACAAAAAAATGTAAAAGGCAATCCTAAAAAGAAAAAAAAACCTATCTATCTAATTGGTGGTATATGAGAATAATTACAGCAAGTGATTTGAAAACATAGCAATTTGACTATGGTACTATACAATAATTAGATTATACAGTATATTTCTCATTGGAATACCCTAGTAAAAACAAAGAACTGCAAAAAGAGAAAAAAGGAAGAAAAAATCTGAACCCATTTTCATTAATCATATTGCCATTCTGAGGCTAGTGTGTGTGCAGTGTGGGATAAAGCAGATGAGTAATCCATTAGCCATAATTTCCAGTGTGTAGAAAGAGGTATCATTTTAAGATCAGAAAGGGTAAGTGAAAACTCCATAATCTTGAATTTGAATTATAACTATGAATATAAATTTATAATGTGTTTCATCTTAAAAAGAAACATACATATCATAATCTATTAAAAAGGTATAGGAACAATGATCAACCTAGTAGCAATGTATACCCTTAGTACTCAAATTGTGACCTCACAATTTGTAGACAATGATAGAAAAGACTGATTCCATGTCTGGAGCAGGAAAAACATTAGATGAGTCTGGAACATCTTGTCATGCCAGAAAGAAAGGAAGCTATTAGAAATTCTTAGGGTCTGGTCAAAAGGGGTCAGAAGAAAACTTGAAGAGTCTCCCATTGGTCAAAAAAATAACTGCAATAAATCAAAACACATCCATCACCTTTGGAGGATATTAGGAAACTATTCATTATTTTGAAAAGAGAAAGAACCAAGCCTTCATCTTGTCTTTTCTATAAAAAAGATTCCCCAGGGCAACAAAATAACATAATAAGGGGAAGATTTTCTGTTTAGAAATGTTCCAGCTAATAAACTATAAAGAACTGATAGAATTAGACAGAATATAATCATTTTGTAATCCTCAGTGGATTAGTGGATCTAGGAAATGATCACTAACAGCTACAGAAATATACATCACCATCACAAAATATTTTTGCCTTAAAAAAAATTAAACCTAAATCTGATCAAAATTCTTGATCTACATACCAATTTGTAGAAAATATGGGAGAGAGAGGAACATGTTAAAGGACACCACAGGAATGCAATCAGCAAAACTGACTGTGGGAAACTCTAAAGGACAAGTCATTTGGCTTCTTCCACAAAATTTTATGAAGAAAGAAAGGTGAATAGAGGGAAAGGGAGAGAAAAAGGGAGACGGAGGGAGGGAAGAAATTCAGACTCAAATAAATTTAAAAACATTGTTGACAGAACAATCAGAGAAATGTAAACATTAGCTGAATATTTAATAGTATTAAGGAAGTGCTGAAATTGGTTTTGGCCAGGAGAGTGTGACCATGGTGTTGTGATTAGGTTTAAAACGGATGGTATTTATAGAACTACATTCTGAAATATTTAAGAGGAAACAATGTTGTCTTGGATTTGTTGTGAAGTAATTTGGGTAGGAAGGGGAGAGTGCATGTAGATCAGAGGAAAAAAGAACTGAAAGTTGGTAATTGTTGAAGCTCTGTACATGGCAGTTCATTCTGTCTACTTTTGCATATGTTTAAAATTTTCCATAATAAAAAAATGTAAAAGCACTATGTCTGCCCCTTTGGCCTCCTTGAATATTCATCTCTTCCTTTCTCCTCCTCTAAATCCCAGTCAAGTTCCACTTTGGCTTTTAAGGCATTTCTGACCAAAACACCCCTGGCATGGGTTCTTCTCCCTGACCTCGTGGAGAGACCCTCATCTACTCCATTACTTATCTGACACACATAGGCTGTTTTATTTTAATTAAAAATAACAACAACAGCTTTTTCCTGATCTTTATTGTAGAAGTCACAAATGAGCAAAAAAACAATTCTGCTCGCCCGTAATCCTACTCAATCAGGAGAGAACTAACGTCAACATTCTGCTGATATTTTTCAGTCTTCTTTCTATGCATGTATGTGTATACTTGCGTTACAGAGATGGGGCTGTACTATACATAGCTGTTTTGCAACCTGCTTTTTTGAGTTAATGATAGGCATAGAGCATATTTAAGCATGATCATTAAATATTACCTTAATGACTATTTAATAGACCCAGCACAAATTGTATTATTATTTAAACTTTTCTCCAAAACTAGGAAGGGTAAACTCCTTGAAGGCAGAAGGGATGTGAATTTGTGATGCATTTTGTATCCCTAGCAAAGCATCTTTCATGATAAGCATTAATGATCATGCTTACTCAAGGTGGGGATCTCTGATTGCGTTAATCATGTGGTTGTGCTTCTGCACCTCAGCTGACAAGGGGAATCTGAAGACTGAATCCATTACAAAGGATCCTTTTTTCTCCTTTAGTACTTCCAGTGCACTTCCCTTATAGAATTTTATTCTAATGTAATATGTTCTTTTTCTGGAATGTCTTGATTTATTACTCTATAATACTCTATAGCATAAATATGTACATAAGTTTGAATCTAATTTTTTAAAAATTCCTAATAAGATTAAAAACATTTAAGATTTTCTTCTGGATTGAATCATTATTAAAATTATATTGGTACATGAATGATCAAATTAACAAAATAGTACAAATTCGAAAATAATTATTAAAAATAAAAGTAAACTTTTTTTTTTTTGAGACGGAGTCTCGCTCTGTCGCCCAGGCTGGAGTGCAGTGGTGCAATCTCCACTCACTGCAACCTCTGCCTCCTGGGTTCATGCCATTCTCCTGCCTTGGCCTCCCAAGTAGCTGGGACTACAGGCGCCCGCCACCACGCCCGGCTAATTTTTTTGTATTTTTAGTAGAGACGGGGTTTCACCGTGTTAGCCAGGATGTTCTCCATCTCTTGACCTCGTGATCCGCCCACCTCGGCCTCCCATAATGCTGGGATTACAGGCGTGAGTCACTGCGCCGGGCTGCATTTTTTTTTTTTAATTATACTTTAAGTTTTAGGGTACATGTGCACATCGTGCAGGTTAGTTACATATGTATACATGTGCCATGCTGGTGCGCTGCACCCACTAACTCGTCATCTAGCATTAGGTATATCTCCCGATGCTATCCCTCCTCCCTCCCCCCACCCCACAACAGTCCCCAGAGTGTGATATTCCCCTTCCTGTGTCCATGTGATCTCATTGTTCAATTCCCACCTATGAGTGAGAATATGCGGGGTTTGGTTTTTTGTTCTTGTGATAGTTTACTGAGAATGATAATTTCCAGTTTCATCCATGTCCCTACAAAGGACATGAACTCATCATTTTTTATGGCTGCATAGTATTCCATGGTGTATATGTGCCACATTTTCTTAATCCAGTCTATCATTGTTCCATGGTGTATATGTGCCACATTTTCTTAATCCAGTCTATCATTGTTGGACATTTGGGTTGGTTCCAAGTCTTTGCTATTGTGAATAATGCCGCAATAAACAGATGTGTGCATGTGTCTTTATAGCAGCATGATTTATAGTCCTTTGGTATATACCCAGTAATGGGATGGCTGGGTCAAATGGTATTTCTAGTTCTAGATCCCTGAGGAATCGCCACACTGACTTCCACAATGGTTGAACTAGTTTACAGTCCCATCAACAGTGTAAAAGTGTTCCTATTTCTCCACATCCTCTCCAGCACCTGTTGTTTCCTGACTTTTTAATGATTGCCATTCTAACTGGTGTGAGATGGTATCTAATAGTGGTTTTGATTTGCATTTCTCTGATGGCCAGTGATGATGAGCATTTTTTCATGTGTTTTTTGGCTGCATAAATGTCTTCTTTTGAGAAGTGTCTGTTCATGTCCTTCGCCCACCTTTTGATGGGGTTGTTTTTTTCCTGTAAATTTGTTTGAGTTTGTTGTAGATTCTGGATATTAGCCCTTTGTCATATGAGTAGGTTGTGAAAATTTTCTCTCATTTTGTAGGTTGCCTGTTCACTCTGATGGTAGTTTCTTTTGCTGTGCAGAAGCTCTTTAGTTTAATTAGATCCCATTTGTCAATTTTGGCTTTTGTTGCCATTGCTTTTGGTGTTTTAGACATGAAGTCCTTGCCCATGCCTATGTCCTGAATGGTAATGCCTAGGTTTTCTTCTAGGGTTTTTATGGTTTTAGGTCTAACGTTTAAGTCTTTAATCCATCTTGAATTCATTTTTGTATAAGGTGTAAGGAAGGGATCCAGTTTCAGCTTTCTACATATGGCTAGCCAGTTTTCCCAGCACCATTTATTGAATAGGGAATCCTTTCCCCATTGCTTGTTTTTCTCAGGTTTGTCAAAGATCAGATAGTTGTAGATATGCGGTGTTATTTCTGAGGGCTCTGTTCTGTTCCATTGATCTATATCTCTGTTTTGGTACCAGTACCATGCTGTTTTGGTTACTGTAGCCTTGTAGTATAGTTTGAAGTCAGGTAGTGTGATGCCTCCAGCTTTGTTCTTTTGGCTTAGGATTGACTTGGTGATGCGGGCTCTTTTTTGGTTCCATATGAACTTTAAAGTAGTTTTTTCCAATTCTGTGAAGAAAGGCATTGGTAGCTTGATGGGGATGGCATTGAATCTATAAATTACCTTGGGCAGTATGGCCATTTTCACAATATTGATTCTTCCTACCCATGAGCATGGAATGTTCTTCCATTTGTTTGTATCCTCTTTTATTTCCTTGAGCAGTGGTTTGTAGTTCTCCTTGAAGAGGTCCTTCACATCCCTTGTAAGTTGGATTCCTAGGTATTTTATTCTCTTTGAAGCAATTGTGAATGGGAGTTCACTCATGATTTGGCTCTCTGTTTGTCTGTTGTTGGTGTATAAGAATGCTTGTGATTTTTGTACGTTGATTTTGTATCCTGAGACTTTGCTGAAGTTGCTTATCAGCTTAAGGAGATTTCGGGCTGAGACAATGGGGTTTTCTAGATATACAATCATGTCGTCTGCAAACAGGGACAATCTGACTTCCTCTTTTCCTAATTGAATACCCTTTATTTCCTTCTCCTGCCTGATTGCCCTGGCCAGAACTTCCAACACTATGTTGAATAGGAGTGGTGAGAGAGGGTATCCCTGTCTTGTGCCAGTTTTCAAAGGGAATGCTTCCAGTTTTTGCCCATTCAGTATGATATTGGCTGTGGGTTTGTCATAGATAGCTCTTATTATTTTGAAATACGTCCCATCAATACCTAATTTATTGAGAGTTTTTAGCATGAAGGGTTGTTGAATTTTGTCAAAGGCTTTTTCTGCATCTATTGAGATAATCATGTGGTTTTTGTCTTTGGCTCTGTTTATATACTGGATTACATTTATTGATTTGCATATATTGAACCAGCCTTGCATCCCAGGGATGAAGCCCACTTGATCATGGTGGATAAGCTTTTTGATGTGCTGCTGGATTCAGTTTGCCAGTATTTTATTGAGGATTTTTGCATCAATGTTCATCAAGGATATTGGTCTAAAATTCTCTTTTTTGGTTGTGTCTCTGCCTGGCTTTGGTATCAGAATGATGCTGGCCTCATAAAATGAGTTAGGGAGGATTCCCTCCTTTTCTATTGATTAGAATAGTTTCAGAAGGAATGGTACCAGTTCCTCCTTGTACCTCTGGTAGAATTCGGCTGTGAATCCATCTGGTCCTGGACCCTTTTTGGTTGGTAAGCTATTGATTATTGCCACAATTTCAGCTCCTGTTATTGGTCTATTCAGAGATTCAACTTTTTCCTGGTTTAGTCTTGGGAGAGTGTATGTGTCGAGGAATTTATCCATTTCTTCTAGATTTTCTAGTTTATTTGCATAGAGGTGTTTGTAGTATTCTCTGATGGTAGTTTGTATTTCTGTGGGATCGGTGGTGATATGCCCTTTATCATTTTTTATTGTGTCTATTTGATTCTTCTCTCTTTTTTTCTTTATTAGTCTTGCTAGCAGTCTATCAATTTTGTTGATCCTTTCAAAAAACCAGCTCCTGGATTCATTAATTTTTTGAAGGGTTTTTTTGGTCTCTATTTCCTTCAGTTCTGCTCTGATTTTAGTTATTTCTTGCTTCTGCTAGCTTTTGAATGTGTTTGCTCTTGCTTTTCTAGTTCTTTTAATTGTGATGTTAGGGTGTCAATTTTGGATCTTTCCTGCTTTCTCTTGTGGGCATTTAGTGCTATAAATTTCCCTCTACACACTACTTTAAATGCGTCCCAGAGATTCTGGTATGTTGTGTCTTTGCTCTCGTTGCGTTCAAAGAACATCTTTATTTATGCCTTCATTTCATTATGTACCCAGTAGTCATTCAGGAGCAGGTTGTTCAGTTTCCATGTAGTTGAGCAGTTTTGAGTGAGATTCTTAATCCTGAGTTCTAGTTTGATTGCACTGTGGTCTGAGAGATAGTTTGTTATAATTTCTGTTCTTTTACATTTGCTGAGGAGAGCTTTACTTCCAAGTATGTGGTCAATTTTGGAATAGGTGTGGTGTGGTGCTGAAAAGAATGTGTATTCTGTTGATTTGGGGTGGAGAGTTCTGTAGATGTCTATTAGGTCCGCTTGGTGCAGAGCTGAGTTCAATTCCTGGGTATCCTTGTTGACTTTCTGTCTCATTGATCTGTCTAATGTTGACAGTGGGGTGTTAAAGTCTCCCATTATTAATGTGTGGGAGTCTAAGTCTCTTTGTAGGTCACTCAGGACTTGCTTTATGAATCTGGGTGCTCCTGTATTGGGTGCATATATATTTAGGATAGTTAGCTCTTCTTGTTGAATTGATCCCTTTACCATTATGTAATGGCCTTCTTTGTCTCTTTTGATCTTTGTTGGTTTAAAGTCTGTTTTATCAGAAACTAGGATTGCAACCCCTGCCTTTTTTTGTTTTCCATTGGCTTGGTAGATCTTCCTCCATCCTTTTATTTTGAGCCTATGTGTGTCTCTGCACGTGAGATGGGTTTCCTGAATACAGCACACTGATGGGTCTTGACTCTTTATTCAATTTGCCAGTCTGTGTCTTTCAATTGGAGCATTTAGTCCATTTACATTTAAAGTTAATATTGTTATGTGTGAATTTGATCCTGTCATGATGATGTTAGCTGGTTATTTTGCTCGTTAGTTGATGCAGTTTCTTCCTAGTCTCGATGGTCTTTACATTTTGGCATGATTTTGCAGCAGCTGATACCGGTTGTTCCTTTCCATGTTTAGTGCTTCCTTCAGGAGCTCTTGTAAGGCAGGCCTGGTGGTGACAAAAATCTCTCAGCATTTGCTTGTCTGTAAACTATTTTATTTCTCCTTCACTTATGACGCTTAGTTTGGCTGGATATGAAATTCTGGGTTGAAAATTCTTTTCTTTAAGAATGTTGAATATTGGCCCCCACTCTCTTCTGGCTTGTAGGGTTTCTGCCGAGAGATCCGCTGTTAGTCTGATGGGCTTCCCTTTGAGGGTAACCCGACCTTTCTCTCTGGCTGCCCTTAACATTTTTTCCTTCATTTCAACTTTGGTGAATCTGGCAATTATGTGTCTTGGAGTTGCTCTTCTCAAGGAGTATCTTTGTGGCGTTCTCTGTATTTCCTGAATCTGAATGTTGGCCTTCCTTGCTAGATTGGGGAAGTTCTCCTGGATAATATCCTGCAGAGTGTTTTCCAACTTGGTTCCATTCTCCACATCACTTTCAGGTACACCAATCAGACGTAGATTTGGTCTTTTCACATAGTCCCATATTTCTTGGAGGCTTTGCTCATTTCTTTTTATTCTTTTTTCTCTAAACTTCCCTTCTCACTTCATTTCATTCATTTCATCTTCCATTGCTGATACCCTTTCTTCCAGTTGATCGCATCGGCTCCTGAGGCTTCTGCATTCTTCACGTAGTTCTCGAGCCTTGGTTTTCAGCTCCATCAGCTCCTTTAAGCACTTCTCTCTATTGGTTATTCTAGTTATACATTCTTCTAAATTTTTTTCAAAGTTTTCAACTTCTTTGCCTTTGGTTTGAATGTCCTCCTGTAGCTCAGAGTAATTTGACCGTCTGAAGCCTTCTTCTCTCAGCTCGTCAAAGTCATTCTCCATCCAGCTTTGTTCCGTTGCTGGTGAGGAACTGTGTTCCTTTGGAGGAGGAGAGGCGCTCTGCGTTTTAGAGTTTTCAGTTTTTCTGTTCTGTTTTTTCCCCATCTTTGTGGTTTTATCTACTTTTGATCTTTGATGATGGTGATGTACAGATGGGTTTTTGGTGTGGATGTCCTTTCTGTTTGTTAGTTTTCCTTCTAACAGAGAGGACCCTCAGCTGCAGGTCTGTTGGAATACCCTGCCGTGTGAGGTGTCAGTGTGCCCCTGCTGGGGGGTGCCTCCCAGTTAGGCTGCTCAGGGGTCAGGGGTCAGGGACCCACTTGAGGAGGCAGTCTGCCCGTTCTCAGATCTCCAGCTGCATGCTGGGAGAACCACTGCTCTCTTCAAAGCTGTCATACAGGGACATTTAAGTCTGCGGAGGTTACTGCTATCTTTTTGTTTGTCTGTGCCCTGCCCCCAGAGGTGGAGCCTACAGAGGCAGGCAGGCCTCCTTGAGCTGTGGTGGGCTCCACCCAGTTGGAGCTTCCTGGCTGCTTTGTTTACCTAATCAAGCCTGTGCAATGGCGGGTGCCCCTCCCCCAGCCTCGCTGCCGCCTTGCAGTTTGATCTCAGACTGCTGTGCTAGCAATCAGCGAGACTCCGTGGGCGTAGGACCCTCCGAGCCAGGTGCGGGATATAATCTCGTGGTGAGCCGTTTTTTAAGCCCATCGGAAAAGCGCGGTATTGGGGTGGGAGTGACCCGATTTTCCAGGTGCCGTCCGTCACCCCTTTCTTTGACTCAGAAAGGGAACTCCCTGACCCCTTGTGCTTCCCAAGTGAGGCAATGCCTCGCCCTGCTTCGGCTCGCGCACGGTGCATGCACCCACTGACCTGCGCCCACTGTCTGGCACTCCCTAGTGAGATGAACCCGGTACCTCAGATGGAAATGCAGAAATCACCAGTCTTCTGCGTTGCTTAGGCTGGGAGCTATAGACCGGAGCTGTTCCTATTCGGCCATCTTGGCTCCTCCCCACCTTTTTTTTTTTAAGAGATGCAGTCTTACTCTTTTGCCCAGGCTGGTCTTGAATTCCTGGGCTCAAGTGATCCCATTGCTCCAACCTCCCTAGAAGCTGGGATGACAGGAGTGTGCCATCGCACCCCAAAACTGGACTTTAATTGGGAATGTACCTCTTAATGAGGTGAATGAGGATGACTTCTCTTCTCCCCAACTTAGTTGATGCATCCCTGGAAGAACAGAATAAGTACTAACTGCTAGAATGAACCTGGTTTGATTACATGGAGGCTTTTCTGACACCAGTAAGTGAATGTAACCTTTTGTTTGTTATATGGAAGTTTGCACAGCTCAAGACAATTCTACCCAGTAAGATGGGGACAGATGACATTTTCTTTGGTAAAGGAGAAGAAAGGCCATTAGAAAAGAAGGAGCAGCAGGTATTCTCAAGCAGATGAATTTTAGAACAACATGGGAAAATTAAGAAAGTTTGGGCATGAGGGGTACCTTCATCCTCGTTCAAAAACTACAGGAATGGGATGTGAAACATACCTAACAGGAATTCATAATTTCATGGGGGAGACATATAATTAATAAAAATAAAATCTGATGTGAGTGAAAGAGTAAGGTACAAGGTCAAAGAGGAAGAACAATTACCTCTTCCTGGAGAAGTGAAAAAAAGGCTTCTTAGAGAAATAAGTCTAAGAGAATAAGGAAGGACGGCATTTCCACAGTAGGGAGCTCAGTCTGGTGGAACAGGAGAGTGAGGCATGTTCTGTACCCCAAGCAACTGTGTGTGGGGAACACAGAGTGGGTTTTAGGGATTAGGTGGAAAGAGCAATCAGGGACAGATCATGCAGCCCTCTGAATTATTTACTTCACCATCTAGCCTATGGGACCCACTGGAACATTTCTAATCAGGAAGTGACTGCTTAGATTTGGAGTTTTGGAAATAAATATCTTCTAGCAGTGAGGAAAATGGGCAGTGGTAAGGAGTAGGAATAACCAGAGGGAGGAAGTCCATTTAGGAAGCAGATGAAGGATAAAGAGGGCCTCAGCTAAGGCGACCAGACAATGGGGGGTGGAGGAGAGAAAATGGATTTTAAGACAATATTTAGGAGGCAAATGAACAGGTCCTGGTGGCTCACTTAATGTCTGGTTAAAAGATGCGGCAAGTCATGGAAGATACTGAGCTTTCTAGCTTGGGCAACTACGCAAATAATAAATAATGGATATGAAAGAGAATTCAGAATCTTCCAGTGAAGGTGGGACTCTGTCTCATTCATGTTTGTCTCTATACCTCTTAACAGATCTTACTGGGTAAGTGAATAAATTTATCACTGCATTTAACCTCATAAACCCAAGCACAATAATAAGATGCTACCTCTAGGCAGGATTTAAATTTTGTTTTATGATAAAATTTGTGGACTGCACACAACTGATCCTCTATCATAAAACAATTTAAAAATCTAATCAACTGTAGAAAATAACAGTACACATTTTTAAAAGACAGCACTAAATATGGGCCGGGTGCAGTGGCTCACATCCCAGTACTTTGAGAGGTCGAGGTGGGTGGATCATTTGAGGTCAGGAGTTCGAGACCAGCCTAACCAACATGGTGAAACCAGGTCTCTGCTAAAAATACAAAAATTAGCTGGGTGTGGTGGTGCATCCCTGTGGTCCCAGCTACTTGGGAGGCTGAGGCAGAAGAATCGCTTGAATCCAGGAGGTGGAGGTTGCAGTGAGCTGAGATCATGCCACTGCACTCCAGCCTCGGCGACAGAGTGAGACTCCATCTCAAAAAAACAAAAAACAAAAGACAACACTAAATAAACCATCCATTAGAAAATGAGTTAGTCAAAGATTAAATCTGAGCAGAGAAGTTTGGCCTCAAATTATGTAGTGTCAAGAAAGTTATTTCCATGTGTTTTTATGTGCTTACATTTTAAGAGACCATAGTTTCAAGTGGTATTTTCTCCAATATTAAAAAACATTATTCTACATACTAATAAAAGCATCTTTTAGTTCATATAACAACACTAGTCATAGCAAATATGGAGATGAAGTCTGCTTCAAATGGAAAAGTCAGTTTATTTTTATTTTTTAATTTTTTTTAGATGCAGTGTTGCCCTGTCACCCAGGCTGGAGTGCAGTGGCGCGATCTCGGCTCACTGCAAGCTCCACCTCCCGGGTTCAAGCCATTCTCCTGCCTCAGCCTCCTGAGTAGCCGGGATTACAGGCGCCCGCCACCACGCCCAGCTAATTTTTTTGTATTTTTAGTAGAGATGGGGTTTCACTGTGTTAGCGAGGATGGTCTCAATCTTCTGACCTTGTGATCTGCCTGCCTCGGCCTCCCACAGTGCTGGGATTACAGGTGTGAGCCACTGCACCCAGCCCGGAAAAGCCAGTTTTTAAAAATTGGATTGATGGGAGACTGAGGTGGGTGGATCACCAAATCATCTGAGGTCAGGAGTTTGAGACCAGCCTGGCTGACATGGTGAAACCCTGTCTCTACTAAAAAATACAAAAATTAGCTGGGTATGGTGGTGCACACCTGTAGTCCCAGCTACTTAGGAGGCTGAGGCAGAAGAATCACTTGAACCCGGGAGGTGGAGGTTGCAGTGAGCTGAGATCATGCCACTGAACTCCAGCCTGGGTGGCAGAGTGAGACTGTGTCTCAAAAAAAAAAAAAAAGAAAAAAAAAAAGATTGAAAACAGAATTTACAAACGAGTTTTTTGTAAAAGTTAATTGGTTATGACAAAATCATTTAAAATTATTTTCCTTTTTATTTGGTATTCTTCATTGTAAATAATTGAATACAAGCTAATCAAAATTATTTTTAATTAACAAATCAATTTTCACTGAGGGGAAATGATTTATTTCTATCTCTCCACTTTAAAAATAATTTTTCTATGTGGACAGGAGTACCAAGGTGTCAAATATCATGGTCTTCACTCTAAATATTATTTTAATAATGGTAACCCATGCAAATAACAATATACATTATTATTACACACACCCACATTGATTTATTTCTGCCATCATCAGAACTAAGCAGTAGATTCGGACACACTTGGTGGAGTCATTCATGATACTGAAACAATAAAATAGTTAAAAGGCATTATTTTTCCCAGTATATAAAATTAGCATGTAGGGAATGTTAAAAGAGCCCCAAAATCCAGTATCTTGTGGAGAAATATGCTAAAATGAGCATTTATTATTATTTTTAGGACTATTAATGAAGTTTGGACTCCAGTCCTTTCCATATCTGTGAACACACGGGGAACAACTTATCATAGCATCACTATTTGACCTCTAAGGAACAGCTCGTGTCATCACAGAGCAAAAGTGCTGGCAAAACATTTATCTAGATAAAAGACCTCAAGCAGTTAACCTGCTCAGCAGAGGCAATGCAACCAGGCAACAGGATAATGACCTCTATCCAAATGTGGAAGGTACCTCAATTTAAAACCCTGACAGCTTGACAAAAGATGATGGCAGCTCAGCAGGAAAACATTAGCCATGATAACGCAGGGTACTGTATGTGAAAAGAATGAATTATAAAGCACAATGCTATTTGGGCCGAGTAGGGATTTTTGTTTTTTTAACCAACTTTATACTTAGGACGGTAGTCATGCCTAAAGCCTCCCTCCATTCTTTTCTACCTGAAGAATATCCTGATAAAAGTAAAAAGGCAGTGTGGATTAAATTGACAGCTTAAACACAAATCGAGTTTCTGAACTAAGCCAGGAAAATGCTGCACATCATTTCTGGCAGGCTTGTTACTGTTTCAGAGTAGAAAAACCTGGTCATTGGTAAATTGGCTTAATCCACTTGAGGAAAAACTGGTAACTCAAATAAGTGTGAACAAGACCAGGCTTACTGTGTGTATTATTTTGTTTTATTTTTAAAGGGAGAGGGTACTTGGCCCGCTTTGGGGTGCTTTAGATCTTCAGCTGTAAAATGTCCCTACTGCAAATTCAGTTTAAAAAAACAATTTAATTTTAGAGTAGTAGCATGATCATGCTTGTATGTTTATTCAAGGACCTTTACTCTGTGACAGGGTTTCAGCCTGTGAGGTTTTCTCTACACATGGCAGGCAGCTGTCAGAACCAGTGTGAGGGGTGAAAGGGCAGCCCAGCTGCTCTGTTAAATCATGGGGTTCCATCAACATCTCAGAATTCCTGCCGAGTGGGAGCTGGGAGACCACAGATTAGAGTACACTGGAGTGTGTATATTAGGTCACTCGGTGTCTATCAAAGCGGTATCACGCCGGTGAGCTGTACAATAGATTTTACTGTGTTCTGTTCAAAGAAAATGTAAGGAAAGTGGACATGTGTGTAGCAGACCATAGCTGAACACTGAATTCTTCTTGTCTTTAAATGGATGGATTTATTATCCACAAGATGAACGAAGAGTAGGAGCACAATCAACAGCTATGGAAAACATGCGAGGCTGATGGTTTCTATTCAGTGCTTGGAAATAACTGTTCAGCAGATGTGTATGAAGCAGATGAGTCCACGGCCCAGCACAGTGGAGGGGGAGGGGGCCGGATCATGGCTGTGATCCTGGACCATGAACTTGTTTTATGACTCTGGATGGTCACTTCCCTTCAGTTTCACAAAACTTTAATGTCCTCATTTGTGAATTGAAAATAATAATCTCCCTTGTCTTATCTACATCTCAAAACCCGTTAATAAAAAATGAATTCCTAAATGAGAAAAGACTTTTAAAATGTTGAGAGGTATGAAGCATGATGGTATAAAGTGTGATACTTAATTAAGAAATAAAATGTAACTTGTGTTAGTGGATATTTGGTCTACATGTAAAATAGAAAACATCTGCTCCTTTATTACCTATTGTTTAATTTCTTTTTAAGAGAGAAAAATTCATGTTCCCCAATGCATCATATAATCTTTAAAAAGATAATAGATAAAAGGTGAATAGCATCATGCCTGGCAAGTAAGGTGAAACTTTAAACAGCTTTAAAAATTTGTGTTATATTTTAATTTCTCAATTATAACTCTGTAAGAGGTTTCTTGACTGTAATAAATATATACCTGAATTTATGTTAATGATAACTAATACTAACAAAATGTTTCCTATGTGCCAGGCCCTGTTCTAACTACATTACAAAAGTTAATTTATTTAATTCACATAACCATATGTAAAGTGGCCCAATTATCTTTTTTTTTTTTTTTTGAGACAGAGTCTCACACTGTCGCCAGGCTGGAATGCAGTGGCATGGTCTCGGCTCACTGCGACCTCCGCCTCCCGGGTTCAAGCAATTCTCCTGCCTCAGTATCCCGAGTAGCTGGGATTACAGACGTGCGCCACCACGCCCAGCTAATTTTTGTATTTTTAGTAGAGACGGGGTTTTACCATGTTGGCCAGGGTGGTCTCGATCTCCTGACCTCGTGATCCAGCCACCTTGGCCTCCCAAAGTGCTGGGATTACAGGCATAAGCCAACATGCCCGGCCCCAATTATCAGTTTTTAGGTTATAGCACCCTCTTCCAAAATATAAGGCTCTGCATTATAATCTCACTTTGGGTTAAATACATTTTCTAATCTTGTAAAATGTGAACAGCCAACTACCTTCTACACAACAATTTCATTTTTTACCCTATGTGGTAGACACTATTCTTTTCCCATTTTTTTAAGATGAAAATATTATTTCCTAAGAGGTTAAGTGATTTGCACAGCAACAAAATGGCAAACCTAGCATTCACATGTAGGCAGTCGGCTGTACGGCCTCTCTTTGCATCAGAGGGCCTGAAGCCATCTATTATTTGGGGGCAACATCATGGTGTCCACTTGGATCATTTGGGATCCAAAATGAAGATACCAGGTTGAGAGCTAATTAGTCACCCAGGAAATAACTCCAACATGCGCACTGAGACTGGCTCACGTTGGAGCCATGACCCTATCTACATTATATAAGAACAATCAGCTGGGCAGTTAGCTGTTTCAGTGTGAATGTAGCAATGGCTGCCATGTCCAAAGCACTTTCCAGGAGAGGAAGCTGAAAAGCTACCTTATGGCCTCATGTTGACATTTATCCAGGTGAATTGCAACTTGAAATGTACTTCTAACATTTGCTACTGTGAGTGCAGAAAAGACGTCATATAATAAGGCAAATGTGGAGAGCCCTTTGTTTCTCCTTTTTTAAAAAATTAGAACTATTTTTCAACGTTGGTTGGAAACAAGTCCATGAAGAAAATCTTTAGAAGACAGTAAAGAAATTCTGAGATTGAATTCCATTTTGTCTGTGTGTTGTTCGGTGACAAAAGACTGTGAAATACAAATAGGCATAGATAGAGCTGTATATAACAGCTTTGTGGCTTTCCCTTCAATAAACTCAGAGATTGTCTTTGTATCCAGTGACCTTTTAGGGGGATTTAAAATAAAAACTAAAACGACACAGTACAATTTGTCTATACTAAAGGCCCAATTATAACTCTCAGTCTCATCTTTCATGGTTACTTCTCAAAATTCTGCCTAGGTGAGAAAGAACTGAAAAATATTCCTCTTTTCTGGATAATATTATCAAATGAAGTGAGGGCCTGGGCGGTTGCCCTCACTGGTGATTGATTCTTTAATGAGCTTCACCTGCAGGCCCAAGAGCACAGAGACTGCCCAGCTCTCTAGATTTTAAAATAGTGATCAATTCAGACACACATTGGGTTGTGTTGTTGGGACTAGTCAGAAGAACTGTTGTATATTCTCTGAATGACAAAAACTGAAATTGAGATATATTTACAAACACATTCACACATACTCAGGGGCCTTATGAATAAAAAGCGAAAATGCCAAATTACTCGGATGCCTCTACACTCTATCAGTATCTTATGAAAAGCATAAGGCTCTGCATTATGATCCCTTCTAGGTTAAACACATTTAAAAATCTTATAAAATACGAATAATATAAATAATCTGAATGCTTTCTATGATACAATTTCATTTCATAGATTAATGTATCAGTAGAGTAGCTATAAGCTGCTGTTTTTCTTTTTAAAAAATTAATTAATAGGCACTTCAAGTTTAGCCTCTTCACAAGGCCATCCTATTTATTTATACATTTTATTAATTCTGAAGCCAGTAGCTCCTCAATGGTGTATTTATGTTCAACTAGGTCAGGTCCACTGGGATGATATTTGGTCTTTCACAGAAGACACACTGAGCCTGTAAAGACAGCAGGCTCAAACTACCAAACACACTTCCTTTCCTAAGATTTGACTACATGAATTTGTTAGACTTCAGTGAAAAAATATAGGAATCCAGATATGCATTTCATAAGTCTCTCTACATAAGACCTTCTACACATAAGGGTGTCAGTAACACGTTGCCTCCTTACTAGGGAAGCAGGCATTTGGCAAACAGTCCATTTGTGATAGTTGGTTTGTGTAGCTTGGTGTAGTAGTTTGAAGGGCACCCACAAATACCAATAGAGGGAAATACTGAAAACTGTTCTCTCACATTACATTAGTTTGCTTAAAAAGTATGCATGTGCTAACCAAGCCTACAAATCACTAATTGTCAAGTATGCTGCAACAGAATAAAATTTAGCACAGAAAATACTTAGGTGAGATAAAAAACATTGATGTTTATATTTCTCAATAAATCTATGATTGATTACTTTGATAGTGATAATGCCATAGAGATAACTTTATAAATACTAACAATGCAGAGGGTTTGACATTTAAAATGTTCAAATGCAAGATGACATTCTTACTTCCCCTTTCAGAAATGTTATGCATGGATTACTTTCAGAACTATTTGAGCCAAGCCCTGTTGATGAGTAAACGTTAAAAGCAGCTGGGATGTCCACTTTCTTGGTGTTTCTGCTCTATGATTTTACTCGGTGGAATGTGATGAGCACTATTACCTTTTGAAACTATTACTAGCCAGAACTCACTGATGACTTAGTACAGAACACTGGAGTTGAAAGGAGTCCTGGAGACCCAAAACTCTCTCCTCATTCCACAAAAGGGAACCAGAGGCCCCACGGAGATTAAATGGCATGCTCAAGGCCACAGCTAGTTAGTGACAAGGTTTAGCCCAAAACTCATGTATTTGGACTCCTAACACGGTGCTCATTTGCTCTGTTACCCTTAGTGTGATGAAAGACAGATAAATGGCACAAACTCCTTACAGTTTCTATGTCAGCACATGATTATTAGATGTACGCTGTTGACTCTGAATGCTCTGAGGTTGGAAGAAATGTGCAACAATCTAAATGTCACAGGCCTGGAAGTAATCAAAAGGAAACTGAATGTTAGTTACTACTGTGCATAATGCTTGCAACATATCTGTGGTTGGTTGCAATGTACTATTAGAGCGTGGGTTTTTGTTGTGACTGTATGAACCAGGCCGCATAGGGAACGCTGAAGAGCGATCACAAAAATACCTTTCTTTCCCTACTGTCCCTCAAGCAGCAGGGATCAAATAACTGTTTCTCAGCTGTCAGTCTTTTAAACAAAAATATCTCCTTCACTCTATGTGTATCTGTGGCAAGTTAGTGTCTGTTTCCTCTTCTTTTTTCTGTTCTATTTTTTAGACCCCAACCTTGGATCACCAGGGGATACTGGGACTAGAAAGGGACTGACATGATGTTTTACAAATTTATCTTGGATTTCTTCAGTACGTCACAGTTTGTGTTCAATAAAGGCAGGCAGTGTAGAGCAGGCAGGCAGAAAACAGTCTACAACTGGATATTGGGAGTGCAGAATCATCTGCTGCCAGTCTGGACACTGGAAGGGCTTTCCACTCTGAGTATGACAGTTTCCATTTGTATTTCGGGCCAGCTGCTATTATGCCAACAATGTAATAATGGTGTGTTTTATTCATCTGCAACATAGCCAAATCTTCCTGCATTTGTCTAGGAAATCACAAAGCTTGATGAGACCTGGAGGAGCCATCTTTCATCCTCCTTACTTCCTAACTACACACAAATCCCCCAATTCCTTTACCCTGACTCTGGCCTGATCACTTACTAGCTGGACATGTTTCTTAATCTTTACTTTGCCATGGTAGCCTCATGTGGTAAATGGGGCTGACGATAGTAGCTCTCTCTTCGGGTTGTTGTAAGGATTTAATGAGTAACACGTACAGGACTTTAATAGGGCCTGGCATATAGGCACTATATAAATATTAATTATTGTAATTATTATTTCCACTCAACAAAATTAAGACTTCCTCATAGTTTTGGATCTCAGCTGATTGTAATCACTTGTTCATCAGTGGTAGAATGGTTTGTTAACTAATGAACATCATATAGCTATACCGTAATTTATTCAACCATTCACTTATTATTGGACATTTAGTGTGTTGCCAACGTTCTGCTATGTAAGTAATATTGTATGCTACGTGCCCTGTCAAGCATCTATCCTTATAGTTTCCTTACGAGGTGGATGTTTTAAATCCAACTCATAATTTCAAAATGAGGCCACTATGTCTTAGGCAATATGAATCCAATATGACCACACAACTAGTAGGTGTTATTGCAAAACTTGAGCCCATGCCTTGGACCCTAAAGCCTTAATCAATTGCCTACCTATCTTCTTAGCCTAAATGGTTATAATAACAATTAATTTGTAAAACTAATGTTACAAACTCAATTTTTCCAGAATTTTTTTCATATGGATCATCTTATTCCTTAATAATTCTGAATATTACCAGCAGCTGGGAGTGGGGTAGGGTGAGGGAGGAAAGGAAGTTGTTGGTCAAAGGGTATAAAGTTTCAACTGGACAAGAGAAATAAGTTTTGAGATCTACTGCACAAGTAGGGTGACTACAGTCAATAATACTGTATTATGTATTTCAAAGTAAGAGTAAATTTCAAATTTCCAATGCAAAAAACGGTAAGTAAGTGAGGTGATGGATATGTCAATTAGCTTGATTTAATCATTCCACATTGTATGCATGTATCAAATCATCACCTTATACCCCATACATCTATACAATTGTAATTTGTCAATTAAAAATATTAAAAAAGGAATTCAGAGTAACTGCAGTGATATTTTCCCCTTGAGTCCAAACTCCTCAATTTAAAAGCTCTGACCTGTTGTTAGGAACGCTTACATTGCAACACCGTCAGCAGCTTTGTCAAATCTTGCGCTGGATTCTAAAGGACCTAGTCACTTCCTTGCATCCATTTATTCCCAACTGCCTGGACCAGCAAGACATGAAGAATAGACATGAATAGCACAGAATAGACATGAAGAGCAATTTCTGGGGCTGGAGGGGATAATATAACTATGATCCAGCAAGAAGATCTTCTTTGCTGCTTTCACCTACTACAAGCTTGTACAACACATTTAATACAATCTAATACCTTGTGGGTCAGGGAGAAACTCCCATCATCACTATTGGGAGTGGTGTGAACAATTATATACAAGTGCTAGTTTTAGGAACATACAGATAGATTTGGTGTTTTGAAGACAGGGATGGTAACTGAGGAACAACTATATAAGTGTGCTGCCTGCACAACTGGTATTACTGTGCACTTAGGGGCCCCAACATTTCCCAGAGAAAGGAGTTGGGATGGCACTAGCGACACCACACATCCAAGCTGAGGCTGCCCTCTCCAACTACCTGCCCCTTCCCTAAGAGCACCTATAACTCTAATAATTATGGTTAAAGTTTATGGATCGCTTACCATGTGCCTTGTGTCTGTCTCCACTCTACATACTTTATATGTATTAATTCAATCTATTTAATGTAATCCTCACAACGATACTATGAGGTAGATATGACTATTATTTTCTTCATATGGTAAATGAGGAACCAGAAGTGTAGAGAGGGTAAGTGACTTCCCGAAGTTACAGAGTCAGTAAGTACTAAGCCTGGGACTTGACTCTGGTAGTCTGACCTTGCGGCCTTTGCTCTTTGTCACTACAGATGCTCTATAGGCCAACAGCTGGCCCTGGGGCCTGGCTCCTCTCCCTCCCCTAACCTTCCCGGTTTCCTGCCCAGTTCAACGTGACTTCCTCCCATTTGTTCCTCCACTGGCACCTTCACAGAACTGACCGCTCTCCAGGCGTGAGCTTCCCAGTGGGTCTCCTAGCTCCCACCTTCCCCATTCCCAAAAACATTCTTTCCACCTGTGCCATGAAGCCTTCTGGGAGAGTGAAAGAAATTTAAACATAGCAGAGAAACACAAAAATTACTTCCTTTCCATACAAGGCTTAAATGATTACTAAGAATATCTGAAAAATAAATATTTAATACATAAAAGGGAAAATTGTCAGAATCCTTATGTAATCTAATGTTTCCATGTGTTACAAAGTCCCCCACTGAGGGTTTTCCAAAAGTCTGTCCATGCTAATCCCACTGGCCTGTGAGAGAAGGCAGTGACTGTACACTTTTATGTGCCTCTCTTTCTTAGTTTTTAAAAAATAACAAACATTTAAGATATCAAGAGAAAAGTTACTCTTGCCTAAGTGTCAAGCTTGGAGAGGGCAGAATAGCTAATCTACTTTCTCGACTTCCGTGTAGGTTTTATTACTTCAGTGTTATATTAAAAATGTACTTAAATTTCATGTTGACATGCCATTTCATGAACTTTATTAGAAATTATTGATTCACAAATGAGGGGAAGTCTAAGACTAATATTTTATTTATTATGTTCTAGCTATGTGCCGAATGTCAAGAAGGATTTAGCAGTATCTTATAGCTTTGTTGTTTTAATATTCAGTTTAACTATTTATTTTGCAATCATTTCTTAGATTTTAAGTCATTTTAGGTGTATGTGAATTCATTTATTATTAGAAGTTGTCTGCCTCAAATGTTTTGAAACAGTAAAGGAAAGGATTTGTTAAAAAGGGAATGTAACTAAAATAATGAAGAGATTGATGACTTCACTGTAAAAGCATGATTTTTTAACCTTCACTCCGCAGCCATTTTTAAAATTAGCCTATCATGAAAACAACTTGTGCTGTTATTTGTAATCAAAATATTACATTATTTCTCACTCTGCTCTGGTAGTGTAGAAAAACACACCGCTCTAAACAATAAACCTTGCATTTTAGTAACCTCACCACTCAGATTTTTCTCAGGATATACTGTGAATTATACAGAAAATGTCTTGCTTTCCAAAAGAAGTAAATTCAGTTTTTTGGCTTTACATCCCACTCTAAGAAACCCACTCTCTGGCCCGTGTTGCCATCATAGCATGTCCTGGCTGTCCCACCACTGATTCTGCGCCTTGGGAGGCTCCTTCCTGAATCCTCTCCGTCTACTCCCTACCTCTACACCACAATATCCATAATCCTATCAACCCGTCCAGACCCAGATCAAATGCACTTCCACCATTAGTCTTCCAAGTCAGAGGCAGTGTCCCTCTGTTCAGAATTTTGACACCAATTGCCCATATCTCTTTCACATTGCTTCTCTGCTGATACGCCTTTCCAAGGTGTATGTGGGTCTCCACATTTCTCTTCCCAATTAAACTCTGAGCTCCCAGAGATCAGTGACTCTGGAGAGAGTCAATAATTTATTTTATATTTTGTATTGTATATAAATTTGTGAGCTGCCTCCAGCCTCATGATAAACAATTGTATAAATATATAATGCTTACAATGCAATTATAGAATAAAGAAATGAGGATATTTAAATGTATGGGCCTGTAAGAGTAATTGTATTATTTTGTAGTGACCCCTTATATTCTGAAAAACCCATAACATCCATGTACATAACTAGGCTTGTTAAATATATTATAATAAAGTAAATAAAAAGGAAATAGCAAGCATGGAATATAGTAAAAGGAGTTTGAAACAGAGAAAGAAAATCTTTAAAAATATATATAGTATAAATATTTGATTACCTGTAAAAGTGGACAAGTAAAATCAATAGATAACTACACACCAAATTTTGGCTATAGGTTTCAATAATCTGTTGAACAGAACATTTCAGTACAAGTATTTATAGACTGCAGGCTATGTATATGAATTTATATCCCCCCCCATCATAACATAATCTTTATACATATATTATCCAGATGGTGATTGGGGACTTTCCTGCTCTTTAAGTCTGGGTAAAACTGGTAGGGACCCTGCCAATTCCACAGCCCAGGGAAGTCCACAGTCCCCAAGGTATCTATAAATTCCAGGGTGGAGGTGGTACTTATGCTCTCAGGGGCCTGGGCTGGAATGGGCCATGCACAATAAATTGTAGCTCACATTAGATGCTTCCAGTGCAATTTGCTGATGATGGGGAAGGCAGAGCCGAGGGCACAGGGTCTTTTGACACTCAGATGATTCATTTCTCCCTATTATTTTTCATTTTCTTTCATCTTCATTTTCTCCCTCCTGAACAAAGTAATTCGGATTTTCTAAAGGAAATCTTTGTATCATCTCATTTTCCCAATCTGAGTGGATCACATTCCTAAGTATAATCTCTAATCAGTATTTCTTCAGACAAAAGCAGTATGCTTCTTGAGACAAATTCAAATCCTAGCTGTTAACCAGTAAAAATGACTTCCCATCACACTCATGCATTGAAAAGGTAGTATATTGTTAAGAAGCTGAAAACAAGAGGAAAACCGAGCTCACCAGAACTCAGCAGCTCTATTGCCGTGCCACTACAGCTCCCTCACCATCCATGACTGAGGGTACAGGTGTCCCATAAACACCACCATGGCCATACCCCAGAACCCACCACCAAGTCGCATTGGGAACCTCCTGTCCTGGGCTGGTAACCTCAGTTTTGGTCCCATCGCCTAACTTCTGGCGGACTCTTGGTTGTCATGCACAACTCAGACAGCTGCTTTCTGTCCATTGTTGTTTCCTTCCCCGGCTCATTGAGATTACTGTGGTCTGGAGCCCATTGGCCAGCTCCACTTCGCCTTGCTGCTGGGCACATCCTCTGCTCCCATCGGTCCAGACAGCAAGCTTGGGCCAACACTTTAGATAATATGGACCTTGAATAATTGGCTATGGGTAATTGATAATTAGATCTATTTTAGATTTCAGATATCATTTCCAAATGTCCAAGTGTTTATAATTCTCATGATGCTAAGTTATTCATATCTACAGAATGCTTATTTTCACCACTGAGGCAGTAGGCAGACAGAGGATGATTAAGTGTTATCTTAGAAAATAAGAGCAGGCAACAGCATGACCATGCTGAGTCTCTTAGTTAACAGGCCAATCTATGGCCATGAAGTTGTTAGATGTGAGCAGCCAGAAGTACTGGGTTCCATACCTTTTAATCACCTTCATTTTTCTTGGCAAAATTGTTTCCACAATTTGTTTTTTGTTAGAAAACACAGTATCCCACAGTCATGATACCAAGCCAGCATGTTCTCTGTTTCCAGTTAAAAGAAATATAAAGATGCCAGAAAATATTTGCCCAAACAGTGCTGTTTTTCATTAGAATGACACTTTTGGAGCCTGGTTACTACAATATCAACTCTACTTTGTTCTATTACCATGAAGCACAACATTGAAATAGACATTTTTTCTATCAGCAACATATCACATTTGTTGGCTATTAAATAAAGTGTTCACAGATATTAAAAGTTGTTTTTCCTTCTGGTAAAAGCACATTATTGAAATACAACATAATTCCCACTTTCTTTTCAAGCCCTAAAGTTCAAGAACCTAACTTTTTGGGGGGTTGCCTCTAGACAGCCAGGGCATTACATGTCACCTGTGACCTGACTGTATCTAAGCTGGACAAAGATGTCAACCCTTTGACCATCAATTCCTTACCTCTGACGGGGTAGAGGGACCACTTACTCACATTCCTGCCTTAGAACAACCTCTCACAGTCTTCCTTTCTATGGCAATTTTCATTATAATATACTTATCTTGGAAAGCACACATTACTTCACAGAAAAACTTCTCCAAAACTAGAGAATATTTCATATTCCATTAAAATGCAAATTGTGACAAATTCTACATCTCCATTGTAATGAGTCTGGAAGTGCAACAACCTAATGGATGTCAAAAATTTCTATGTTTGGCCTGTAATCTCAGCACTTTGGGAGGTCAAGGCAGGCAGATCGCTTGAGCTGCGGAGTTTGAGACTAGCTTGAGAAACACGGCAAAACCCTGTGCGTATAAAAAATAAAAAGAAAAATTAGCTGGGCATGATAGCATGTGCCTGTAGTTCTAGCTACTCGGCAGGCTGAGGTGGGCAGAATGCTTGAGCGCGGGAGGTCGAGACTGCAGTGAGTCAAGATTGCACCACTGCACTCCAGCCTAGGCTGCAGAATGGGAGCTTATATATACAAAATATATATTTGCCAAACATATAATATATTATATATATTTTATGTATATTTAATGTATAATATATTTAATGTATATTTATGTATAATGTATATAATGTATATATACTGTTTATATATAAATATTTATATATATTTAATGTATATAATTAATGTATATAATATAATATATTATATAAAAAATGTTTGGCAAATGGATATTGAGAAAAAAGTTTCTTGGGAGTTATGAAACTCATCATGGCTTTGAGAAATACAGTGGCATCCCAGATGGCACGTGCCAGACCAGAAGCTCCTGTGGCCATGATAGACCAGGGTATTTGACCAAGAATACTCATTGTAAAGTGGGACTCGGCACTGGATGACAGGGGCAGCAGCTACCACATACTGCTTATTCATTATATGCTAGGAATTACAGATACTAATGCCCATTTGCCCAACCATCCTGCAAGGTCAGCAAATGAGAGTGTGGAGAACTTTCCATGTGCCATGCAGGAGCTAGTCTAAGAGCTTTACATGTATCATTACAGTCACTTCTCATCATACATCTGTGGGATATGAGTATGATTGCCGTCACTCTCTAGATGGGAAATGGGGGCTTCTTTCCCAAGGCCACAAAGTTAATACCTGTCAGAGAAGCTTTCAAACCAGGACAGTTAACTCCGGAACTGGAACTCCTAATGGCCATGCTACAATGACCCAATGCCTCTCAGGTAATAGGAGGCATTTGACATCTGTCCTCTCTCATTTAACTCACAGCATCAGCTTTGTAAGATTAGCAGTATCATTCATACTTGTAAATGAAGAAAATGAGCCTTGGAGAGATTCAGTCACTTGTCCATGGACACACAGTTAGCAAGAAGTGATGTGCTGGGATTTGAACCCAGGTCTACATGAATCTGAAGTATGACTAGAAGCACTATGGGGCCTTTGAGGATCAAGCCACAGTGAGCCTCTTGCTCTTCATGGATAAGCTGATTGCGGCCCGAGTTTAGGTGCTCATGTTCCAAAATCTAAGGAGACATGACGTAATTTTAGCAAGAAATTGCTTTTCATACACACATTCTTTCTTCTCATAGAGAAAGAGAAAATATGAAACGTGTGATTCAGCAACCTCTCTGATGAACTTTATTTTGCATCCTAATTCAGAGCCAAATTCCCAACTCTTTTTCCACGTTTCCCTGTTTGAAATCTCTCTGAGCACTTAAGATACCTAAGTCACAAGGATGGAATTTAATTCCTAGAGACATGTAATGCACAAAATATGGAAATGATAGCTGCTTAAAATAAAATATAGTTGTATCATCCAAGTGAAGGCCCATCCAAAAATGGCATTTCAAACCCCCAACATTTCCTTAAGTGCTATTTGCATGTTCTTCAGTTTTGTCTACAGTGTTTTATGGGGCTGCTCATGCTCCAAGTGTGGACCCTGCCAAGAGGCTCAGCATAAAATGGTTTCAAATGCAGAGAATGTGATGGGAATCTCATTTGAAACCATATGGCTTTTCATAAATGCTCCAAATGGCCACCACTTATAGGTACAAGATTTAAAAAATAATCCTCCCACCATTAAAAATATATGAATAAATAAACGATGGCAATGACTTCCTTTTCCCCACTGGATTTGGGGATGGGTTGGGGAGTACGAATTGCTTCTGCTCTGCGGCTGATTTTCAGTTCCGATAACTCATCTTTATTCATTTCCTTTCAGTCATGGTGAGCCATATTGAGAGCAGCTGTAGGCAAGAGAGAGCGAGAAGAAAAAAAAAAGAAAAGGATCTCCTCACTCCCTCCTTAAATCGTTGTCAAACAGCCGTTCTAAAGAATCCATCGGGGCTCATTGCTGTGCTGGGCAACCAAGAAGTAATAGAAAACAGGACAAAGAACAGTTTAAGCCAAATTTAATGAAGAGATTTAAAAATTATCCAACCACATATTTTGGGGAAAAATCAACCTTGGAATGATTTAATTCAAAGTCAGGTAGACCAGGTCTATAGGGAAATTATATTTCAAATTAAATTAAAAAACAAACAACAAATTGTACTTTAAAGGTGATGGGAAACACCAGTAGTGGGCAACTAGTTAATGAGAGGTCTGGCGGCCTATTCCAGACAAAGTTACTTAGAAAGTTAGAAGGTGATAAATGAGTGCCAACAAGCTAGGCCTTAAAATGTAATAACAGCGAACTGATTATGGGAAATCAACTGGTACAAAGTGGAATGAAATTAAAAATGATTTTAAATTAGTGATAGAGTTTTTATATCTCAAAATGTCTTTCCAGGTTTTACCCAGCAAGTGAATTAGGGGTCAAAACTTAGTTTTATTTTGTTTTTAAATTTTGGACAAATGTTAAATAATTTTTGGATCAAGCTTAGCCTGAGCTAGGAAGTAAATGCTTTTAACATTTTGTTTAAAATGATTTCATCTGTTTTAATATATAAACCCAACAGAAATCTTGTTAATGGGTCATTCTACTATACTTCAATGACACAAAAATGGCCTCAGTTTCAAAGGGGAGACTTTGCAAGTTATTATTGTATAAAACATTGCAATCTTGTTTATTTTCTAGTATTTTTGTTCATGTGTTTTTAATGGTTACATGAACCAAATGCTTAGGCAACTGTGTCAAAGATGATAGTGAATAAGAAACAAAGATCTGTTACACTGTGAGTTGGAGAACTAACTGCTTCACAAGTTTTCTTAAAATGTGGCTAATGGAATAAAAAGAATTCTAAGTTGTGTTTGAAAACAACCAATAAAACATAGTGACTAAAATTCACAAAGAAAGTTTTGAGAAGCTAGGAAAAAAATGAACAAAAGAACCATCATGAAATACACAAAGAAAATGCAAACTCTTTTACCTTTCATTTATTAACTAGAATTAGTAATTTTCTTTACTTCCCATCACCTTTGGACGTTTTGCTATTTGGCATTGCTGACTACCCTCTTCTTTGTGACATTTATCCTTGTATGGTTCCCACAACTATGATTCTCTGTTCACCTCTGCAATGGCATCTTCTCAGATCCTTGGCTAGCTGGTCTTCCTTCCTGCTGTTCCTTCTCTCTACTTTCCTCCAGCAGTCTAGGATCCTAAGCCCTGTCCTCTCAATCCTCACTTTTCCTGGGAGTCTACCCATTTTCATGTCAATAGTTCACTTCTGATCATTACCAAATCAACATGCCCTTCCTCGTTCTTTACCCTGAAATCTATAGTCACTAGCCTGTGTCCATCTCCCACTGTGTCCACTTCAGTATGCCCTAAGCCAGAGGCCACTTTCATCACTGAAACATCCACTTCCCTAGGCTTAAAACGTTTGGCTCATTTTTTCACTTATCTCCCTTCTTTGGCCTATATAGCCAATTAGTCACCAAATATGACTGATTTGTCAAAGATTTCTCTCTGTATCTTTCTTCTCATTAATTTGACCCAGGCTCTCATCATTTCAAAGCTAAATTACTGCCATAATAATACTAACAACAACTCAATAACGTCAGCTAGAATGTGCCAAGCAGTGCTCTAATTGCTTCAAATGAATTATCTCATTACACAGGAAGAAACCAAGGCACAAAGATTAAGTTATTTGACCGAGGTGACACAGTAAGAGAAGCCAGGATTTGAACCCAGCCATCTGAGATGGAATTGCTTCTCACAGAATTTCTCTTCCAAGATGTGCTGCATACTATATCCACTTAATTTTTCTAAAAGTGTTTTAAAGGTGGCAATATGTACCAGCAACCTTAATTATCCATATCTGTTGGCTTGAAATTTATTTTGACTTAAAATTTCTGAAAGTGTATCTTAAGGATATAATTAGCAATGTAGGGAAAGATTTATATACAGAGATCTTCATGGCAACATGAATCATGTAGTTAGGACTTGGAAACAACTTTAATGTTCAATGGTTGGCCAAACACAACTGTGGCACATTCATATTAAGGAAAATACACCAAGCAGAAGAGGATTTGATGACATGGGGAAATATTCAAGATTTACTAAGCAGAAAAAAAAGGAGATTATAAAAGTTAAGTAAAGTATAACCCCAATTCTGTTTAAAAAAAAAAAGCAAAGACAAATAATAAAACCCCTAAAACCTGGAAATATATTAAAATGTTAAGATGGAAAAATGTTAAAATCAAAATTGTTTCTGAGGTTTGGTGACTTTAAGAGATTTATTTTCATGCTTTTGCAAAATTTTTCAATGAACATATTTACACATTGCAGTCAGAACTCCCTCCCATAGTAAACGTTATTCAAATCCCACTACTTCCATAGTGTAATTTCCCTGCTCAAAGACACAACTATAAATACTTTTGTTTTTTTGTCAACTTAATTTTCTTTTTTTAAAAACTTTTAAGTTCAGGGGTACATATGCAGGTTTGTTACATAGGTAAGCTCGTGTCATGGGAGTTTGTTGGACAGATTATTTCGTTACCCAGGTAGTATGCCTAGTACCCATTAGTTATTTTTCCTGATCCTCTCCCTCATCCCATCTTCCATCCTCTGATAAGCCCCAGTATGTGTTGTTTCCCTCTATGTGTCCATGTGTTCTCATCACTTACTTCTGACTTGTAAGTAAGAACATCCAGTATTTGATTTTCCGTTCCTGCATTAGTTTGCCAGAGAAAATGGCCTCCAGCTCCATCCATGTCCCTGCAAAGGACATGATCTCATTCTTTTTTATGGCTGCACAGTATTCCATGGTGTATATGTGCCATATTTTCTTTATTTAGTCTATCATTGGTGGGCATTTAGGTTGATTCCATGTCTTTGCTAATGTGAGTAATGCTGCAATGAACATATGTGTGCATGTGTCTTTGTAAGAGAATGATTTATATTCCTTTGAGCATAATGGGATTGCTGGGTCAAATGACAGTTCTGCTTTTAGCTCCTTGAGGAATCACCACACTGTCGTCTACAGTGGTGGAACTAATTTACACTCACACCAACACTGTACAAGCATTCCTTCTTTTCCATAACCTCACCAGCATCTGTTATTATAAATACTTATTGTTTGCTGCATCAAGTTGAAAGTTTCTCTGCCTAGAATTCAAGTTCCTGAGTCTAGGGCTTCTTGTTAGTTTTTCAATGCATGTCTGCATCTTTCCAGGAGAATCTTTGACCCCTGCCATGCCAGTCTCCTAGCTATGCTGCCCTGATCCATTCCCACCAGCCCTACAGCTGGCCACAGCTCCACTCCATCTCTAACCCCTCACTGAAACAGATGTATCAATCTCTCCCTTGAATTCTTCAGAGCATAGCTTTGACTTATTTATACTATAAACTATTTGGGGCTTCTTTCTGTTCTTGACATACATGGAAAATGGTACTCAACCTGTGGGGCATATAGTTATTATATAAGATCATTCTTACCATAGGCAAATCAGGAAAATGGTGTTACTAGTGCTTCCCACATTTATGTGCTAGAGTTTTAATGCTGACATGCTAACCTGAGTTGCTCTTCTCTGTCTCCTACATCATATTTTTTCACACTTGGGCTACAGCACTTCCTACCTATATCAACTTTACATGCATGTCTCTCTTGCTCATTTGTCAGTTCCCTAAGCACTGTGATAATATCTAATTATTTCTAAGCTTTACAGCCCCAGCACATAGCACATAGTACTCAATAAAGATTTATTGAACAAATGACAGATTACAGGAAATAGATGAATCTTTATGTAAAATAAGTACAGGTTGTTTGAAGAAAATTCTGGAAGCAACTTTCACATGACTTATGAATGCAACACAACATAAGCACCAGAAATAATTCAATGAATGAAATGAATTAGATAAATATTAAAGCTAAAGAATATGTTCTATATCCACTTAGCTTTGCCAGATAGCTAAGAGATGCATAGAAGTAAACCCAAAAATGTAATATAATGAAATTCTTACCCATCATAGTAATTTCTGATATTATATGATTTAGTAATGAAATAAGTGAAGGAGACAAAAAAGAATTTTGACTGATTGTGATTCCCAAGTGGTAATTCTAGTTGGTATGCTTCCCCACTCTATTCTAAATTACTCTTAAGTTGCTATGTTTCTATGGAGACCAAAAGATCATACCACGATTCACAAGACACAACACTATGAATAAGCGGTCTATGTGGGGAGCTATAATTTTTCCGTGAGGCTTTGGAGAAGTTGTAACCACATGAGGAAAGTATGACTGGTTTACAAAGCCAACCAAGCCCATTGGTAGCATTTAAGAACACCATAATCCCAAACACACAAGTTCGGTTTTATGTAATGCATGGGTATAACTCCAACTGAGTCTGCATACTGCAAGGACTGTTCCATCTCATGTTGGCCTTAATTTCCATTGCTTTAGACTACCTCACTTTTCTGTTTTGGGCTTGATGGGCTATAACATTACATCATAGGTGGGCAAAACTGAGACTCCTTTCTCCATCTTAGTGACCATGAAATGTAGGCATTTAGCTACCACTGAATTCTGTCACCCATCTAGGCATGAGTATGGATCAAAGGCAGAAGATGCAGAGAAAAGGGAAGCATTTTTTCTTTTCTGCATCCATGATACAATGAACACAAGTGACCTTTTAGAACCAAATGTGGACCGCCAAGAGGGATGTCATTCCAAACCAGCTTCTATTTAGATTGTTGTAAAAGCATGGCAAATATTATTTAAAATAGCATTGTTAAGAAATCAACCAGAGAAACAAAAGTCAGGAAATAAAAAAGGTATGGTTTTAAATGAAACCCCATCATAACTCTGGAGTTAGAGAAACTCAGGTCCAGCCCCCAACTTTATAGGCTAACTACATTTGCTCAGGCTTTTAACAGGTGAAATTATGTTTTGCATGAATGAGAGCATGATTAAATTCATAGTTGTCTGGATTTGAATAGCAACAAGCCACTTTTAATAGGTCTATTCTGTATCAGGGATATGATTTGAAATGAGTGGATTCTGTGATGAGGATGCTCCCACTGGACTTGTACCTGTTAGCAAATCAGACTCACTTTGAAACTGGGACTTTTGAGTTCTCAGTCCCAAATTATGAGACAGCCTAAAGACTGGGGTGTGGGAATGAGAAGGGTAAGAGCAAGAGGCTGAATACTAAAGCAGAAACACAGGGAGTATTCCCACCAAGGGAACTCCAGTTTTAAGAATAAATTATGTCTGCTTCATGGGATATACAATCCTCGGGACACTGCAGGCATTAAATAGAAAATATTAATAATGACATCTGTGTCCTTCAGCAGAGTTCTTCACACAAACACAATAAAAATACTTTATGCATTAATGAGGCAAATAAGAAATAGGAATCTTGTATTTATTATAGTAATACCTAATTCATTTTGATTCAGATCTATCTTTCAGGCTAAAAGGCCTGACAGATCTGAATCAAAATTTAAATTTTAATGTTCTTTAAAGAGATAAAAATGTATTATCCTTAAATATATATAGAAACTAGAAGAAAGCTAACTTCATCAACTAGAGGTCCTTCCTGGGCTCACTTGGACTCAGAATATTAACAGTAATTCTAACATGCTTGAAAATAGTTTTCCTAATAGGACAAATCCTATCCTTTGTGTTTCTCTTCAGAACCATTGTTGACTTAACAACTATTTTTCATAGATGGAGTAAAGGCCAAATTCTTACTAAAAATGATTATATACTAAATAAAGTTTAAGTGTTTAAAAACTTGTATAAATTTAGTGTGATCCTATATATGTTTGGGTGTGTGTGAACACATGTAGAAACACACACATACACAATGAGAACATAAACCTTAGGGCTTTCTAGTCCTTTTAGACCAATCTGGAAAAAAAAAATCACAACTGTTTGAAATACATGTAAATATATGAGAGCAGCAAATGTAAATGGATTGACTAACTAGCTTTCACTAAATAGATAATTAATTGGTTAATCTATTTTAATTTAAAAGGAGACTTGGAAATGAAAATTACATTTTAAAGACATATTTTAAACACGAAATGTCCCCCGTAAACAGCCAGCAGGCAAGAGGTATTATATCCTGGCATTAAAAGGGTTAAATGCACCATTGAATGTCCCTTCCACTTCCTCCTGACCAGAAGATGTTGTAATTTTTTGGATTTATGAATTGGCCAGGCCAGTCAGCATCTTGAACACAACAGACTCTGCCTAGATCTATCCCTTACCTGCTGAGAAGAGACAATTCCCCTCACACTTGGAACCCTGAAGCCCTTTAAGCTGCTTGCTCTGTAACCGTGGCAGCTGGGCCCTACACAATTCTTCATCTCCTGCTACCAGGGCTCACTAAATAAAAACTATGGTGCCTTGTTAGCCAACAACTGAGCGTGAAATCACTACATCGCAATCCCCTACTTTCTGAGTCAATCAATTTTCCCCCATCACTACAGATTTGGATGCACAGGGTCAGTAAAGAGAGGGGGAAAACAGAGTGGAAGAAAATGAATGTATCAGGGCAACCAGAACACACCCATATGGCCTAGTTAATTCTGTACAGTGAAATTAGTGCATTCACATAAAACAGTTTAGAGCTAGCTAATGAAACCAACATGTGTGCTATCTAATGTCATCATCATGCTTTGAACTTGCACAGGATATATAGTGGAGAGAACTGTAGAGACAGATATGGGGCCAAGAACAAGCTTTTGTCAGCCTAAAATTGCTAACAGATTAGAGTCTGTCTGACAAGGCACTAAGATTGTAACATATGTTCTTTTTAAGGAGTATTAACATTTTATGCATTAGCTACATGTTAACAGAGAGAGAGCTTAAACTGCTAAAAACTATTAGAATATCATTTGCAGTCCATCAGCAATTTGCTTCCACACTTGGAATTCCATGTGTGCCTGCATGGGAGGATGGGGTACTCAAGTAAGGTGGCACAAAGGGAAGAGAAGGAAAGTCAAAAAGGAAAGAGCATGAAGAAATAGGCTGTAACGTGCTGAAAGTGGTGCCTTTTTTTTTTTTATGAAGCTCCCAAAGTGAATGGCACGTTCGGAAAATGGTTTCAGAAGAGGGAAGAAATGTTTTGAAATATTGAAATAAAGCCATTTTCAATGTTTCTTCCCACCTAAATAACATCTCATATCTGTTACTACTTCCCTTCTTCAAGGGCTATGTACTCAGTATCTTGATATGGACCTTTTGCTTGTATATTGCAATGATTCCTTTCTCAACAGGGCAAAATTGTTTTATAGCAAAAGTCAAGGTGTTAAATAAATGTTATTATTAACAGTAAGCCAGGACTACTGGTCCATCCGAAGTACTCTAAAATCATTAGGTCTCCACTCCAGGGCACAGTCTCCCTGATTACAGGTTTTCACATATGGTGTCTCATGTTTTTATATAAAATTTCAATAACTGATGCTGTTGGTCTGCAGCCCCTTACAGGCAGTAGGTATATCTCCCATAGTGCCTGGTAAATAGCAAGAACTGAACAAACATTTGTTGGCTTGTACTAATATGAAGGAAATGAAAAAAAAATAATACTGCAAAGGAAGACATCCCACCAGCGGCCTATTTATACACCCCTCTCAGGATTTCCCAGGGACTCCTGGGTGTGCCTGACCATGGTCCTCGTTCCTCTGACCAGACTCACTGATTGTTGTCTATCTCTCCCCAAAGAATGCAATGTCCTTAAGAGTGGACACTATGGCTCACCTGACATTGTAGCCTAAACATCTAGGTCAGGCTGTACTCAGAGGGGCACTCCACTTTTTACCCTAAGGCACCAATGCTAACTATTACCTCACAAACTTCATACCCACCCAGGAAGCTACCGTCATATCTTATCAGAGGAAATGGAAATGGAAGATTCCTATGTGGGTAAAATGTAGTTATATGCACATCATTATCTATTTGCAAATTCCTTTTTTTTGGAGACAGGGTCTCGCTTGATTGCCCAGGCTGGAATGCAGTGGCATGATCATAGTTCACTACAGCCTTGACCTCCACAGCCCAAGTGATTTCCCCACCTCAGCTGGGACCACAGGTACATGCCACCACACTGGACCTGGCTAATTTTTAAAATTTTTTTGTAGAGATGGGGTCTCTCTAACTTGCCCAAGCTGGTGTGGAACTGCTGGGCTCAAGGTGTGATCCTCCTGCCTTATCCTCTCAAAGTGCTGAGATTACAGGCGTGAATCACCACACCTGGCCTGCAAATTCCCTTTAAAAATCCATTTTTATTTCAGACTATACAGCTTAATTTTATTCAAACATACTCAGAAGCCAGAGATAGCTATTGATTATATATGCATATGTGTGTATACATGTAAGTATGTGTGTGGATAGACATATAAGCATTTAACCCAAGGTCTCTTTTTACTACTTGACTGATTCCCTGATGATGACTTTAATGTTAAACGTGCTAATTTTAAAGTCAAACATAATTAGAAACAAAGACAAAAATAAAAGTTATCAAGTATTATCATACCAAAGGGTTGAACAATTTCAGAGTTGGTCATTATCCTGAATTTTTCATGTACCCATCCAGGCTTTAATGGGGGGGAGGGGGGAAAGAGTTTGGTTTGAATCCTGGGACTCACAGCTCCACTTCAAATATAGCAAGTAGACAGTATCTACAATAAAGTGCAATATAATTGTCATATATGCAAACATAATCTGTTAGGAGAAAGGCAACATGGTTTACATGTAGAGAAGGCATGTCTCGCCAATCATTCTGAGTTATCTGAGACAGTAAATAAGCAGAGGATATAATTTATAAACTTTCAGAAAGCCCTTGACAAGGTTCTTCATCAAAGACAGTTTAGAAAAATAGAGTTAACATGGGGCTGGGGAGAATGTTTTCTCCGGGAAAGAAAACTTTGATTAAAGAGGGGAAATAATGAGTCAAACCAACATTTTCCATCAGAGAAGTGTTAAAAGTAACTAGCAGCCAGCATTAGTTGGACTTTCTTTCTAATATTGAAAATTATCTCGGAGTAAGAGAGAGAGTACACTCAAAAAAGAAAAAAAAAGGCAAATCTTGCAGGACACATCTGCCTCTTCCAAGTGATAAAATACCTAAAACCATGGGAAGAAGTGTGTGTGTGTGTGTGTGTGTGTGTGTGTGTGTGTGTGTGTGTGAGAGAGAGAGAGAGAGAGAGACAGAGAGAGGTGCTAGTGGAGGTGGGGCTGTTGGAACCCTGAAAGTGATGACACAGGTGATCATCAGACGATGCTGATGAAGCAAATGATGCTCCTTATTCTTTTACCAAACTGACTTGTCTACACCCACCCAATTTGTGTGAGTTTGATTACGACATCCTGCAAGATACATGATTAGAAAAGTCCCATAAAATTGTAGAAATAGAATATTCTAAATATTGTGTTTAAAAGTGGAGGGAAATAATTTCATTGATAGGTATGTGTATAATCAAAGAAAAAAGGAGGCAGATGGAAGAAGGTAGAAAATGCGGGTTGTTCAGCATGGAAAAATGGAAGTTGAGATTGGAATGACTGGAAAAATTTGTAGAATGGCAAAGGACAAAAGTGGGGTATCATCATACTCACTGCCTGAACAATATAACTTGCTATTGCCATGTACATTTGTATGTCTTTGCTGTGTCAAATAACTGGATCTGATTTTAACTCTTTCTAAGTGGTAAAAGCAATGCATTTTTACTCTTCAAATTCAGATATTGAATACGTATTAAAATATGTATGCTTAACTGTAATCCTCTCCCCATCAACAATTAGGAACATGTTTCTCCAATTACTGTTGGCACGACTACCAATTAGAACCTCAGCGCTGGGCACGGTGGCTCACGCCTGTGAACCTAGCACTGTGGGAGGCTGAGGCAAGCAGATCACCTGAGGTCATGAGTTCAAGACCAGCAGGGCCGGCATGGCAAAACCCTGACTCTACTAAAAATACAAAAATTAGCCAGGCATGGTGGTGGGCACCTGTAATCCCAAATACTCAGGAGGCTGAGGCGGGAGAATCACTTGAACCTGGGAGTTGGAGGTTGCAGTGAGCCAATATTGCGCTATTGCACTCCAGCCTGGGCAACAGAGCAAGACTCTGTCTCAATCAATCAATCAATCCATCAATCAATAAGAACCCCAGATTGTATAGCTACATGTTTTAGCCCCCTTTTCAAAGTATATGTTCTCCTTGGTACTTATTTTGACATTCTGATTTTTCTACATATGCTTTATCAACCTCTTCATTAAACCATCATTGTCTATTTTGAGAGATAACTGCACAGCTTCCCATTGTGTGTTTTAAATGTTATTGTTCAGTTTGAGTCAAATAAAAGGATATTTAATCTGTGATGCCTTGACATAAAAAATAAATAAATAAATAAATAAATAAATAAATAAATAAAGCAAGCCAGGTTAATCCCTTTGAAGTTTAAAGGGCTTGTTTAGGACACAGGATAGGAAAGACTTAGATTTACCCAACAGGTAGCTCTTCAAGGGAAAGCATCTAGTGACAAATTTAAATAGACTTAAGGAGTTTGGGAAATTCAGAGAGGCTAGATACATAACAAGTTAATAAGGAAGATGAGCAGCTTCTTGTTGCCTATTCATCTTTTGAAATTATCATCAAGACAGTTATGCCTGCTCACTGAATTTCCTTAGGGACAGGAGCTGAAGAGTGACCAGCCTGGCAAGCCATTTCTTCCATTTCCTCCATTAACACAGAAAATTGAGCATGGATTGTGAACGTTGCATTAGCTATCATTGTTGTCAACACTAGTCACTAATGACCCAATTTGAGGGAGAAGGGGTGGAGGGGAGAAGGGCCCACTCAAACAACGGTTACTGTCTAGAAATGTAAAATGTCTTTTTTGAGGTAATTAAAATTTTTTTGCGACTTTTAAAGACTGGCTTTCTTATGTGCAGTGTGGCATAGAACAGCTTGTAGGCTGCAGATCAATAAATTCCAGTTAACTTTCAAGTCATGTTGGCATGCAGCCCTGGCTGATTTATTAATTTAAATTTCAGCCCTCTAAAAAAAAGTATGTCTAAAGAAATAAGGCACTATATGGATCGCAGTGAGATTGCTCAATCGGAACAGGTCTTCACATACATTGGTTATCAATATCAATAGGAAATCTTAAAACACTGAAGAGAATAGGTCATCCCTCCCTCTGTCGTATCCAGTTAGTGTTTTTCTTAGGAATCCTGACTACCAATTCTTTTTGTTTTTAAGAGTAGTTGATACCTGAAACACTCATGGCTTAACTCACATAAGCTTCAGCAAATAGTTAAGTAAGAATAAAAAGGTGAAAATGAAAGGAAAGTAGTGCGATCCATCTGAGTGTTCAAATCCTTAGGAAGGAACAGTCTCCCTTATTTCTCTTTTCTCTGCCCTTATGTCCCTAATACCTATCTAATTCTAAGGATATAACCCAAAAGTCTCATAGTAGCAACAAAATGCTAGAAGTTGCTTATGTTTTTCTTTTTAATCATCTCTCTCTTGCATGTTTTACCTTTGATTCTTCACATTGTTTTTAACAATTTTTCCAAGCCCGCCAATATCTACCAGTGGATTACCCCTTTTTGGACACTTGCTCCAGGCACTTTAGAAATCCTGGCCAAAATTGTTGGTATTTTAAGGCACCAAACTACTTTTACTATGAGACTATCAAAAATTACTCTGATGATACAGCGTGGTCCAAACACTGCATCCTCAAACTCAATGATTTCTGTTATCTGCGTCGCTTCTCCCTTGTGTCAACATAAATAAGGGAAAGCTGTCTGAATCTATTAAAAATGGTCAGTCTAAAGCTGCAGTTGAATTCTACTGCACCTACTGCATTTTTGATCCTGAAAGAAATATTTGTGAAATGCCAATACCATCCAAATATGGCCCATAATAATAGAATCTCAAGCATATATTTTTTAAAAACAAATGCTTATGTAGAAATTGCAAATGTTTTCAGACCAACTGTGCCTTCATTAAATTTATAGAGAACATTATCATTTTATTAATAACTGTGATATCTATTTGAAAAACCAACATGATTCTAAAGACAGATTTATACTTTTTATTTCTTACTGCATTCAGTTTTAATGAAGGTTCTGGAGCTTCTCAGTAACAGTGAAATTGTATTTAAATGGGGCCTTTAGGGTGTTCAAGTTACAGATTAATTAACTTGATCTGGTAAGGGTTTTGGGGGCACTGTAGTTCTTGAACCTCTAATTTTATCCTTAGAGGTAGCCAAAGCTTCTCTAGACATTAGCAACTAAATAGCTGCACAGGCTTAGATTATGACTGAAACATCTAAAATAATGCAGGCTTGTCAGAAGATAGAATAAAAAGACCAGTTGATAAGTGCAACAACATGACCTCTTTCTAGCTTACAAATTTAGCTCTACCACTTCATAGCTGTAAGACATTGAGGACATGAAGGAACAGCTCAGGTCTCAGTCTCCTCTGCAAAACGGGGATAAGAACACCTACCTTAGTGGGTTGTTATGAGGATTAAATGAAATTACTCATGTAAAGTGCTCAACATGATGTCTAGCATGCAGTAAGCACTCATTAAGTGAGATGTTCTCACTATTACTATTATTATTATTTTAGAGACAGGGTCTCACTCTGTAACACAGGCTGGAACACAGTAGCATGATCTTGACTCACTGCATTCCTGGGATCAAGTGATCCTCCCACCTCAGCCTCCCAAGTAGCTGGGACTACAGGTGAGCACTACCACGCCTGGCTAATGTTTTATTTTTTGTAGAGTCAGGGTCTCGCTATGTTGCCTAGGCTGGACTCAAACTCCTGGGCTCAAGTGATCCTCCCTCCTCGGCCTCCCAAAGAGCTGGGATTGATTACAGGCATGAACCACTGTACCCATCCACTATTATTATTATTAACCTTACAATTGTGCTTTATGGCATGACAGCCATCTCTAGAAATAAGAGGCAAAGAGAAAAGGTTAAGAAAAAAAGTAGCTTGTACTTGTTCTGACGCTATAGTGAACGGTCTTTACTACATTCTCTTTCCTACCTTTAAGCAGGACACAGGTACCCACTCACCTACTCTGTTTTTGAGGCGATTACATTTCTTGTCCAGCTTCAAACATATCCTGGACTTTTCAGCTGTTCTGTGGTTTTAGGTGCCCCTTCCTGGAAGCCCATCCCTGACTATAAATATCCCACCTAGTCTTCAAGTTTTAGCTCAGATGCTATCTTTTCCATGAAGCATTCCCTGAACTTTATGAGGTCTGTCCCTGCTCTATTTTCATTGCACTTTATTTATATTTATATAACAGTAATTTTCACATTTTACCTTGGGTGAATCATCCGTATCTTATGTCATCTACTGCACTGTAAACTGCTTGACAATAGGGACCATGTCTTGTACATCTTTGGATCTCTTACAAAATCCATCTGAGATCTGTTGGCATTTAGTAAATGTTTGCTAATTTGTCATCTCATTCTCAATCAGTTGGGTCACTTATTTTCAAGGAGATCTTTCTTCTTTAGAAACTTGTTACAGTCTTTTCCTTTTGTTCCTGGTTCCCCTGAAACTATATGCACATATTTCACTTTGTGTACAACATTATGTTATATGCTATGGAATAAACCAACTTTACCTGATGAAGCTTTATGATTCCCTTGGAAATGGAAGCTAAACACATATAATAATAAACCTGATTAAATGCCATACAATTATTATGAGTTCTCAGACAGCAGCTCAATAAGGGCCAAGAAGGCAACTTGAGTGAAGTGGCCTAGATTATTTATACAAGGAAATAGGCTCTTGTCAATTCTTCTTACAACAAAAGGCTCCTCTGGGCTATTTTTACATTTGACACGGACAACAGAGACATGGCTACAAGAAATATTTCACTTTTCTTTTCCTCCACTGAAAGTTAAACAACACAGAAGGTGAAGGTAAATAGCAATTGCTTCTCAGTCTGAGTGGCAGGGGGACAAGAAGGAGTGGCAGGGACTGTGGCAAACTTCAGGTCACAGCCTTTGCTAAAGAAGGCAGCCACTACTCAGCCCTACTGATCACTGCTGTTAGAGAATGCCCAAAGTGGTCTAATCTTCCTTTTTCTAACAACAACAATAAAAAAATGAGATGCAGAAAAAAATTATTTTCATGTAAAATCTACATAGTTTTAAAAGTTGACTATTATCTTAAATATTTAAAAGCACTGTTGGCCGGGCATGGTGGTTCATGCCTGTAAACCCCAGCACTATGGGAGGCCCAGGTGGGCAGATCACGAGGTCAGGAGATTGAGACCGTCCTGCTAACATGGTGAAACCCCGTCTCTACTAAAAATACAAAAATTTAGCCGGGCGTGACGGTGGACGCCTGTAGTCCCAGCTACTTGGGAGGCTGAGGTAGAAGAATGGCGTGAACCCAGGAGGCGGAGCTTGCAGTGAGCGGAGATCACGCCACTGCACTCCAGCCTGGGTGACAGAGTGAGACTCCATCTCAAAAAAAAGAACAACAGCAACAACAACAACAACAACAACAACAAAACCCACTGTTTTAGGCAAATCCTAGGTATACGGGCAGTATCTGTTAAAGACTTCCAGGTTACAACCTCCACAAGTGTTTTGGAAAAGTAAGAGAAAGACACTATAACTGTAGGTTGGAATGCCCTGGCTCGGCATCATGGAGAAGCTGGTAGCCGAGATGCACCTGTAACTTATTTCTCTCTTTTTTTTTCTGACCTTACTTTCTCTGTTGTCTGTGCTGACCTCTATTCACAGCTCAGTAACAATGACCCAGCTTTTGAATCTTTGTTTATCCCATCAAGTCCTATTATGCCAGAGGCTCCCAAATCTTCAGTTCTGCTTTTAATTTCTATCTCTCTTTCTCTCTCTGTTGCTATATCAACCTAAACGAAAGGACACCTCTACTTTATACCACCAGACTTGGCCTAATTATCCTCACCTAATGCTTGCCCCTTCTGAGTTCTTTGAAGTCGCCAGTGAAGGTGCCATCTGGCCAAT
This sequence comes from Homo sapiens, assembly GCF_000001405.40. NCBI lineage: Eukaryota > Metazoa > Chordata > Mammalia > Primates > Hominidae > Homo > Homo sapiens. The sequence continues at coordinate 91,141,321 of NC_000007.14, read as the reverse complement.
TAGTTCATCTGAGAAAGTGGAGACAATTTTAATTCTTCTCTGTCCTTCTCCCACCACTCTAACTACATGACTACGTCACACTGACGATTTTCTGGAATGGCCCCCTACTGAGGGTCATGAAACTTACACTTCCTCAAAGACTGCTTCCACTTTCTTGCTTCCTTTGCTTCACTCAAGTGGAAATTCTTGCCATCCCCTGCACGTGACACACTCAGTGCAACTTTTGTGCTTTTTGCTGATGTACAAAAATCTCTTGCATCTCTTTTCCCAATTTCCACAAATCCCTTTTCTTCATGTCCTCATGCCAAACCAAGCCCTGGTTTGCTCTTCCTTCTGTCATGGTTATGTACAACTTTTACCAAGCAATACACTACACTGTAAGATGGTCTAGATTTTTTTTTTCATTTTAGGTAAAAGAAATGGAAAAAAAAGACCAAAAAAATGGCTATCATAAAAGATCTCGAATACGTCTGTCTTTTATTTATACAGACTTCATGAAATTTGGAATTCATAACAGTCACTGAGTACTTGTTACGGAGCAAGCAAGTATTGTGCTAAATACTTTATCCTCCTATTTAGATCTTCACAACAAGCTGACAAGAAAGGAACCATTCCTACTCCTGATTTATAGATGGAAAAACTGAGGCTAAGAAAGGTTAAGTCTCAGCCCAGGCCACAGAGCTGGTAAGTAGCATAGCACAGTCTGAAAGCCCAGGTTGCTGGTATTAACCAAAGATATTAATCCCTATTCTATATTGCTTCCCGAGTTAGAGCTGCCTGTACTGAATCAAGTCTACCACCAACAAAACTGATGCTAGTGCAATGAATGATTAACAAAGGACTCACTAACATAAGGTCAAAGTAAAGGAAGCCCATGACCACTTCACATCTTTTCTCAAACAGACACAACAGAACTCAGGATTAAACAAAAGAGTTCGACATAAGGTTCTGGCTCCAGGACAGTCTGTGCCACACAGATCCCCTCATACAATGTCAAGGCCAGAAAAAGCACCTCTTAAATTTATTTCAACTTTCCAAAGGAAGTCATGTAAAATGCACTTTTAGGGAAGTCAGTTTGTTTTCTTATTTAGTCTTTGTTCTCTTGCTATTTATTTCTATTAAAGAGATTGTCTCTCTCCATGATCCTCGGTTTTAAAAGGACCTTATTTGAGCATGTGAGGAGGCTGCCCAAATCCTTCTCACTCGTGTCACCATTGCTCACTTTTGCCTTTCATCCCGTCCTAAAGAACAAAACAGGAAAAATTGCAGGGAGAGGTATTCACTGCTTTTCTCTGTTTAAAATTGTAAGGCTGTTTAAAGTTCAATCTGATTCAGTGTTGTCCTGGTTGTGTGCTAAGTCTCAGAGTTTTTTTCAATGGGATTAAGTAGGGAAACTGTACTTCGTCTTGAAAGAAAGAAATGAACGGAAAAAAATGAAAGGTGACAGAGAAAGAGGGAAAATAAAGAGAAAAAAAGGAAGAAAGGAAGAGCAAGAAAGAAAAGAAAAGAAAGAAAGAAAGAAAGAAAGAAAGAAAGGAAAGAAAAAAAGAAAAGAAAAGAAAAGTTCTGAATTGTTTCCTGATCTCTCCCTAGTAAAGAAAACCAAAATAATGTTTGCTATGGTCCTGGAGGCTACTGTACTTAGCTCTAAAAATACCAAGGAACATGGGAAATCATTCATTCAAACTTTTGGCCACTGCATCCTTTGTTGAAAAATATCTTAGGTGGAAACATAAAGTGTAAAACAGATTAAAGTGGAGCTACTTTGATGTGGAGAGTGATGGGGTTGAAGCCCTGCCCAGTGTTCCTCTCCCTTTCCACTGCCTCCCAAGAGATACCTTCAAGGGGATCTGAGGAGCAGTGACTGCTTTGAAATTTGTTTTGGCCACAACTCACTAGAAAAAATGCATTTTATTAAGTGACTCAGTATAGATATAAATGCACATGCACACATACAGTTGAAATAAAAATTTCATGAAATGATACTTATTATTTTTACTACATGTGATCATCTCATTTTCCTTTCCCGTTTAGTCTACTCCACTTGCGAAGTACTTTCTCCAGTCTACTAGATTGATATCACTATCCAATAAGGAGTTAAAAAAACACTGCATTCAGTAACTTAATACTTAAAATAATTCTATAGATTAAGAAATACTTGCTCCCGTCTGCATTTCCTCCCTCTTGAGGGAGCACTGATGAAGAAAACATGCAGTAAGAAGTGGTAAGTGGAGGCACTCGAATTTGGATGTAGGGCTGATTCACTTGTCTAAGAAGGACAGATTCTCTTCGCAAGGAGTTGGGAACACTGACCTCGAATGATGTCTGCTTGTTATTGCAAATCACAGGACAAGTCAACCTGGCTTCCATCACATGGACTAGAGAAGCAGGGAAAGCCAGAATCGAGGCAACAAAAAGATGGACAAAGAAAGAGATCTTATCTCTGCTGGAGTCCCTGTTTCCAATTTACGCCCAGGGCCCAGTTTTATTTTTGTCCTTGGTTCCATAAAATATCTTATATATCCTTACAATCTCCCATTTTATAAAAATGAGGAAAAAAAGAGGGAAAGAAAGAAATAGAAATCACAGGATAGTCATGACAATACATTTAACAATCAGCTGTCATTAATATATATAAAATCTATTCATGCTACAAAATTATCACCAACATAAAAAAATTCTACCCCACTTAAAAGAACAATAATAAAAATATTTCTGGTAGATTTAAAGAAAGTGAAAGAGAATGCAAATATATATTTGCAGAAAGAATTCCCTAGGTCTATTGCTTTTTCACCCTTGAGACTGTCAATGCACTATGTCAATACAGTGGCAACCACAGGATTTAAAGGTTTTATTAAACTTTCTTCACTAACTTAAAAAATCCATCTCAAATGCCATCTATTTAGGTGTGTGTCCCTTTTCACCTTTTTATTTTAGCAAGAGGCTCTAAGAAATACACCTTTTAAAAACTCTAGCCACAGCAAGCCTATAACAAGGCTTCAAACATATGTACTTCCACACGAAATCACAAAATGGGCTTTTATAAATTTCTTTCTACAAAAATAAATAAGAGAAAGTAATAAAAAAGATAAAGCCTTCATACAGAATTGCAGCAATTATATCCCCACAGCTACACTATAACCCAAAACTTTGCAAAGGCTTTGATTATTGAACCATGGCTGAAGTGAATAATTTGCTTTTCACTAAGAAAACAAGCACATTATTCTCACCACAATGGAGAGAGGCAGTTTTAATTAAACCTTATCAAAAGATGAATAAAGAATAAACTCAATACCCATTCCACAGAACTCTATTTTCATCTGTTTAGTTTAAGCTTGCCATGTTCATGCAATAATTATCCACTGTCCAAGGAATGCCAGAGTTGTGTTAATGTTGGTAAAGATTTAATTAGCTCAATTATCTGGAGAGTATTGAAGTGAGGCTCAGCACAGTACAAATTTCTTCAGGCTTTATACATACCTCTCATCAAAATACATGAAACTGAAATCTAAGTGAACAAAAGACTCTTACTCTAAAACTCCACAATTGAAACAGTTCCATACTTCATAATTTTATTACTCCAATTAAACACACACACACACACATACACACACACACACACACACACCCCCCACAAGTCTTTAGAAGTAGAGCTCATAAGTGAGGGCTTATCTTGGTGTGAGTGTGTGTGTGCGTGTGTGTGTGCACAGTGCATGTAGTTAACTTCCTGAATCTGTAAATATGTTCTTAGAAAGTTAATTAAATCTGCCTTTTAGATAAATATTAACATCCCAAGCACGGTCCTTTAAAAATTTTTTATTTTTTCAATGGAGCCTACATATTACTTTTTTTTCCCAGAAAGCAAGGCATTTAAATAGCATTGAAAGCACAGTAATGCAGATAACTGTTTCAATCTGTCAGACACCAGGGACAGACAGTAGGGTTCATTTCAGAAAACAGATTGGCCCCCAGCGGCCTGACCTTCCTGGTGGGAAAGAGAACACAGCACTGTGCTTGACAAGCTCAGCAACAAAGAGGTATATTCAGGTCCCCCCAATTCAGACATGCTTCTCACAGGGGAAAATGCAAAGCTGGAGAAAGAAATGCACCACTTCCAGCAAAGCAGAGTTTACTTAGATCAGAGACAAGCATTTCAACCATAACAAAAAATAACATATTTAGGAAAGCAGCAAGCACAATTTTATCCACAGTTATAAATTTAGAAAGCTCTAATTTGGGCATTGTCAATGTCTTAGCTTCCAACTTCACCTGTGATCCACACCCACTAGCATTATAACATCAGTGGGAATCCCAAAATATGATTATCCTGATAAAAGATTTCCTAATTATCAATGAAGAGGGCATAACTTTTCTCTTAGAAGATGGCTCATGCGAATTTCAAAGTGTGCTTTATCTTTCTTTTTACATGCTGCAAGTTTTGCCTTTATTTTGAAATCCAGATGGACATTTTCTTGTCTTTTAGACCCTTAAACAGATTTTTCATTACCTTTTATTTTGCATTTGTATAGGGTCTTTTTAAGAAAGTTTCAAAATGAGACAAAAATCCAGCAAAAGAATAAAAAACAACTAAAACAGTGATAAAGGAATATCCTTAATTCAGAAAACCTCAAGCTGAATTAGTTGCTCTATGTAAATACGTACATATTTTTCAAAACTCCAATGTCAAGTTTTATTGTATATCCTACAGGATCCATTACAAGGCATGTTTAGTCTGTATGTTTATATATATAAAATGTGTTAAGATATCACATTTTTAAAGCATTAAGCTTCATGTGGAAGATTATAAATTTAAAAGGCACTCACAGATACCCATGTTACCCTTATAAACAAGTACATTGCTGTTTTTTAAATTCAGAGTCTATGTTTTTAGTACATACTTTCCTAAACTGTAGAGATTATGGGCAGTAACGCTCAAATCAACTAGTGAAGTTGAAACAAGCCCTGACTTCTGACCCATAAATATCTGGATGATTAAACACTCCTCTTTGTAAATGTGTAGATTATTAGAAAAACTTACGGTGGAGAGTAGACCATGGTATACCACATAGAACATCATATTTTAGAAAAGAAGGCATAGTTTTGAAAACTGGACACAGATCAAAGTCAGAAACTCACATTGCCAGATAAAAGACAAGGCTGGTCGGGTGCTAAGACAACTTGAACTGCCAGAATAATTTGCCTCCATTTTAGACATAAACACTTTGTATCAGAAAATGCTATAAGGAAATGGGGCAAAAATGATCCATGCCAATAAAAATTAGTTTTTATCTGCCTCATTTTTTTTCAGCCATCTTCTTTAGGAAGTACACAAAGGTCTCTTCTGAGCTGGCAAAGAAAGACACAAGTGTAGGTTGGTTTTACCTGGTTTTCTAGCCTGTGAGCACTTTGATGGTATGACTCACTGAGTCCGGCTCTAAAAGACATCCTTGGAACTTCAGAGTATTTTGTGTAAGAACAAAGGGTGCTTGGGTTCAGTTTGCAACACAAGTCACTTTTACCACACAAATTCCCTTCTTTTGTGCTGGCAAAGGGGGATGCTTTGAGCCCTTTGGGTTTAGAAGATCTTCAAACAGACAATAGTGTGCAAACAACCCTCAAGAACGTAACTTTGCTAGGACAACCTCAAGGCTGAGACCAAGGCTTTGAGAAAGGCCCCTTCAGCTGATTTCCTTCTGCTCCTCACCCTGAACAAAGCCTGACTGACAATACTGAAATCTCCCTCTTTGGATTAAACCCTCTTTGCAGGAAAAGTATGCAAATGCTATACATGGCTCCCTTGTCTGAGGCTACTCTTACCCGGCTATCTTTTCTCTGTCGGGCTCACCCTTGCAGACCATCTATTCCTGACACTGAGACCAGCCTTCCAATTCAATATCTTTCACAGCTCTGACAGTCAGATGCCTGGTCCTGCCACTGCCTCTAAAAGGGGGCTCATTTACTTGTAATTAACTATTCCCTGCATATTTCCTAAGGTATGGTAATTGTGCTAAAAGCCAACAAGTGAGGCATTCATTCTAGTTCTCATTTAAATCTTTTTTTTTCCCTCAGCAGTCTTCCTCCCTCTGCCTCCTTTTCACCCCCAACCCTCTGTCCCCCAGTTTTCTTTTTTTGTTCCTCCCTGGTAACATATCAAGTAAAGAGATGAAGTGAAGGTGGAAATTGAAAAGTACGGGAAAATAAACAATTCAAAAGGCAGAGCTTACTGAATAATGAAGCACTGCATGGAAAGTTACAAGTGAAAGAAAATTTAAAATGAAACACACTGCTTTTTTTTGACAGAAATATATATGTATACAAATATGTAAATACATACATATTTGAATACTACATAAAACGGCCAATTTAATAAGCTGGTTCAGGGTCTCAAGATATGTTTGTATATACACACAACAAAAAATTCTATAAATTATTATTATTTTTTTTTGAGACAGGGTCTCACTCTGTTGCCCAGACTATATAGTGCAGTGGTGTGATCTCGGCTCACTGTAACCTCTGCCTCCTAGGCTCAAGCAATTCTCCTGCCTCAGCCTCCCGAGTCACTGGGATTACAGGCACATGCCACTACTGCCCAGCTAATGTATATATTTTTAGTAAAAACAGGGTTTCACCATGTTGGCTACTCTGGTCTCAAACTCCTGACCTCAACTGATCCACCTGTCTTGGCCTCCCAAATTGCTGGGATTACAGGTGTGAACTACCATGCCCGGCCTAAATTCATTTTCTTAATAGAAATTTTCTTCTCAAAATTTATTTGCACTCTGCACTACAAAGAGTACAAACAAAAGATAATGATTTTGCCTTCCCAGTCTTTCTACCCCTTAGCTGCAGATAAGAAATATATAAGGTCAAGAATCTTAACTTCTGACCTTTTGCAAATAGTTCAGGTCTGGGCAAGCGGGCAGTGGACCTCTGAGGACTGTAGCATGTTCTTGCAGGTAGGTCAACAATGCCATGATCAGGAGATATTTAGGGGATGAGGTGAAGTGATAAAAAAATTATTTACCTCAAAGACTTTAGCTACAAGCTGTTGAGCTATAGTCAAGTGGATCAAACTGGAAAATAGTCATGGCTGTTTGCAACATCTCCATCCTCTCAACCCACAAAGCAATGTTGTAGAATTAGTCTTGGCATAGGAAAGTACATATTGTTTCATTAAAAAGACTCAATGCCCTCCCCCCACAAAAAGCCCTCACCTTTTGAAAAGCCCATTGAGATTAGCAGCAGGTGGAGAATCCGGAGTCCCAAATTCTTATGCCGACAGGACTCCTTTAGCTCCTCTTTTTGCTTTTGGCTAAATTATGTTTCTATGCTATCTCTTAATCATCTGGATACTGCTATTTCTAGTATTAATTTATCAGCATTTCTTAGGGGTAACAGAAAGTACTTTAAACGTTAACTCATGGAATGCCCTGTGGTTGTAAAATGAGCTTAGCTTGCGTAGTATCTGACTCTTCAACATAGATCTACAGAGGAGAATCTGGTAATGAGATAGCGTCAAAGAACTTGGACCCATCCAAGGGGACTCTGAGGTTGGAATATAGTGAGAGCCTAATATGGCTATAAAAATGTAAATTAACTAACTTTCTTAATTATACAATAAAATCGGTAAAACCATCTTCTCTGTTAAAGTAAGGACACAGCAGTTCAATATACTTCCTTTCACTCATATTTCTTATGTATAAATTTTACATGTACAAGCAAAATATTCTACTTTCACTTTATCCCATGTATTTCTCCATGTTACTTGGCTTAATAACTTCAATTTTCAAGACTGTATCATATTTCATCTGCTTTGGTAAACTTTAATTTACTTATTTATTTTTAAAATATTTAAATGGTCTACTCTGTTCTTAATAATTTGTTTAATCTGTTTTACATTAGTTGTTTCAACATTTTTTTCATTGTTATCATAATTATCCCTGAAAATTTTAGTTACTAACCATTAAGGTGGTTTAAGGAATTTGGTTAGACAGACTTTAATATTGTCAAATACTTCACAGTGTATTTGAGTTTAGGCAAAACTGGGCCTGAAACTACAGTTAACCCTTACAGGGACTTAAAGTACATAGACAGGAGTATGAATTTATTCATAAAAACACTTTTGCACACCAATTGACTGCTGAGTATACAAGACCATGAAGATACTGAATTCTTAAACATTTCTTTTAACTTTGAAAATTGTCTTAAATTTTTATCCCTAGAAACTCGCTTTTCCATTTTTTGCATTTCTCCCAAATGATACCAATGTATCTTAATATATGAAATATTATATATTCACAAAATTTAAATTAAGGGGATTGTTATTCATTTTACAAAAGATATGTGAATAGAAAAGGCATATTCTTTAACTTAAAATAATTTACATATTACTTTTAAGAAACATGTTGTAATATGCTGATAAATGTATAATCAAGAAACTATGTCTGTAACAGAGTCACAACAGAGTTGCAGTCACTTTTGCAACCTCCTCCAGCAAAATTAATTTTTCCCTCATTTGCCCTCCCATATGGCTTCACGCAAAGTTCTGCTGTACCCTTTATCATCCTGAAATTTAAAATGTCATGGCTGGAGGATGAATAGAAGGAGAAGAGTAAGTGTTGGTAAAATTGCTAACATCAAATTAGGCATAAATGTGAATGGAATCTTGTTTATTTTCTTTACTTAATTTCAAGACATGATCTAACATAATAAGTTCAAAGAAGAAAAAAAATACATCTTCCTTTAGCATTGTTAAATGATTCCTAAAGGATCTCTCAGCTTGAAGATGTTTTGGTTCTTCTGTCTGTGACCAGGAAGTCATACATATTCTCTATGGGCAACAACATGAAAATCCAAACTCTTCAGCATGTCATTCAAGACCCTCAGAATCGGGCTTCAAATGACTTTCTCTGCGCGTGTCTTCTCACTCCGTATCTCCCAGCCCCTTAGCTCTATCAGATCAGTCCCTAGAGATGCTGCACTTTGTGACACAGCTTTGCTCTTGGTGTTTGTTTCCTCTTTTTGAAAACATCCTTCTCCTCCTGTATGCCCATGCAAAATCCAATGCCTTCTTTTGTTCAAAATCTCTTCCTTTGGAAAAACTTCTGCTATCTCCTCGAGCAAAATTAATATTTCCCTTATTTGCTCTCCCATATAGCTTCATGCAAAGTTCTGCTGTACCCGTCATCATCCTGAAATTTAAAAGACTGCATTTGTGTCCCTAAATTGTGAGTGTCTTGAAGCTGGAACTGTCTTCTTACTATTGTCTAGTAGAGCACCAATATAGTGGTTGCTAAAAAACCAACCAACCAACCAACCAACAAAAAAACTTCCTAAAAGAACAAGAGATTGGTGTATGGTGAGTTGGTTGGATATTCACTAAGTCAATCAATATTTCAAAAATATTTAATGGGCATAGATTATGTGCCATGCGAGGAGATGGGAAATATAATGGTAAAATGAGGATAAAACCGTAAACGAGTTCCTGTATTCTGATATTTAGATTCCAGTGGGGAAGGAAGACAAATGAACAGGTGACTTCAATACTGAAGGGCTAACACTTGCTTTGTTCCCAACATCTGTAAAGTAGCCACATTTTATTCATGTTTACAAAATATATTCCACACGCTGTCAGATGCCCTTATAAATTCTATCACTGATCCTGAGTCAAAGGCTGGAACATCTCAGGGTTCTTAACTCAGACATTCCCTGCTTTGTTGGTGACTCTGTCTCCATTTCCACCCATTTTCATTTAGAAAGTTGAAGCCTTGAGAGTAATTTCTCTCTTCAGATTCTGACATTAGACAGCCTTGTTGTCAGTTCAGTAACCATTTAGAGTTCTTTCCATTTGACTGAGAACCTGTCCCAGATCTCCAGCTTCTCTGACTTTACATCCTGGATATCACGTTGGCTTTAAAACCTTATCTGTGTTAATGTAGTGATCAAGGTCAACATCTCCAGTGATAATTTATGTGGATATCATGTACTTCTTGACATGAAGTGGTGAAAGGGCATCTCATCTTAGTGGTATTCTTCTCCAAAACATCATGAGGGACATTCTGCAAAATACCTGAACAGTACTCTTCAAAAGCATCCAGGTCATAAAAAATAAAGTTAATATTAGGAGAAGGTGGGTTAAGGACATAATCCTCTGTACTGGCTTTACAACTCTTCTAAAAAATCTAAAAGTACTTCAAAATAGAGTTCAAAAAACAAAAACAAAAAAAAAATAAAAAACTAAAGAACACAGCCCTAATCTGACTGACTGCTACTCAGGTTGAGCAGATATTCTGGATTCTGAAACCCCAAATGCACCCAGATTTCCATGAGTTACTTCATGGGAGCTCGGCGGGAAAAGACCCAAGTCCCGTTTTCTGACATAAAGTTGAATTTATGCTGTGTCTAATAGGAGCTATCTGAAAGCCTTTCTGAGTCCTATAAGCAAGCTATGTAAAATGGCCTGATGATTTAGTATCATATGGCCAGAGGCTCTCCATGTGAGGTCAAACTTGATGCATATAAAAAAGGAAAGTCACAGCCCCTAAGATTAATATACAGTAAAAGTCTTTCAAGATTTGGTCTACTAGTCATCAAGAGGATAGTAAATGATGCTCTATTGTAATTTTCAGATGATACCTGTGTGAACACAAGAATAGGGATTTTTATCTATTGTACACTAGAAAAATTGAGATATTAAATCGAGAGATCCAGAATCATTTCATATAGCAAAAAAAAATTTGTGCTGAATAGTAATTTCTTCAAGAAGGAAAATGTTACCAACATAACTTGTATGTTAGAGTTAATGCATGACACTTGTGAAATAGAGCAGTGTTTCTCATACTTTTTTATCTTAGGACCCCTTAAGACTCTTAAAAGTTAAAAGGAACCCCCTAAGAACTTTTGCTTCTATGGTTTGTAGCTGCTGATACTTACCATATTCAAAATTAAAACTGTTAATTAAAAATATTTATGTGAGAACTCATTACATGTTAACATGAAAACAGAATTTAAATAAAAATAACTACATTTTCCAAAGAGAATTAGTGGGAGGAGTGGCAGTGCCCTATAGTTGTGCAAATCTTTTCAATGAGTGGCTGGATAGAAGAGAGTTGGGTTCACAAATATGTTTCTACATTCAATCTATTATGATACATTGTTTTGGTTGAAGCAAATGACAAAAATATGGGACTACAACAGATAAGTAGTTGGAAAAGAAAAAAGTATTTTAATAGCCCTTTCAGATATATTCTTCTTTTACAGTACAACAAAACTCAACAAGTGTTAGTTTCTTAAGGGTTAATTGTACCAGGGAATCTGAAACTATATCAATGAACTCTTCGTATTCTGTTACCTTAATATCTATTGGTTTATTTTAAACTTTCAGTGAATATTTTATCCATGCATTATTTTGCTAACATGCATTGATCATTTGGAAAACATTGATTTAGTGAGTTATGCAGGTATTTCAAAGGTTGACACGTTTCACTATATAATATCAAAAAAATCACATTTGTTTATATTACCACCAATCTCATTATCACTGTCCAGTTCACAGTGGCAAATAAAAGCTACCCATAGAGTTCTCAAATTCAAATTTTCTATTGAAAGCTCTAATTTTATCAACAAATTAATACTGGTTTTTTGCTTTGGTGATGAACTCATTTTTGGTTCCTTTCTGAGAAGATGTCTGCCAAATACCCAAGTCTGAATAACCATAGTTTTTCCTGTCAGTCATTCTTTCAAGTAAAAACCATATGCCTGGAAAAAAGCAGTTAGTTCAGCTTACAACTCAAACAACTGTACAAGAGTTTTCCTTGAGACAACCATGGTAACTAGGTATCCAGTGGAAATGACTTAGGCAAACTTCCCATTTAGTCACAGAGTATATTAAGAAGACATTTACCTAAAAGTAGAGGTTTAATAAAATCAATACTTTTAACTTCCTCATCAAGAATATTATTAAGTGAAGCTTTTTCCGCCCCCTCCAAAATTGAATTGTGTGGTTGTGAAGACACAGTGCCCAGGAATACAGTTTAGAGTGTCACTGCTTTGATTCATGCTAAGGAGCCAGCAGTTTTACCCTCCATTGCTTTTGCACCACTAGTGCAAATGTCAACACAGTGTAAATGGCAAAGAATATCTTAGTGTTATTATGAAAACAGTTTTGACCCCATGAAGGCCCTGGGCGTGAAGCCCCTGGGGATCCACATGGTATATGGACCACACTTTGAGATCTGCTGACATAAAAGACGATGATAAAACTATCATTTCTTTTCTTTAGTATCCAGGGACCTTCTCTGAGGAGAACCCACAAAACTGAAAGTAAGACTTTTAACACATGGTTACTCAATCCACAGAGTTGTGGAAACGTTCAACAAAGAGTATGATAAACATAAGAATGTCAATATGTACCAGCAATTAGTTAATGGAGAGGAGATGGATTGAGAAGAATGTAAAATAGTGGAGAGTCTAAGAAGTCAGTGAGTGCAGAGCTGACTCTGCAATGCGGAATTGAAAGGAGGGGCTGGAGAAAAGGGTAGGCAATGAGACCAGGCATGCACAAACACCACCAATTCACCCCTGCAGTCTGCAGGGCCAGGAGCCTTCAACTTGCCTGTCTTGAGTTTACGGTAAGGGCTTCTTACTTAAAGGTACAGACTGGGAAACCTACTTGTTACTTGTAGACAACTATACCCAATTATTTTATTATAACATTTTTTTGACAATGTTTTCCCTCAAAGTGGTTTGTTTATTTATTAATCTAATAAATCTGTCAGTTATTAACAAATTGGGTTTCTGTGAAAGATAAAAAATCTTAACGTTAGGTGAACATTTCAGACAGCATTCTATAAAAATTTTGTTTTCAAGGCCAGCTTCTGGACCACACAATACAATTCCCAAATGAGGGGATGAGTGGATTCACACTGATGTTTAAATTTTTATATTTGACAGAACTAATGCAGTATATCTTGAAAGCTATATACAGTAGCTTAATGCTAAGCTTTTTATGCTGAATACAGAATGGAATGAATTTTGCACCAGTGTTTTGGACTAGGAGGTTTTAAGATTCCTATTCACATTACACAGCAGTCTGAGGCTGCTTGATAAAACAAGCCTTGGCTATTTAACAACTGCCTCATAAAATGTCTCAATATTTAAGAGAAACCCAAGGCAAAGACATTTTGAAAATATACATTTTAACCAGAATCTGGATGCTAAGTAAACATCCTTTAGTGTTCAGCCAGAAAGACTTGCAGCTGTGGCATTTGTGACTTAACAAGATGAAGATCTCCACGCCAAAAGATAAATGATATCATAAAAGTTTCTTATCAAAACAAAATACGTTTTCGGATGGAATTTATGTTTAAAAAAAGGCTTTAAACAAAAGCTCATTTGATACATTGTAAAAATACTGGAAGCCTTTAATTTGGAGTTTAGTATGAATACATGCGAGGCAATACTATTTTCTGTTTTGCCACTGTGTTCTCTTTTTATAAACTGCAGATTAATTTCCTCTATAACAGCAACTTTTTAGTTTAGTTTTGTTTGTAAATAAGGTTACTGTAAATTAACTTTATAGTAGAATATTAAATTCTAGATGAATTGACATGTAGGCAGCAATGAAATGGGAGAACTTCTCCTTTAAAAAAAAAGAAGTTAAAATTTTAACATTGTACCAAAATAGGACACAGTCATATTCTAAAATGTACATACATTTTTTCACATGGATTAGACACAAATCTCCCAAAGGGCATGTGGTCTCTTCTATCAATGAGACTGCACGTGAATCCGGAACCCTGGTTTGATATGTGCAGCCTAGCTAACCACTGAGTATAAACACCAACCCTGTTATAATTCAGTATGCAACTAAGCTAGTCTTCCACACTAGCAGAGGGGGGAAAATCCCTCTTATTTTCTGAAGTTGCCCATCTCTATCCGCTTCTGTCGAATTGCCGCAATTGCCCAGATAAAACATTTGAGAGTATGTCAGCTTTAATTAATGTAACATGACCTGATCATTTCCACAGTTAAGAATAAAGAAGTTTGCTTTCTTTAAATCCAAAGCTCAACCTGGAGATTATGCTAAGTCGCTTCATTCATAGTCCACACTCCTCTGCTCATGTCAGAAGGACAGCATTTGTCCCCTCTAGTGATAAACAAATTATACATGAAATCAATTCCACTTCACAATCATTTTCCCTATTGGGTATTATCTTTCCTTCCCTGCTCCCTCCAGTTAAGCCCGCATCCTGTAACTTGCTAATGAGCCGAGAGCTTTCTGTTCCAGGTGGCACCCCCTGCCTCGAAGTCATGACATTTCCCATTTCGAATGCTGCTGGCATTTTTCGACAGCTCCTGCTAACTAGCCTTTTTGACCTGCACTAAGAGGAACTCATCTGATCGAATCCTCTAACCTGCCAATCATTCCAGCAAATGATCTTCACAGTCACTCCCAAGGCAGGAATGGAAGGAAAAAAAAATAAAAAAAAGAAAAGCGAGTGAGAGAATGAGGGAGTAGGCAAGCGGCTGCCTCTGCAGCTACCTAATGAGAATACTTTAAGTCTCTGAGGCAGCTGAAACACTGAAAAACTGGTGGGAAAATTAGGACACAACTGAATGCCTGGCTCTGTAATTACTGATTTCTTTACATCCTGAGATCATTTTGAGAGCTACACCTCTGAGATGTGCCAGTTTCTAAAGAACACAAGATATATCCCATCTTACGTAGAGAAAATAGTTTTATTTCTCCTGCCACTATCAATATGCAATTCTCATAATCCCACTCTGTCAAACAGCATCCTTTGCAGAATTAATTATGTGCTATAAGCTCGTTAAGTGTGCATTTGTAAACTAGGGATGATTATAATACTTGCCACAGTGAAGAAAGAACCTCTTTTTTTCTCAGGCATATTTTAAATGTTACCAACATTTAGGGGTGTTAATTTTTACATATTCACATAAAAACAAACAGGTATGGTGGAGGTTGGTATGGCGCCAGGGAGGATTAAATTCTTGACACCGACAAAAAGAGGATAATCTGGGCATTCTTAACTAATAGAGGTGAAATAATTTTTTTCCTTCCAGATTTTTCCTGCCTGTGCAGAATCAGTTTATTTAATTATATTTAAACTTAGTGGGGCCTTGGCCCACAGAATAACCCTATTATTTTAGGAAGAATGATCCCGGAGATGGTTAATTTGGCAATGTATCACAACTCTAGGTATCTTAATATGGAGTAGATTTGTTGACCAAGGAAAGATACAATATAATTATGTGTTATCATTATACCATTGTATGTAATAATGTAAAATAAATACTGTACATGATTTAATTGCACATTATAATCACACATCTTTCCCCATTTATAGTAATTAGGCCAATAGCCCCATTTACAGTAATTATTATATGTAATTGAGGGCATTTTACTAATTGCATTGAAAATGATAATCCAGAGCAATTAAAAATCCAAGGGCACTATACGTAATGCAAACTACATTAAGACAATGGTGATAATTTAAAGGTAAAAAATTCACCCCAATATTGAGGTTAACAGTTCAGTATTTGATTCCATGCTTAGCATACAGGGTTATTTTTATAATGAGATAAATTTCCACCAATGACTCTAACTTTTGTATTTTTTTTTCTAGATTGTGTACATTATTTCCCTAAATGGAAAAGTAACCTTTGATTAATCTATGATGTTATCTTCACAACTCAAGGACTGCTGAAAAATTATTCTTTTTGGCTGTATGAATGGTGTGTGTTTGTGTATGTGTGTGTGTGTGCATGCGTTGGTTAGCAGAGAAAGCAGCTATCCTAAATTCCAAAAGATGCTCAGTAAACCATTCATTTGCACAACCAATTTGATGCTCTTAAAAGCTTTATTCACAGAAGCAATTCAGAGTATTGCAAACTTTTTGTTAATTATACTTGTAATACTTTAGCTAAAGTGTTTAACTTTGTCTATCAGAACACATTCAGGTTGCAATTTTCATTACATTTGCTATCTGTCTAGAATTTTAATGTGTTTAAGGACATGAAACCCTGGCTCTTGTCCCCAGGCCCCAGTGTCTAGCCCTCCCTGATCCCACTCCCCATTTCTACCCAGACAAAGCTCCCATGTGAAGAATATCGCAGAAGGAGTGACGAGTATCCATGGGACAGCGGGAATAGTTTTCAGCTTCTTTTTGCCTTTCCTTCTCGACATTGTCATTTAGACATTGTCCTCTGTGCATTCAAATGTCATCCCAGACCATCAGCCCACTTCAACTCAAACAGCCTCCTTTTATGCTTAGACACTTCTTAGAGTATCAGCAGACCACAAAGACTGTCTAGTGGGACTCAGCTGCTATACTGGTATTAATAATACAATACAGTGCACTTAGGGCATAGACAATTCCTTCTGTATCCCAAATTCATAAGAATCAACATTAAATGAAAAGGAAAAATACAGCACCTGAACTGATTCTAACTACTTTCTATATGTGACTGCTAACTTCCTTGTAATAAATATTGTGGTTACTAGCCACATCACAGCTTGGGCCCACTATTTATAAGAAAGCTTCACTCATATTATGCTGCTGGCTAAATAGTCCCTAAGAAATTAATTTGGGTTTTAAGAAGTCAGAAGATGCAAGTGCTATTCCCCCCGCCCCTCACCATTTTGAAAGCTCATTTGACCTGGAAATGCTGATTCACAAAAATATAGTCAATTTTAAGGATCCAAAGGCTGATGAACCAATTTGTGAAGCATCAACCAGTTTCCTCTCTTTCAGCCACTTTGCTTTTTAAAACCTTAATCAGAGAAAAAAAAAAGGAAAGAAAGGGCAAAAATTTATTATTTTTATTTTAAAAAATCACTCTAAATTATTTGTTTTTAAGAAAAACACAGTTAAATATTTAAAGATAATGGAGCTTCATTTGAGTAACATACATGGTTTAGTGAAACAATGTATGTGTGCACAAATTTGTATGTGATGGCGGAGAGAATTAATATGATAAAGCAAATGTAGCTAATGTAGTAAAATGTTAACACTTTGGGGACAGTGGGTGAAGGGTATCAGGAATTCTTGTGCTATTCTTGCATCTTTTCTGTAGACATGAAATTATGTCAATATAAAAAAAAATGCTTGAAGGCTGGGCATAGTTGCTCATGCCTGTAATCCCAACACTTTGTGAGGCGAAAGCAGGATGATCGCTTAAGGCCAGGAGTTTGAGACCAGCTGAGACAACATAGCGAGACTCCATCTTTACAAAAAAATTTAAAAATGATCCAGGTGTGGTGGTGCGCACCTGTAGTCCTAGCTACTCGGGAAGCTGAGGTGGGAGGATCGCTTGAACACACGAAGTTCAGCCTGAGCAACAGAGCGAGACCCTGTCTCTTAAAAAAAACAAATAACAAAATAAAAAACAAAACAAAACAAAAATGCTTTAAGAATGCATTCTGAAGGAAGCATGATACAACTTTATTTTCATTCTGCTTTGTGACAATCCCAGTAGGTGGTGAGAGCCTGCGAGTCCTCTGCCTACACTTGCATGCGGTTAGGGTGGTAGTGGTGCACAGTACAGATCAGAGTTGACCCAAAGAAAAGAAGGGGTGGAGAGGCAGAGAAGGGACAAGGAGGAGAGAAGAAACAAACTTGCATTAGCGTTTAAAGGATAGAACAGACTCCCCAGGGTAGACAGGAAGCTAAGGTAAGGTGGGGTGGAGGTGGGGTGAGGTGAGGTGGGGAAACTAATAGCATTCCGGCCTCTTCTCATTTGGATATTCATAATATGCATCATGCATTTGAGGTTCAAAGTGCTGTCAATTTCCCAAATAAGATATATTTTTTAATTGGCAGTCATGTGGGGGTAATGGTAACAACTAGGGAATCTTCCAGATGAAACCTGCAAAGAACACTAAGGTTTGTTTCCCCTCTAAGCGTCATTTCAACAATTGTTGTCAATTACATGAGATAACAGAAATAATAAAACTGCAGATGTTTAATAGGAAAAAAAAATTGTAGGATAATGCAGAAAATGGCAGTTTTTGCAGGAAAAACCCCAGAAATCTTCCTAGTACTGAAAGAAACCTAGATCTAACACTTGTGTTTCTTATATATTGAAAAGTGCTGATGGATATTATCTCCGTTTGTGTCTATAGTTGAGAAAATGCAACACACCTTAAAAGGACCTTTAGTCAATAGTTAAAAATATCATACAATGAAGATATCACACCATCAGAA
The DNA here is from genome assembly GCF_000001405.40 of Homo sapiens. Taxonomy (NCBI): domain Eukaryota; kingdom Metazoa; phylum Chordata; class Mammalia; order Primates; family Hominidae; genus Homo; species Homo sapiens. The sequence goes on along the minus strand of NC_000007.14, from coordinate 91,123,094 downwards.
CTGGAGTTTCTCTCTGTACTTGCCTGATTTTTCACTCAGTAGTATACAGGCCAGGCAAGGCACTTTCCAGCTATACTGCTTGCTTTCCAAAACCTTCTCCAAGTTTCTGAAGGGCTAAGCCCAGCAGTCTCTTCCAAATGCTTCCTTAAAAACAGGTTGGCCAACCAGTTCTGGGCCCAGCTGACTGGATCAGGGCTCAGAGCCTGACCTCAAGGCAGCCTACCGTCAGTCAGCAGTTTCTACAGGGGTGACTGACACAACAGCTTTGCTCTCTGCTTCATGATGATGGCTACATCAATCAGAGCCACTCTCTGGGAGGGTTTGAATCTGAGGCAAAAAGAGGTCAGCAATAGACTGCCCCAGAAGTAGAGGGACAAAGAGAAATGATAATAAGCAGAATCCATGAATAAGCAGAAACAAGTCAGCAGAAGCCCTGAAGTGAAGGGAACATGAAAGCTGTGTTAGTTGATGCAAAGACAGAAAAAGTGAGCCGCCATAATGTCACAGCATGGAGGAGAGCAATAGGTGGCTGTTCTTTAGGAGCAGTTTCCAGAGTTGAGATGGCGGTTGAGATGGCAAACAGCTCTAGGTGGCCTACCGAGTAAGAACCACCATTCTACTAACGTTCAGACAGTGCTGCCACAGTCTTAAGCACCAGTGCATTGTGTTCTGTCTAAAAGCAGGTTTCTAAAAAAATCTTTATCTCATTTAATTAAATTTCATTGAGCATTCTACTCTGTTTACCTAACAGCCTACTTACAGGAAATTACTGCTTAATGACCAAGTAGAGAGTCCGACACATTTTTTTTTCATTATCATGTAATTCCTACATAATGTGGATTTGCAGAAATAAGAGGCTAAAAGGTAAGGAGAGGGTCACCAAAACATGCATGCAGTTAACTTCTTGCAATTGAACCAAATAAAATTCTTTCATGCACTAGACAAACATTTGTAAATTTATTAGGAATGGGGTCTGTGAACCAACTGATTCATTGAAAAGAGATATTCCATAATGAGCACATACTATTTCAGAAAAATTACAAAACATATCTAAAAGAATAGAGACCTTTCTTATCCCTTATATTTAGCTAAAGGAGAAGTAGAGTGACCATGCACTTTCTATGCCAGTTTAGAGTAAGTGGAAAATTAAGCTCACCAGAGGGATGTGTTTGGTATCACTGCATGCAAAAATAAGTCATACTAATGGATGTGGTATTCAATACAGCTTCCAGTCTTTTCCTTGGGGAAAATTTCTATGTATATTTAAGGCTCTCTCAGACTTTAGAAGGGTCTTACCCATCAGTGCTGATAAAATGAGTTAGAAGAATCTATGAAATCTTTACTAATATCTTTAGAAGATAACAAAATGTAAGAAGCACAGTATTTTGATAATCCAGTGGCACCTATCCCATTTTTAACTTAGGTATTTATGGTTTTCTTCTTATTTAATTTGGTTACAAGACTCTGAAACCAAAATTGCTTTCTGCTGCAAAGCCAAATGCATCTCATTAGATTTTCCACTAAGACCAATTTATGCAAATCTGGCATTATTAACTAAATAATTGAAGTGACCTTGGTATGCAAGGAAAGAAATAATTTGGCATTGAGGTTTGGAAGAAAAATTAGGACTTGAAACATTCTTGTCTACTCAGTCCTCTACCATTTCAAAGACAGAAGTAATATAATGCATTTTCCACATTTACCTCCTTGTAACTCCCCAAAGAGAGATGGTTAAAATGCCGGCCGGCCCAGTTTTAGTCTCCTTCAGCCCCCAACCCCCTTGGCCTCCCTCTCCTTCCCAATCTCTCTAGGCATTACAAAGAATTGGGACATTTGAGGAAATTTAATATGCCAAAGCCTTCTCTAAACAGTCAATGAATTCAACAGCAACGCAAAATCAAAGTCTAAGAAATTACAGATTTTTCTCTAAGGATACCTTATCTACATAGACATTTTGCTCTATAATGTCTATATGATATTCAGTATTGGTCAGAGAAAGGCCATTCCACAAGATATAATAGGCCAATAAATAGGCTATATTATTTGATCTCGAAGATGGTCCCATTTATTTAAAAACTCCACAAAGGTGAGACATTAAAATAATTTCTTTTTCTGCTGACTGACAGAAAACTCTTAGAATCCATCTTCCCTGTAGCTTTTCTGAGAAATTGGGTTGTTTCCTCAGCATTATATTGAATCATGCTGAGGCATTTGGATGGGAAGAAAACTACACCAACAATAATATTAAAGCTTTATTGGGCCAGGCGCGGTGACTCACGCCTGTAATCCTAGCACTTTGGGAGGCCAAGGTGGGTGGATCAACTGAGGTCAGGAGTTCGAGACCAGCCTGGCCAACATGGCAAAACCCCGTCTCTACTAAAAATACAAAAACTAGCCAGGCGTGGTGGTATGTGCCTGTAATCCCAGCTACTTGGGAGGCTGAGGCAGGAGAATTGCTTGAACCCAGGCGGGGGCAGAGGTTGCAGAGAGCCAAGATTATGCCACTTCACTCTAGCCTGGGCAAAAGAGTGAAACTCCATCTCAAAAAAAAAAAAAAAGCTTTACAAGTTGATGTGAAAAAGGCAAACGTCATAGAAAAAATATTTGTATTGCTATCAAATAATTCTAGAGGAAAAGCTTCTACTGTGTTATAACCTGACATCTAGTTTAAAAAATATATGTGAAGAAAATACATTTTTACATTTTTGTAAAGGCTTTTATATACTGATGACTGTAGTTCTGAGCACCTTTTAAAAAAATCTCTTTTCAATTAGCAACCTTTGAGACTTTCTGAGCAACCCTTCTGTCCTGTGAGCTTGATTTGATTTCCCAAAGAGGAGCTGAGCTGAAACACGTTCTAGCAGCTTTGACTGGCTGGGCTCAGGTCAGGGGATCTCAAAAGAGCCAAGAAGAGGAACACAGCCTTGCAATTGAAATTCAGGCTTGCTTGTGTGCATGTGTGTATGAGGTAGCAGCACAAATAAAGTCCACTTTTTGTTTTGTTCCACTGAATTGGTGAAGGGATTTATAAAGCCAGGGCCCTCATTATGATAATGCAGGTTAAATACTTTAAAAAAGCATATGCTGTAACCCTCATGAATTAAAACCATTCTCAATACCAGGAGGTAGCTTGTCAAAAACCTAGCCCCACTCTTTGTCTGACCAATTGAAATTCAGAGTGGGAGTACAAATGCAACCGAGAGTTGTGCTTTTTATTCAACAGGGAGAAATAACATGAAGAATGAAGACTCTTACCTATGGAGTGGCAAGTTTAACAGTAACATCTTCTGACTGTCATTTATACATCATACTTTATCTGGAGATCTTTTATCTCCAAATCATTCATAACTTTCCACCATGCCCCTGATAGGCCAAAATTGACCCCTATGTTGAGGGTATTCAAAAGCTAAGTCCAGAAGTAGCTCAAGATACTGGCAGATTACCCACAAGACAATGTGTACAGTTTAAAATTTGCTCTCTTTACCATGCTATCAATTTAGCCTGTTAACATATTTCAAACTAAGAGAGGGAGGAAGGAAGAGGAACTACTGCAATGCTGCATATATCCTTTGAGTTACTTGAACACTTTTTATTTTATTTATTTACTTTTTGAGACAGGGTCTGGCTCTGTCACTCAGGCTGGAGTGCAGTGGTGCAATCTCAGCTCACTGCAACCTCAGCCTCCCAGGCTCAAGCCATCCTCCCACCTCAGCCTCCCAAGTAGCTGGGACTATAGGCACATGCCACCACCACGCCCAGGTAATTTTTGTATTTTTTGTAGAGATACGCTTTCACCATGTTGTCCAGGCTGTTCTCGAACTCCTGAGCTCAAGCAATCTGCCTGCCTCGGCCTCCCAAAGTGCTGGGATTACAGGTATGTGCCACCATGTCTGGCCTGAACACTTAATTACTGAATATCAGAACAAAGACACACTTTTCTCTACAAATCAGCACATAAAAAGCCTTCTCCACAGTAACATTTGTTCTCTATTTGTTTCAGAGACTTGTGTTACATTAAGAATGTATATGTATATATATGTATGTATGTATATATATATACACACACACACTAAAAATTTTCCAAAAATACTAGGCATTTCCATCTGGCAATCAAGAAAGATGGCCTTTTCAGAAGTTGCCATCCCAGGCTGGTCACTACGTAGCACACGTGATGTGATGACTGGGCCAGGCTGACATGGCTAGAGGTTGCCAAGTTTAGATTATGCTTCCTATCTGCACAATAGTAGAGGACAAAGAATTTGATAGTGAAAGAGAAAAGCTTCATCATGATAAGGTCCGTACCAGGAGCCAGACAGGAATCAGAAATAGGTGAAGTGGCCCAGATGGGAGCTAAACTAAACTGGGGAGTCTACATCCCCTCCAAAGGAGGCAGCAATGATTCAGTTACACGCAAACACTTCTGGTAGGAATGTGAAGGCAATATTGCTAGAGTTGCTTATTTTTCAAGGAAAACCAGAAATCTAGATTTTGTGTGTAATCTCCCCATTTTAAAATGAGAACAACTAATTAGAAAAATTGCATGGGCAAAACAAAGTAGGTCTGTGGCTTAGATACAGCCCAAAGTGAACCTTTTTCTAATCTCCATGAGGAATGTGAGTAGTTAAGATGACTTGCTTATAACTAAAATGGTTTGCCTATGACTACATAAATAAAAGCATAAGTATAATTTTAGTTAGAATCTAGTAGGTGCCTGAAAATATGGAAATGACTGAGTGCATTCTATCTCAATAGGTCTGATGAATGCCATAATGCACACAAGAGACTCATAGGATAGTTGGTGAAAAAACGAGTCTGAAATATTTCACTTAAAGAATCCGTTCAATATCCATTAAATATTACTTTCCAGGTAAAGCAGGTCCTCTTACCTGTGTGCTCTTGAGAATGTGCTGCTTGTCAGTGCTTGCTGTTTGATAGACTTTTGCCATAACTATTGTTTTTCCCAAAGGCCCGCATGCTTTCTCCAGCTTCTGGTTGCAATCTCACATTTGGGACAGTAAAAATAGAAGACACTGTGGACAGAATATGAAGTTTTCATTTATATAGTTATAGATATTTATAATCATGTTTTTTTTTTAAAAAAATGGAGACTGAGATGCAAGTTTGGATGCCCAGCACACTGAACATCATGGTATGTTTTGATCTTTGAAATGCCAGGTGGTCGCAGGCACACACACATTTGCAAACATATGATAGGATGGTCTGTCTTTCCCTCAGAACCACAGCTCAGACTATCTCCCACATTTCTCTGATCTAGAACAATGAACTTAGATTGGGAAACAACATATTTTGCCCTTCCTTTGTGCCATTCTCTCATTCATTGGAAAAATATTTATTGAGCCTCACACTGTTCTGGGAATTTCAGAATCCTGTACTAAATAAATCAGAATGAAAGGAAATCCCTGTTGTTATAGAGTCCATTTGGGGGAGACAGGCAATAAGCAACCAAACAGATATAATATATTAAATAGTGGTAAATGTTATGAAGAAAAATAAAGCAGAGAAGAGAAACTGGAGGTTTTAGGGTGGAAGGAGGTCAGTGAAGTCTCTCCTGAGAAGGGACATTGGTGGAGAGAATCAAATGAGGTAAGAGGGCAAACCATGCGTATGTCTAGAGGGAGAGCAAGCACAAAATATAAGAAGAAGAAACAGTGAGAGCTGACTTTAAGGAGGCAAGAAGAGAAGCAGGCAAACCAGGTAGGAGGCAACTGTAAAAATGTGGGTGAAAGATGGTGAGTGACTGAGGGCAGCGTGATAGCAGTGAAGTGAGGAGTGGCGTGCGTGATCCTGGATATACTGTGAAGGTAGCAACAATACGGTCTGTGGAAGAACTGAATGTGGAGTAGAACCAAAAAAAGATGATTAGGGATACCTTCCATCAACTGGAAGAATGATGCTGCTATTTATTGACAACGGTAAGACTAGAGAAGGCGCAAGTTTGAGGGGAAAGATGAGTTCAGTTTTGGTAAGATTAAGTGTGAGAGGCCTACTAGATGGTCAAATGGAAATGTTGAGTGTCAGTTGGATATGCAAGTCAAGTCAGGGAAGACAGGACTGGAGATGGATATTTGAAAACTGCCAGTGTATAGATGATATTTAAATCATGAGATGGGATGAGATCATCTAGGCTCCAGGGAGTCCATGCAGATAGACAGATCTGAGGATTCAGCCCCAGGACACTCTAATGTGAAAGGTCTGGCAGATGAGGAGAAATCAGCAAAGGAGTGTGAACAGGAGACTTTAGTTTTCTAAACTAAAGGAAAGCAATGAGAGAATACTGTCCTGGAAACCAAGCGAAAGAAGTATTAGTAGGAGGAGATGGTTGTCAATTGTGTTGAATCTTCGATAGGCTGGGAAAAGACCAATGGATAGAGACTTCGAAAGCCAGGCGTTGTGGACACAAAAGCCTGGTTGTAAAGGATTCAAAACAGCATGAAAGTCTACGAACTGAAGGTAGCAAATCTTAAATCTGAAATGGGTGCACCTGTTTTATTTTTAAAAAGACAGCATAGAGCTACATTAAGAGCATTATGCTGTTCTAGGATGATATACAGAACATATACAGGAATATGTGGGAAAATCGACAAACTCTAGAGCTAGAAAGGTCCCTGGAGACTACTGTGCCCACCTCACTTGCTCCTTAAGTGAGAAATGGGAAGCTCAGAGAGACCAAGGCACTTGTCCAAAGTTCCCTGGCTAGTTAACAGTGGAGCTGAAGCTGCAATCCAGGTGGTCTGATTCCCAGTTCAGTGCTCTTCACACTGTACCGATTTGTTGGCCTTCTTTCACTGAATTTGAGTTTTGTGAATTAGCAAATGAGTGTAATAAAATCAAGGACTCTGTGCTATGAAGTGTATTTTGTTCATTTACTTTGACAAGGGTAGTTCAGCTTCAATTATTTATGTAACTTGATAGTATATGCAGGAGAATGCCCTGTGGTGTATTTGGGAAAAGTAATGAATTTCTTCTAAATCAGCCCTCCATTTACTTCCCTGCAATTAAATCTTTGAGAAGAAGTGGGACAAAGCTGTTGGGGTTTCAGGACAGAGGGAGAATGACAGGGTGCCACCAGAATTAGCCAGCTTTAACAGCCAGATCCCCAGATAACTGTACCATTATTCTTGCTTTCTGCTTTTATAATTCCTGCTTCAGTGCCACACTAATACATTACCTCTAAATTTTGGTACTATGTAACCTGATGAGGTTTTAAGGAATAGTATACTAAAGAAAGATATTACATTACTATGTATTCTTCCAAAGCCAGAGTCTGACATAAGCCCGTAATTTCACTTTTGTACGAATCTATGAAATGACTGCAGGGCTCTGTGTTACTCAGGCTCCAACCACACTTGATGCCCTTCTCATGGGGTCTGACATATTACACTAGGCCAAGAAGGCTCAAATCTACTTGTAACTTATTTTTGTTCCCATCTTCTCCTTTTAACCTGACTTTGCTTCCTGCTTGCATAAGTGTTTTCCTCTTGTGGAAATTCTTTAGAAAGTGCTATGAGCCATCTTTAAGAATGAGAGTGCTATGGATTGAATTGTGTCCGTCCTCAAATTCATCTGTTGAAGCCCTAACCCCTAATGTGATGGCATTTGGAGATGGGGCCTTAGGAGGGTAATTAGGGTTAGATGAACTCATAAGGGAGGGGCCCTCATGATGAGATTAATGGCTTTGTGAGAAGAGGAAGAGATTGCTCTCTCCACCCTGTGAAGACACAGCAAGGTGCCCTTCACAAACTGAGAAGAAAGACCTTACCAGGAACCGAATCTGCTGGCACCTTTATCTTGGACCTCCCATCCCCAAGAGAAATAAATGTCTGCTGTTTAAGCCACCCAGTCTAAGGTATTTTGTTATTGCAGTGTGACCAAACTAAGACAGCGAGGTTCCTAAACTACAGCTTGGTTGCTAAGACAATCCATTTACTGGTTCTGTAACACTTCTTTCCAGGTGGATCTCCTTCCAAATCTCCTTAAAAAAGAAATACGTAAGGGTATTACAGGTGCTGCTGCTACTGCTGCCACTGCCACTGCTGCCTTTGCCAGATGGTGAACTTTTACAAGACTCTATGCTAATATGAAATTTAATTATAAAAATTTAAAAAACTTCTAAATATACTCTGCAGAATACTAACCTAGATAATAAGTCACCCAAACCAGTCATTTCACTTAAAGAAACCAATTCCCTAAGTCTCCAAAGTCTGGGAATTCTTTGTTTTGTAAACATGTTTACAAGTACAGCCACGTTGTTCTAAATGGAAATGACTATAGTATTTAATACTGGGATTGTCCTTTCTTGCAACTGGATTTATGCCTCATAATGATTATCTTCTAGACACAGAAATAGCATTTCTGTAACTCAAAATTGTTACCGGAGGCATTTAGTAGAATCTTGGTTTAAAAATATAATGATTTTTCATCTTTATTCTCCCCCCTTCAAAAGGTTTCACTGCTCCTGATGTTTAACGTTATGCAAAGACGTGTTTCTGCCAATGAATATCGCCTTACGGTTATGCTTCTGCAAATAGCCTGCTGTGAGCTGATAAAGGGATTAATGCAGCCAAAATTCTTAATCTGTAAAATTACAAATTAAATTCTCATATTAAAAATACCACCCTGAGGTATTTTTTGTGGTTTTAATTCCCCTCTGGTGTTCTGCATACTTTGTGCTTGTTAATGACGGGGACAAGGCTGTCTCCCTTGGCAGTCTGCTGCCGAGTGATAATGTGTAGGCATTTACTCACTGATAGAAACTGGATTTAACCACTGGCTGATAAACTAAGTGGCAAGTGGGTAATAAGTCCATATTAACAGAAAAGTACTACTACAGAATTCAGAATTCATAGACCATCAAAATCCTGGCTTAAACTCAATCTTCAAGTCAGATGGGATTGAGATGTCACCAAGGAGGAGTGATACCAAGTTACAAGTTACACTAAATGGGAAAACAAACCATATGTTTGAGTGTGATGAGCCGTAAACTAGTGAGCCTATTTACAGCATTTTTGTTTTCAGTATAGGAAAATTATTTTCCCATAGGGATTTAATTTTTAATTTAAAAAAAATTGAGGATAGCTGTTGTAATAGTCAGTGAGTAGACTTTAGAAAGGGCAGAGTGTTGAGTAAACATGGGCTGGAAATACGTGAAATGTTAAGGAGGATTTGCTAAGCATTAAGGGGAGTAGTAGATTAATATATCTATAGTGACTTTAGGGTTAAAAAAAAGTAATGAGAAATAAATGTGGGATATCAAAAAAAGATTTAGGATAGAAATACCCAAGAGGAGTTGCACTTAGAACTTAGTTCCAAAATAAAGGGTTATTGCCATCAAGGAGAATCCAATATTATGATGGATGAAAGAAGTCTAAAATCCAAGATAATGAAGAAATAATCATATGTCTACTGTAAGTGATGTATACCAAGGATTAATAAACACATTATAAATATTAATGTATATATGCAGTATGTTCATTTTTAAGGCAATCAGAAAAGAGTATAGAAGAAATATCTCTAATTGTTCTTTGGAAAGAACATATCACCATTGAACAAAAATATTCTGACGGCAATAGTTTTTACAAAATTTCACAAGAATTCTGTTTCACACTCTGGAAGAAATCTGAGATCCTCCCAGCCATAAATCCTCCCCCAAATATTTAAAATGTAATTTTAAAAGGCTGTATAAATATGTAGACTTTTATAAAAACAAAACAAAACCCACCCAGGAATGTGTTTTAAAAGATTCAGAGAAGAGCTGTCTGTACAAATACCAAGAGCATTTGCAGTTAAAATGAATTACATGTCTTCAGTCTGTACATGTCAATTCAGTGCATTAGCCAATTGCCAACTCTGCTCCTCAGCTCGCTGCATAGCAGCCCTTTTTAAGGTTATTGTTACAACCAAGATGGTCTCTGAGAATCAAACAGAAATGAATCATCGGCTCCTCTGTGTACTGCAGCCAGTTAAAAAGTACTGTATGCATAAAGCACTAAATATGTAAATCATATTTTCCTTTTCCTTTATGACTGTTCAGATCATTTTTTTGGACACACACATAATCAAATACAAAGATGCACAGCTGCAGACTGCAGAGCAGAGATAGCAAAAAAGGAATCCATTTTCTTCCTGTGTCTGGTAAGCTAGCAAATGAATGGCAGGATTCCACTAAATATATATACACATGGCCCCCCTTCCCCTGTTCTCTCTCTCTCTCTCTCTCTCTCCACACATACACACACACACACACACACACACCTGTAATGCACATACAAACATACATTATCTTATGTTTGTGGACACACAAATATGTGAATCTCTGCATACACGTTACATACAGATGCCAAAATAAAATGATGTGTCTGCTTGGACTGGATGTTGTGGATTTGTCATACTCACTGTCGGTGAGTTCCCATAGCCGTGGCGGCAGGTCACTAAAATACTCGTGGCTCAAGGCAGCCTGTGCCGACAGTCTGTTCTTTGGGGAACATTGTAGGAGCTTGGAGGCCAGGTCCTCTGCATGGTTCACATAGCTGAGCCTAAAAACATGAGCAAAAAAGAGAGGTCAGACCAAACAAGAAAATCCACTAAATAAGACATAAAGCTTACCTAATTTTTCTGGATTTCAATTTATTCCTGGCTAGAAAAACAAATTACCTGCTGAAATAAACAGAAGCAAAATGCATGTTGGTTCTCAGAGTATTTGTTACTTCAAACTTACTTTTACTCTAGGTATAACAGTATAATTGATTTAAAATATTTCTACTATAGGCAAAGGATTGATACTTTCCGAAAAGATAAAACTAGGTCCAGAGGTAGAAAATTTCAGAAGACAACATATCAAATAATTATTAGAATTTGTTAATAGAATCTATGTACTATACCCACATCTGGATATATTTATAGAAAATTAATAACAAATACTAAAGAATTAAAATAAAACTGCTATTAAATTCTCCAGTTACTAAAGTTTCTTTTCCTCTAAGAATTTATATTTTCTTGCATTGAATATGAATTAACATTACTGAAACAGTGCCCTGTCAAATATCAACTATCATAATATTAATAAACAGGTTAGCAAAGGGGATGTGCTTAGATGATACGGGGCTGAATCAATTCAAGATGACCTTTAAAACAACAGTAGATAGAAAATATGTGTCTCAAGATTACAGAAAAAGGCGTAATAATAAAGTCTTTCATGTGGTATAAGCTTTCAAATGGGTAGCAGCACTTCTCAGTCCAGCTCAGCCTTGCTTTTCATGGAACCTCTATTTCTCTACTCAGAGCAATCAAGCCTGGATAATTAATATAATAATGATAATAAAAGTATTCCTAATAATGGCTAGCATTTCTGGATAGTTGAACATGCGTCAGGCACTTTCCTAGGCACTTTTAACACTCGTATTTATTATAGTCTGAGAAGGTAACAATTGCTATTTTGTAGTGGTGGAAGCCAAGTAGGAGTCAGAGATGGCAGTGGATCACTTGGGTAGCAAGTTGAGAGGAGATTCCAATCCATCCAGAACTTCTTGACTCTAAAGTGGTTTGCATATGCCATGCTCTCTTTCTCTCACAGGTTATTTTAAAGGCATTTCCCAATGGATTCTCCAGTTTCTGAAACCCGGTGCAATATATACAGTGACTCTCAGAGGCAGCCAGAAGTGGGTGAGGGAGAGCTGCACCTTCCAGTAGGTATTTCTTTAAAAATCCTTGAAGCTACTCAAGACACAATTAGCCAACAAACATATTTCCTCAATGACCAACAATCTCCTCCTTCCCCTCCTCAACCAATTCTTTAGTATTTATTTCAAATTGTTGGGGATGGGGGTATGAAGAGAAGATGAGGTAATGGATTTGGGTAGAGAAGGAAAAAGGGGAAAAGCAAAGAAAAATATTACACAAAGATCCAAACTAAGAGACTTTCTCTCTACATCTTGTTATGTGAAGGCCTCACAAATGGGTTCAATGTGTGGCTGCTGCAATGGCTGTTCACGAAAAAAATGGATCAATGGATTGGTTTTAACTGTCTCTCCCTGGAAGAGAGAAATTTGTCCACAGGGAACGAAAGCATTCTCAAAATTCTTCACAGTTTTTTCCCCTTTAAGAGGGCACAGGGCCATTCATATTATTCCTTCCTCTTCCCAAGACTTTATCACTAGTACAACTTTTCATTCATATTTTTAAAAAATCAAACGCAAAGTTTGAGATAGGCTTCATGGTTAAAAGTTATATTGAATGTACAGTTCATAGTTAATTATGGTGAACAGTATGTTCATATCAATTTTATATAGTTTTGATAAAATAGAACAACCAGATTAGGACTAGATCTGAGTTTCAGGCTTAATACTGCTATCATTTTCCTAAATTCAGACAAATAACTATTATTAAAAGAAAAAAAGGAATATTATTAATCGCCCAAACTGTATGTTGTTACATTGCATGTAAATACAAGAAGAGAAAGGTGATTGCGATAGTTGGTGCACAAGTACTTAACTCAGAAGTCAAGAGTATAAAAAACATGAAATACAAAGCAAGACATACTATTTTTGATCTTGGTTTTCTCATCTATTGAAAAATAGTGATGAACCACATTATGTCTGCAGTCCCTCCAGTTCCAAGAAGCCATGAATCACATCTGAAGCATGGTTTCATTATCTCGAAGAATTATAAACACTTATAGTTGTATCTCTGTTTCTGCAGTAAATTGTTGACTATATTTAAATACAGTATATGCCTCATATAAGGAATTCATCAATATAAGATAGTCCCATTCCCCACTAAATTGACTACACTTTAATATGCCAATAATCATATTTTCATTTGTGATATTTAGTTAATACATATTTGTTATATAAAATTTTAGTTTAGAAATTTCATTTTAAGTCTCTACATGCATTTTCAACATCAGAGCCTTTGTCATCACTAGAACCTCTTTTTTCGGTCTACCTAAGTTGTTAAGACATGATACTTTTGGGAATCCATGTATGATATCTTAATTGGAAGTTTTATCTGAAGTCATACGTGTACATTATCAGATTGTTAGAATGGTGGTGGTGGTTCTCAATCTCCCATTGTGATGGGAGACTTTTTTCAATCTTTCCTTGGAATTCCATCAATTTTTGTTTTATATTATAAGGCTGGGTAATTAAATGCATAGCAGTCTAGCACTATTATCTCTTCTTGGTAAATTCAGTCTTTAATCCTTATGTCATGACACTCTTTATCTTTCATAAAGCTTTCTAGGCTAAAGTTCATTTTATTCTCACATTAATACAATATAATGACCTCAGCTTCTTTTGTTTAGTATTTGCCTGCCATACCTTTTGTTACCTGCTTATTTTTAATGTTTCATACATGTAATATTAGGGTGTCTCTTTCATAAATATTATTCAGCTAAGTTTAATTTTTATCCAATTAAATAATCCTCATCTCTCAAGGAGAAAGTTTAGTCCATTTACATTTTGTGATTATTGATATATTTGGAATTACTGCTACCAGATTAATTCTGCATCCTATTTTGTCCGCCTTTACCTTTTTTCTCTTTACCTGTCTTCTTTTGGATTGGGTTTATTTTAGATAGAACTATTTTAGAAGTATAACTTCTAGAAGTTATGCATTCTATTTCCATGTAATTGGTAATTCCTCTTAATTTTTCGTCTTCTTTTTTGCATTCATCATCAATTTAGGTGTTTAAGCTTTCACAAGTTTTTGGAAGCTGGTGAACGCTGACAAATTATTTGTCCCACAAAACTGGAAACACACAGTCCAGACAGTGTAAGTATATGGTTGAATGGACATCAATATACATTACCATTTCACTGATTGTATAATAAAACAATTAAGTATGCAAATATTAAGTTACACAGAGCAACAGGCTTAAAAAATATTACATTTCTGCTCAATTCACTACCAGAAGTTAACTTCTCTTTTTGCAAGAGAGGTTGGGAAGAGATAGACAACAATCACATTTCAAACAATAACAGCTGGTAAACAACTTCCAATAGATATGGGAAAAAATTACAAGATTTTCAAAAATTTTATTATTAACAATTATTTCAGCTACCATCATAAGGCATGTCTACCTTAAAAAATATTTACTAAAGAGCATATGTCCTAAACAACACAAACACATTTTGCTAAAACTACTTTATAGCTCTCCCACTCCTCCTTCAGATCTTCTCTTTTAAGTTGCACCTCAAATGCAGACATTAAATTAACTTTAAGACTTTTTTGGTCTGGAGACAGACATTAAAAATATGTGCTTCTGTGCAATGTGGACTTTGCATGAACTTTTCAACCAGAGGTTTGTGATTTTCAAAATGGAGGTTTTCATAATAGCACGAAATGAGATTTATAAAAAGACATTAAGAAATCATCATTAAACTTGGATGAAAGCCAACAAAATCAATGGGTACACAAATCTGACGTACACTGTTTTAAATGTGGCAGTTATAAACATATAGTGGCAGGCAAATAGCCATACAGGCACCACTATTAATGTTTGAAATGACTGAAGGAATAAATCACAGAAGGCATAGACTGTTCACAGTTCTTAGGTTTTAAATTCTGTAGGACATTAAAAACATACAAGTATTATGCTGGGTATTTTGGCACCCAATATCTCTATATTCCTTATATATTGATAAGATTCAAGAATGTGAATAGACTTCAAGAACACATAACTCAATACTGCATGATTTCAGGAAAGGTCAACTCAAACGAATGGTAAACATGCTTTAAGTGTTGAACAACAAGCTTCTCTTTTTTCTTTTTTGAGACAGAGTCTCACTCTGCTGCCCAGGCTGGAGTGCAGTGGTATGACCTTGGCTCACTGCAACCTCTGTCTCCCAGGTTCAAGCGATTCTCACGCCTCAGCCTGAGAGTGGCTGAGAGTACAGGCTTGCGCCACCATGCCTGGCTAATTTTTGTATTTTTAGTAGAGACAGGGTTTCACCATGTTGGCCAGGTTGGTCTTGAACTCCTGACCTCAAGTGATCCGCCCGCTTCAGCCTCCTAAAGTACTGGGATTACAGGCGTGAGCCACTGCGCCTGGACAAACAAGCATCTTTTGCTGAGTGTTCAAACAAGCTGATCATAATCCAAATACAGAGGTTTCAATTCTGTCAAGCTCTTGAGGCCTGGTAAAAATGCTCACCAATACTCCTGCAGAAGCTTCATTAGACTTATCATTCGCTAAGCCTACACATTGGCTAATATGTTTGATAAACTGGGTCCTGTCTTAAAAGTTCCATTTCCAAAGCAATTGCATCAGGTAGCCCGGTTTTATTTACTGCAAGAGTTGTTTCTCTGACTGCTGGTGTCTAGGAAGTGCAGCTGCATTGTAGGACAATACTGCTCCAAAGAGAAAAACTGCTTGCTTCTAACATTTCCATTTCACTTTTGTCTTACGAACTTTACTGCATCTTCATATTTCATTCCACTTTAATGCTTGGACAACGAACACTAGAGCTCTCCCAAAACCAGCAACATGATGACAGTAATATTTAATACAACAACTAGCCTCTCCAAGAAACTTCATTTTACAAAACATAACCAGTCATCAACAGGCTTGGATAAATGGCAGTGTACCATTATTCAGAACCTGGATGCCTTCTTTCTCACAAGAGCAGTATTGTAAGTTGCTTCACATATTCTCACTACTGGGTAAGACCATACTTTTAAATTTCCTTTAACATTCATTTAAGGTCATACTGACTAGAATGTCCTGTGTGTGACTTCACATGACCTGACCTATTCATTTGAGTTATGTTAGTTAAAAAGCACTCAATAGGGTTATTTAAAAATGAAAACATTTTTTGAATAAAGCATACAGAAATGATGTAAAAAATAATGTAAAAATAACTGAAGTCTACTTCAATGTACCACACTTTATACTACACTTGAAATCTTCAGTGCTTTGGAGTATGAAGATGGCAGTAACAGGACGTGAAATGAACCTCCTGAAAAGCAAGACCAATTCTTTAATTCAGTAATGAGGCAACAGAAAGGAAGTTCCCTAGGTTTACCCATCTAGGTCAAAACTCTTGTAAAATGCTTTCCTGATTTTAATTTGATTCTCCTGTGTCCTAGTTAACCCCTCTCATGGAGCTGCTTGGTAGAATGGTAATGACTTTCTATAGTTCACCTGTTTGCACAGAAGTCATGCTGTATGCCTGATAATAATCTCCACTGCCCCTCAGAAACTTTGCAAATGCATGACCAAGAACACTACAGAACTGCCCAACCTGCAGCTAGCAGTGACCTCTCTTGGTGTAGGTTGGCTTAGTATCTTTTACCATCAAAGATATAAAAATAAATTTCCATACTTTACATCTTCACCCTCAGTTCTCCAAGTGGATGGCTCCTTAACTTTTTAATATTTAACTCTATTTAACTTAAAATTTAGAGTTCAATTTTATTTTTACTCTCGTGTACAAAAATATTGGAATACTTTAATTCTAATGACACAGTCTCATCTATCATATTATTGTCTAATATTTTATTTCTATTTTCTATGCTTTTTAAGGACACATATTAGACATTATTATTATTACTGTTACTGTTATTATTTTATTTACCCATGTTTACTAATTTATTTAATCACCTTTCTTCTCATGTTTCAGACATTCCCTCCCAGATTATTTTTTTGTGCCAGAAATACAAATGATAGCAGTTATTTCAATGAGCATCATTTGATGGTAAATTCTGTTTTGTTTTCATACAGGATAATGGGTTGGCTGGGTATATATTTAATAATTCTATATGCAGGCTCAAGGCATTTTCCCTTAACCCTCTGAAGACATTATTCCATAGGCTTCTGTTGTTTCTGCCTCTTTGTGCTCTTCTCTTCCTCTTCAGAGTTCTGCAATTGCAATGTTAGGTCTTCTTTTTATTTAACCTGCTTGGTACTCACTGTGTTTCCTGAATTTGAGGTTTCATGTTCTTCAACAATTCAAGAAAAAATCCCAGCCATTACCCCTCAAATATTATCTTTCCCCAATTCTATCTCTTCTCTCATTTTGTAATTTGGATGCAATGCGATCTCATTAAATTGTCCATGTCTTTACTCTTTCATGTTTTCCATCTGTTTGTCCCTGTTTTCCATTCTGGGCAATTACTTCAGAGCCATCGCTCAGTTCAATGAATTATTTAATCAATTGCATCTAATATGCTATTTTCCCTGTTCATTTTGATTTTATAAGGTCTTTTCAATTCTTTGACAAATTTGCCTATTCAGTTTTGATAGTCTCTTAAGTTTTTTATATGATCTTATTTCTTTACTACAACATTTTAAATATAGTTGTATGTCTGATAACTCCCAATACCTAAAATGCTGGGTGACAGGAGAGTTCAATTTTGTTGCTTTTGCTACTGATCCTCACTTGCAATAACTTTTTCCTCATATGCTTTATAATTTTTGGATTGTGAGCCCATGGTTGTCTAATGTTAATCTATGGGAAACCTGAGAGGCCTGGATTGAGAATGTGTTTCCCCATAAGGATTTTCTTTTGCTTCTGTCAAAAGGCCTGAGGCTCTCCCAATACATGGGTACTCCAAGTTCTTGCTGTTGGTTTCCAAGAGCATGCAAACTGTGTAAATTTAAGCCTGAATACGTAGAAATTCTCATATCAGACTTTTACATCCCCATCCATAGTGAAGGCTGGCACCAACAATTGTTCTTGTGGTCTTTCTTTGTTGGAAGCAGTTATTTCTGAGTCCATTACTGGGGCTGAATTACATTACTGAAGCCCACTAATGTGCTTTGAGGGTCCCCACTCTGTGTGGAGAATCTCAATTCCTATTCCCTACCTTCTTCAGGCCGAAGGCCTTGTTTCCTGATCCCCAAGTGGTTTCATGTTTCTATTTTAGAGAACAACTTCAGGGCAGCTGCAACTTTAGCATTTGATTATTCTTCTGGTTTCCTGTCTTTCTTCATTCTTGGCCTTTCTGGAGATTTTACTTATTTTCTTCTTGGTTCAGCTGCGCATCTGAAATCACGTGCTTGGTGTATTGTATCCAGCATTTTAGGTGACTTTTAGTACTAGGAGTAGTAGAAGAGATATTTTTTTCCCTATAGGCATATATTTATAATCCCTGTAATCTAATTAGTTACTATAAAATCATCTATGCTTATAATTTTTAAGTCTTTCTCCCTGGAATAATCACAAAATAATCACCTACACTTATAATTTTTAGGTCTTTCTCCCTGGTATTCTTTCATTGCCCCATCTCTCTCTTTTAAAACTAATTCTGTTAGGTCACCTCTGTTTAGTCTCAGAAACTAATTATCTGAAGTTGATTCAGGCTGACATTTTTTCACCACACAATGTCTAGATGAATCTCAAATGCATCATCCAAAGTGAAGAGGCAAGAGGCCTCTTATAGATATATAATTCCATTTATACAACATTCTGGAAAAGCCAAAATTATATAAACAGAAAACTGATCAGTGTTTGACATAGGCTGGAGGGAGGGTGAGAGAGGTTAGCAAAAGGGAACTGGACAATCTTTTTGGATGGTTCTACATTTTGATCAAGAAGGATGAACATTGGGCCATGTGAGAGGGCCAGGTCAGGGGGACTATAATAAAAATTCAGAAGATGGAGCCATTTAGAGAGATGGAAGACTGCAGATTTTTCACAAAGAACATTCAGGCATTAAGGATGGAAAGCTGCCCTCCTGTGAGTGGCTGAAATTAGAACTTCCTTGTCTTGAGGGGATTCCCAATTACGCCTCAAGGGATGCTCCAGCCTACCCAGAGATGCTGCTGCCAATGGTGAGGCCCTCCTATAGATTTCAGTGTTCTATCGCAGGTCACTGAGTGAGAATCTGCCTCAGGCTGATGGAACTGGGCCCATCAGGTTGGTGGGGGTGTACTCAATGAGCCTCTATGTTCACAAGGGGTCAGAAAAACCTGGAAGGGTATGTGGGACAAGAGACTGTTATGTTCATTCTACATTCATTTTGTAAAAAGATGTTTGTTGTTCATGGAAACTCTTTTAAAAAAAAACTAAGGAATTTTAAAATTATAAACCTGGATGACAAGACATAAACAATCCCTACTGAATTCAGAGTATGTGTGGTATGAGAATCTTATATTGCGAATAACTATGAAACAAGTGCTTTTAATACAGTTGAAAATAACAGTATGCTGCTCTTCTAATTATAAAGAATTTTCTGCATTTTTCTAGTCCTTATCCATGCAATACACACTCTCTCTCTCTCTCTCTCTCTCTTTCTCTCTCTCTCTCTCTCGGTCTCCTTGCAGTTTTTTAAAAAAATGTATGAAAGAAGGTAACATGAATAGTGAAAAACAGTCTTAGACCATGAATATAGAGCAGGATATTCTCCTTATTCCCTGTACAGGTTAGTTTTTATACCTCAGAAATGAGGAAGATGGAATAGATTGTCTTTAAGAGTTGTCCTAGCTCTAATGCTACATATCCTCCAATCTGGGAAGAACCAGATTGTGAACTAGAGGCAGGGAGAGTTAGCACAGCTGTACTGGCCTGCCAGGGCTGACCTACCAGAATTTCCTGCTCTGCCACCAATGAAAGGAACAAACAGTGCCTCTCACTTCTCTCCACTCAACCTTGAAACTAGCGCTTTTTCAAAATCTAACCTAAGTTTCTAAGACTTCCTGAAAACAGACAAAGAGCAAAGTAAACCTGGAGTCCTCTGCCAGACTAGAGAGTACCATCAAAGTTGAAAAGATGGAATGGAAAGTGGAGGACAAAAATGGTGGTGCAAAAAAGAAAAAGAGGAGGTCCACTGGTTGTGGCAAGACGAAGAGGGCTACTTCCTGGAAGACAGCATTTCTTTTTTTTTTTGACAGAGTATTGCTCTGCTGCCCAGGCTGGAGTGCAGTGGCATGGTCTCGGCTTGCTGCAGCCTCTGCCTACTGGGTTCCAGCGATTCTCCTGCCTCAGCCTCCTGGGTAGCTGGGATTACAGGTGCACACCACCAAGCCTGGCTAATTCTTACATTTTTAGTAGAGATCAGGTTTCACCATGTTGGCCAGACTGGTCTCGAACCCTGAACTCAGTTGATCCGCCCGCCTCAGCCTCCCAAAGTGCTGGGATTATAGGTGTGAACTATCGCACCCGGCCGGAAGGCAGCATTTCTAATACAATGTGGAGACACAACATCTGCTAAATGACTGAATGTTTGCTTGAGTAATGAGTATATCAATGGTTATATCTATAGAGGTTTCACATTACCTGAGAAATAAAAATTGAAGAAGTAGGCAGTCATTTTTGAGCAAAAACATCTTATGTTCAGGTCCTGGTCCTTAAAGAACCTCTTCAAACTATACATCCCCCGGAAGATGTCATTTTCTTTTTTTTTTTTCTGATTTGGTTTGGTTTTTGAAGTGGGAAGGAAGTTGATCCTTGCCTTTTTAAGGTTAACTTATAAACTAGGACTGCATGGATGTTTGTTTTGATTTAGGGTTTTTTTTTTTTACACTATAGTTCTAAAAGACTCCCTCTAAAACTGATGATACACCTGCTTGTATAACAACTAAGGCAAGCTACATTTTGTTCCCAAGGGTGGCTTCTAAATCTCTATAAAACTCTCCACTGGAATTTATTGTTTTAGCTCATGAAAACTGGATATAAAGAGTAAAGGTGTGGTAGGTGTAATTTACATATTAGACCATTCAATGGAGATACAAAATTCCATATAAAAAGCTTAAATGGGAAGAAAAAGTTCTAGAATGTTCCTCACTTACATTTTATATGGTGACGGGATACTATTACACTCACTATGGGCCTATGTCTGAAGCATAATAGTGTGCTTTCTTTTACAGAGTTGGAAGTACAACAACCAACCTGGAGTGAGTGATGCAGAGGGTCTATACTCATACTTTATGCACCGTCACACTCTTCACAGAGCAAAGCCACAGAGCCTGGATCCCTTCAATTGACAGTGCACATCTCTGTGGCAAGGATACCAATGCGGGTGCTGGCCACTGAATTAATCAACATCTGATCTCTTGAAAATGATCTGGATGATTTGTGAAGAAGTCCACCCACCAATAAAGACAAGTCTGTCTGTTTTCCTTAACTACTGAACAGAACTGTCAGATGCAGCAGTCTTCTTGTCTACACATCCAAAGCAAAATGCTCAAATGCTCATGTAACCCCCTCTTATCAAAGCTTTTTGTCTTAGAGGGAGTACTATGGTCATAACACTGCTTTTGTTTTTCAAAAAATGACTTACTTTTAGCAAACAGGCTTAAATTTATTCATTTTGCAAGGAGGGGTCAGAAATTGGTCAAGCAGAACATGAGTGAATCTGACATTGGAATAAACTCTTGGGGAAAATAAAGACTAACAGAAGAAAAGATTCAGCCCTGTGCAGTGTACTTCTCAACCCCAGGTGCTGGGCTGTGCAATGAAATGAGAAGCAAGACTCGTAGTTACATTAATAATGAAGACACAGAGTTGTTTAACACTGGGACTTCCTTTCTCACTGTACTCAATGTAAAAAAAATAATGAGATTCCTCCCCTCAAAACAAACTGATAACATTTTTATATTAGTTTCTGTAAATAGGCTGTAGTTTTAGTACATAAAAATACTCAATACTTATTCACTTATTCTAATGAAATTGTTTAATGCCACAATCTCCCTGGCAGACACTCATTCCCATAATGGTCAGCTCACTTGACAGCCAATGCTATATTAGAATAATGCTATTTGTAGGCAGCTCTACAGTTCACAAAATGCCTTCCCATGTATTATTTTATTTGATCCAGATGATCAAAGGGTCATGCTTACAAAATGGGGAGTATTCAGACTTCTGATACTTACATCTTAGTGTCCATTGCATGCCATGCCAAAGAGTTATTGCTAGCTGTACATTACTCAGTTGGTAAAGGGGTTATTAGATTATTCCTAAAGTTTTCCTTAAGAACACATTACATTTTTCCATATTTCTCTCTTTTCCTTTAATTTTGAACTATATTGCTATAGAGACTATTCTTTCTATATTCTTGTTAACACCTCCACTGTCCTATGCTAAATAAGGACAATGGGGAGAGTCCAGCCTTAACATGAACAAGATGAATAATCATACGAATCTACACTGCTAGGTCTCCCCATCAGATCTAACCCTTACTCAATACACAGCTGCCCTTGCAGTCAACTCTACCTGATGGAAAAGTACAGAAAGTGTTGAAGAGCCCTCAGCAGGATCTGAAATGAATCAAGTTTTTGAAAATGCTAGCACTGACATTCTAAGGCTATTCTAAACTGCCAAAAGTGGGCCAGAAAAATGAAAATATTAAATTCTTGCTTTGGATTTCAGAGCTTAGCTTGGTAGTAATTCCCCAGCCTTGATTTTATTTATTACTATTTTCTACCCTTCCTGGAAAAAGAGATGTCTTCAAATGTTTAAGATCATTCCAAAACCAAAGAAAGGGTGATCTGCTTTTTAAAAATCTGTTAACTTATGACATAATTATAGCAGCCTTTCCTGCGTACTAATATGATGCTATTTTCATATTTACCTTTCATAAATCCATTGATACAGACATTATCATAAAATATTCATAGACTAATATATATGAATTTGTTATATTCTTTTCAACAAGAGCCCTCGTTTATTTAAACTTATTTTCATTTAACTCCTACAAAAGTAGATCATGTTTCCGCTCTACTGTCTACAGGACAGAATAAGGTAACTGCTTCACTACATTGCTTTTGCAGAGCTTCCACTTTAATTCCTTTTGCAATCTTCCCCAGTGCCTACTGGCAGTGACTGTTTTCAGTGATGAAGTTTTATTTTTAATAATTTATACAGAACACTATAATCCATGTGCACTTAAACTATAATTCTACATGCATAAATAGCATAATTAAAAACTTCTCCTATGATTTATCAGAGATCACCAAACATTAATAGTATTTTTCATATATGGGGTAGTACAAACCTGTCAGTCATTATACTCGTATCTCAGTTATATTTTAGAAAAGATCCCTAGATTTAGTGAACCAGCGATTATATGATTTTATAATTTTTATTAAGTATTTTACTTCAACAAAGCAGTAAACAGCAAAAGAGGCACCAATAATTACTTTTCAACCCTCTGACTAGAAGACTTGATAGAAGAAAAATACATTTACAATAACTGACCTTTATAATCAGAATAAGGTTTGCAGAATACTTAAAAGTCTAACCTCACAAGTCAGCATAGAATATCCTCAAACCCAAAGACATGTATTCAACAGAATTGATTTCCAGCTTCCCAGTTATTTTATTTACAGTTATAGCCTATCTATAATAAGCACTAGACCTTCATAACCACACAAACCCACCCTGTATGAAATCCCATTGTTACCTGAAAGACATTAGGTAACTCACAACCTTTCCAACTTCTGGATACAGATTAGGATAAAGTTAATAGCCCTCTCCTACTTCACAGGACTGCTGTGAAGATTGACCTTTTCTTACCATAACTTGCTTAAATCGATTATAGGCATCTTATTATTTCACCGACTTCACAGGTTTTAAAATGTTTTTAGGAAATCAAGAGTGAAGCAAAGTAAATTGTTAGTGAATGTTATACTCCTGTGATGCTTTGAATATTTATACTATTTGGAGAATAAAGATTACCCAATTTTCCTGAATTCAAAGTGGTTGATTAAAGCACTGTTTCAACTGAAACAGACAACTCTCATTTTTTATGATAAAAGATTGAATGGGTGTTTAAACCCAAATCTTCATTTATCCAAAAATTCAGTCTATGTAAAAATTTAGGAATGGCTTATGTTTCAGAGAGATTGGTTATAAATATTTAGTCCAAATTATCCAAGCAGTATGAAAAACATTTTCACCATCAGAGGCTCTGGTAAAAAGTGTAACTTATTGGCGCATCTGCATTATGGTAAATGGAGTTAACAGAAATGGTGGCTACCTAGCCTTTCATTCTTCTGAAACCCTAGAGAAGTTACAAATCTCATCATCAGAGGAAGGTTTTGGAACAGTATGTCCTTCAACTATAAGTAGCACTAAAAATAGCTCTTGAAAGGCATAATTTTGTATAATATTATTTCATGAAAAGAGAAGAAAAAATATATCTTTAATCCTGAACAAACCTCTTCAAAGTTTATGTTCTCAATAAACCTTTCACTGAGAACTGAAAGTATAACTTAGTAATGCAATAAATGCCCTAAAAATATATCAGATTTTTCACTTAATGCTTTTTACAGGCTTAAACCAACTGGAGTAAAAGGAAATCACCTTTTACAGTCTGACTCCTACAGGAAGAATGCCTTGCTGTCACGCTTTTTAAAGAAGGCATGGTGAATTTATCTCAACTTTGGTGAATCTTGGGCCATGATAAAAAGAAGAAAAATAGCAGAGCAGTTAACATTCCACAGAACTCTTTCTTCACATGTTTATTTCCTTACAGATTGGACATGATCCAAGATAATAAGAAAAGTGTAAAAAGGAACTTTTCTTAAAGGCAATATATAGTTTAGCACTCTATGTTGATATAGAAGAGATGTTTCCTCATCTCTTTTTGCCTTTATTTCTTTTTTTTTTTCTCTTTCTTTCTTTTTCTTTCTTTTTTTATTTTAAGTTCTAGGGTACATGTGCACAACATGCAGGTTTGTTACATATGTATACATGTGCCATGTTGGTGTGCTGCGCCCCTTAACTCATCATTTACATTAGGCATATCTCCTAATGCTATCCCTAAAAAATTATCTTGTAGACTAAACGTATTAAATGGTTAGGACTGCAGAAAATCACCAAAAATAATGCTCCCATTTATATCAAAATGAGAGAATATTCAGTTAGGTCGGAGGTCATGGGTTATTAAAGTTTAGTTCAAAGCAAATGAAAAATCTATTTGCTGGGCACTCTAATTTCAGCTTCTTTATCTTATGACATTGCATCTGGAATTTGAAAATATATGCTTTCATTATGAAAGAAAGATAAACGGCTTATGTCTAAAGCAAGAATTGGATTAAGACTGCTGAATAGTTGAGCATCCTTTACACAGGCCCTGTTCTCTAAGAAAGAAATGTCAGAATCCCTCTCAATGCTTTCCACTCCTACAAGGAGTTTCCTATCTGCCTTCTCTAACCCACAGTGTCTTCCCAACTGCACACTGAACCAACTACCTGGTGAATGATCTCATCTCTTCCCATTACACAGAAGACATGGCCAGCCAGGAGATGGAACCCTTGTTCTAAATACTGGGGGAAGATATACAAAGGGGAAGGAAACATATGGTTTACTACGTGCTAGCGATGTTTTTCACATGTGATCTCCCTTATACTACACACCCAGCCTGTGAGGTGATCATCACCATCCCACCTTGCAGATGAAGGAGCTGAGGTTCAGACAGGAGGAGCAACGTAGCCTCAGTCACACAGCAAGTGAGGCAGAGCCCATTACACGCCTCAAATGTTGGAGCTCTCTTCCCTGTATCATTCCATCTATAGGCTATATTTATAGCTTGTTTTTTTTTTCTCATTATGAAAGTAAGACATGATGATTCTAGAGCACTCAGAAAATCCTGGAATGTATACAAAAAAAAATCTTATTAGTGTGTAATCTAGATATAATTTTTTGTATCAATTAGATATATTAACTCCATGTATAGAGGTCCAAGAAAATTTATAAATTTAGTTCTTTGTATTTTTTAACCACTGAAAATTTTTTTTGTATTTTTTTTTTCCTGGAGACAGAGTTTCGCCCTTGTCACCCAGGCTGGAGTGCAATGGTGCGATTTTGGCTCACTACAATCTCTGCCTCCTGGGTTCAAGCAACTGTCCTGCCTCAGCCTTCCAAGTAGCTGGGATTACAAGTGCCTGCCGCCACACCCAGCTAATTTTTGTGTTTTTAGTAGATACAGGGTTTCACCATGTTGGCCAGGCTGGTCTCGAACTCCTGACTTCAGGTGATCCACCTGCCTTGACCTCTCAAAGTGCTGGGATTACAGGTGTGAGCCACTGTGTCCGGCCCGAATATGTTTTTATATAATAAAATTTCCTTTCAATACCTGAATTTTACTCAAGTCCATTTTGAGGTTATATTAGCTTTTCATTTTCCCTTTTGTGAAAAGAAAAAATTTTTGACATCCATAAATGCTGTATCCTGTTGAGGGTGTAGACTTTTCTTTTACTTGGGCTGTTTACTTTGATTCTCACTTTGCCACTTAATATTCTCTTAGCAATGTAGCTAGTTTTACGAATCTCCTCCATATGCAAAAACATGGTTATAGGCATCTCATGTCAGGCCAAGGCCTAGTGATGCACTCGACTTTGTGACCATGATACTGTGAGGTGTCAGATGGAAATAAATAAATTTTACTTTACTGCACAGCACTCCTTTTAATGTTAATTAATAAAGTCTGCTGCACCCAGCACTTCCATTAAAAGAGGAGAAAACAAGACTTCAAATTTAGGGAAAAAAGAGCTGGTGTCTATTGCATACCCATGAGGATAGCTGTAATGAAAGCAAGATAAAAAAATTTATATTTTCTTTTCTTTTTTTTTTAAACAACAAATATTTATTATCTCATAGTTTCCAAGGATCAGGAATCTGGGAGAAGCTTAACTGGGTAGTTCTGATTCAGGGACAAAGTTGCAGTCAAACTGATAGCCAGGGTTGTACTCATTTGAAGTTTGGGTCTGATGGATCCACTTCCAAGGTAATTCGTTCACATGGCTGTTGGCAAAAAAGGTCTTAGTTCCTCACCATGTGAGCCTCTCTCTAGGGCTGGGCACATGACATGTTGGTTGGCTTTGCCAGAGCCAGTGATCAGAGATAGAAGGAGCCAGAGCCCAAGACAGGAGATGCAATCTTTTATAACCTAACCTTGGAAGTAATGTGCAATAACCTCTGTCACATCCTATTGGTCACCAAGACCAATCCTGGGATGAAGAGAGAACGGTGTGAAGACCAGAAGGTGGGATCGCTGGGAGCCACCTTTGGGGCTGCTGGCCACACTGATGATTATAGAAGATAACTGTTTTTTTTTTTTTTTTTTTTTTTGGCAAATTGTGGTAATATAGATAAATAACTGAAAATTTGCCATTTTAATCATTTTAAGTGTACAATTCAGTGGCATTAATTACATTCATAATATTGTACAACCATCACAGTATTTCCAAAACCCTGTCATCACCCTAAGCAGAAACTCTACACAAATTAAGCAACATTTTTGTTATTAAAATAATGTGACAATATTAAAGATAATTTTGGGAAAGTAGAAAAATAATCACCCAAAATTCTACTACTGTATCACAACCATTTTCATCTTGTATATTACATTTCAGTAACAGCTAGTCCACAGACTTTTTATAGTAATATGTTAGTATATATATTTTTTATTAATCTTTTTCCAGGAAACATAGGGAGAATTTCCTATGTTTTTAAAATCTCCATACGTAATTTCCTAACATTGTTGTGTAATATTCCACTGAGTTGCTGAATCATGATTTGTTAAACCTTTCCCCATTCCTTTAATCTTGGTTAAGTTGATACCAAGTCTTTTTAAAAATTTTAAACTACAATAAAATAATGAGAATTTTGGGGCAACTCGGTTTTTACTTGGTTGATCTATTTCCTTGGGAGAAATACTAACAAGTGAAATTGGTAGGTTCAAAACATAATTCCTCAGGTTTCCTGTTGGAAGTAAAGGAAAATCCCAAACTCTGGCCTGCAGGGCCATTCCTTGGCTGGCCTCTGCTTTCACTCACCAGTCTCCTCTTCTCTCACTCTCCCCACATTCACTATACTCTCACCACCAAGCACTTTCATTCTTCAACAAATATGAACTGAGTGCCTTCTATGGGACAGGCTCTGTTGTAGGCGCTAAGGACACGGATTAAGAAAAAAGTAAAAATCCCAGCTTTCATATGCTTACAGGCTGCCAGTGCTCTTTTTCATCACATTGCTCTGTTTTATTGTCTTCATGTACTTAGCTCTCTTTGAGATTATACTGTCTATTTTTTGTTTGCTGTCCTCGCTACTCTAGAAGATAAGTTCTATAAGAGTGGAAACAGCATTCCCAAACATCCAGAGCATCAAGATACTAAATTAAATTTCTTGAATGTTCCATGACATCTTTATGGCCGCTAACAGATGTTTCCATATTGTTTTTCACATTTACCAGTTTACAGGGACATCCGCAGTAAATGAATGGGCTCATTTTTCTATAACCTCACCAGTATTGGTGTTTATGAAGAAGTGGGTTGTGGATGTGGGGTTGGGTGCTAATGAAGGGTAGTCTGATGGAGAGCATACAAGGTACTGAAGCTATCTTTCGAGTTTTTGAAATATTGCATTAAAGTGTTATTTATCTTGATCGCTGAGATTTTTCTTCACACCACCTAAATTCTGAACCCAAGATGAGCACCTTACATGCCTCACTCTAGTCTCAGCCCTGTTTGGTATAAAAATGGCAAATGAGACAGGTACTTCCTAGATCTGCTCTTGAGACTACAAAATAACTGAAGACAGGAAAATAAAATTTGTAAAATAAACTTAGATGCTCCTACCAGGAAAACAATTTGAGAGTTGTTTTCGGGATTAAATGAGATGATACAGACAAAGCATTCTGGCATGCTGTGAGGCACAGACGTGTGCCGTGAACAAGTGTAGCCAGTGATACTTCATACTGCACTATTACCACTTCTCCCCCACCGCTACACTTGTAAAAAATTAAACTGACCTTACTAAATGGACTTAAAAGAGTCCCTTAGGACTGCAATATTCTTTCCCAAATTAGAGTACATCCCTGAAAATATTTTGGTAGGAGAAACCTCATTGAAGAATTTAAAATTAATGGGAAAAAACATGAAGTAAAGAGGATTGAGATCATGAGTGAACTCATATGAAAAAGGTCTCATAATTTTTATTTATTTTTCCTTTTTTGTAAATTTATTTTAGGTGCAGGGGGTACACGTGCAGGTTTGTTACATGGGTAAATTGCATGTTGCTGAGGTTTGGAGTACGAATGATCCCATTACCCAGGTAGTTAGCATAGTAACCAACAGGTGCTTGTTCAACCCTTTTACCCCTCCCCCTCCTCCCAATAGTCCCCAGTGTCTATTGCTGCCATCTTTGTGTCCATGAATACTCAATGTTTAGCTCCCAGTTACAAGCGAGAACATTCAATATTTGGTTTTCTGTTCCTATGTTAATATACTTAACATTAATGGCCTCCAGCTGCATCCATGTTGCTGCAAAGGATGTGATTTCATTCTTTTTATGGCTGCACAGTATTCCATGATGTATATGTGCCACATTTTCTTTATCCAGTTCAACACTGATGGGCACCTAGGTTGATTCCATGTATTTGCTATTGTGAACAGTGCTACGATGAACATGTGAGTGCATATGCCATTTTGGTAATATGATTTATTTTCTTTTTTGATATATAAACAGTAATGGAATTGCTGAGTCAAATGGTAGTTCTGTTTTTAAATGCTTGCTAAAATAAGATAATGGTGAGGTACCTTAAGAACAAATATTTTCAATATTCTTTTAAGTACCTTGAGATAGAAACATTCTCTTGATAGATATGCTTCAGAATCTGTCTCCAAATTTTAAGAAGATTTTGTAACTGTGTTTTGCTGTGTTACACACTAAAGTATACTACTCTCTTTGCCAATCTCCCCTTCAGGCCCACTCTGTTTGTCCTTTTTCTAAATGTCCAATGACTTCCTCATTTTATGGTCCACCATGATTGGTTCCTGTTTCTCTGGCCTACCTTAGTTTTATACATCTTGATTTCCTCCTGCCTAGTAGGCACCAGGATGCTGGCCTCAGGTCCAGATTGATCAACGCAACAGTGCAAAAGCATGCTTTCTACTTGGTCATCCTCATTCTTCTTTTCCCGTTCCCAATCCTTATGCTCGAATACTTCCAAATAGAGTGACACGCACACATCTGAACCAGTCCTCAGAGCTGCAGAGTATCAAACTGAAATCTGCTAGAATTCTGAGTAACTGTGATGTGTGTTTAGGGAGAAAATACTGCAAAGTCTTACATGGCAGGTGCTAAAGTTAGTATGCATAAAATTTTTGTTTGTCATTTTTGTTCTGCAGTTCAAGTCCTGGCAAATAATTTATTTACTCTGTGATGTATGCAATAAATATGAAAACATTGGAGGAGGGATTTTCAAATAATTAGAACAAAAATTCATGTATTTCTTTCAACGGATATTCTTTCAAAAAGATCGTTTCCTTCTACATTAGAATGTGAATGTGTAATTTAAGGAGTGACTTTTAACAACAAATCTGCAGGATGTATTTCAACTCTATGTTATGAGGAAGAGTTAAGTAGTGGTACCTCGTGTTCTCCTTCTAGTTGCAAGTCCTTGCCTTTGACTTTTCATTTTCTCTCTCTATGCTTATCTGAATCTGCATTTGACTGAAATGCTATTATCAAACAGCCTAAAGTACTTCTGGAGTTTGCAATTGGCTGTTCCCAACACAGAAACAGTTGCTACATTGTAGAAACTTTAGTGAAACGATTTTTCTGCGATAATTCGCATGTTCATCAACGGAAAGGCTACCAATCTTACAATGGCAGGGAACTTGCTTTGTGCATGGGAGCCCAGTCTTAAAGTTCATTACTAAAAAACACTGCTAAAAGCTTCATGGCCTCTATTTCTCTCTGTCATGCCCTGTGGTAAGAGGATGCCTAGGTTTTTCCAAGAGGCTGGTCAAATTATTCTTATAGTATGACTCCCAGCAGACCCTACATTCCTCTCTCATGTGGAGGAGGTTGTAGATCTGGGGGCACAGATGCTCCAAAGTGTGGTTTGATGGTGAGCATAAAATAGGCTGAGGCTATCTTTTACTGGAACTGAGCACAACCTTTGTTTCACAGTCCTTTATTCCTGACTTTAACTCTACATCTGGCTGTTTATATAAAATGATTTATAATGGAAAGGTGACATTTCATATCTGTGGCTTTAAGAAAACCCAAATTGGCATGATTGCTAGAGCTTTTTATCTTTTTGATCAGCATTTTCACCTTTATAACTGAAATAAAAGAAAGACAAATAAATAGGATTAAAACGCTGCACATTGAGTATCATCTGGGGTCCAACTACTTATAACTTCCAGGTACATGCAGGTTTTCGGGTATATCTCTAACATGAATCAGAAGCTGGTGGCAAAAAAAACCAGTCTACTGATGTCTTAAAACTAACAATATCGGCATAATGTAGGAAACTGAAGACAGGCATTTGCAGATCATATGTAAAGATATGGAAGTATTTAAAGAAATGAAAGAGAGAAAAAAAAACTCATCTGATTACTTGGGAGCTTAAAATAACTTACTTCCTTCCTTCCTTCCTTCCTTCCTTCCTTCCTTCCTTCCTTCTTTCCTTCCCTCCCTCCTTCCTTCCTTCCTTCCTTCTCCCTTTCTCTTTTTCTTTGACAGGGTTTTGCTCTGTCGCCCAGGCTAGAGTGCAATGGTATGATCTTGGCTCACTGCAACCTCTGCATTCCAGGCTCAAATGATCCCCCTGCCTCAGCCTCCCAAGTAGCTGGGACTACAGGCATATGCCACCATGCCTGGCTAATTTATATATATATATATAAAATATATAAACTACATATACATATATGTATATATATTATATATAAATTATATACATATGTGTATATAAATTATATATGTATATATGTATATACAATTTATATACATATGTGTATATAAATTATATATGTATATATGTATATATAATTTATATACACATATATGTATACACATATGTGTATACATAAATTATATATGTATATATAAAAATATATACATATATATTTATATAAATAAATAAATAAAATATTTTTTTTACAGATAAATTTTTTACAGATAGGGTCTTGTCATGTCACCTAGTCTCATCCCAAACTCCTGGACTCAAGTGATCTGTCCACCTTGGCCTCTCAAAGTGCTGGGATTACAGGCTTAAGCCACCACACCTGGCGACAAGAACATTTTCAAAATAATATTGAGGTCATTTCAAAAAGGATGATACAAACCTACGCTTTATTTGTAGTCAATGTAAACAGCTGCTCATACACACACACACACACACACACACAAACAAAACCAACTTAGTTAATGAGCTGGGTGTCAAGCTTCTATGTAGCCCGACACATTTTAGCACATTTACTAAGTTGTGTTTCTATATTTAGGAACACTAGATACAAACAGGTGACGAGTGACAGAGCTTAGACTGTGAAATGGCCAGCGCCTACAGAATCAGTGCTGCCGAAATGCCATGCTTTGAAACTCCATTCTGGATACCCAAGAGAGAGACATTCAATATTCAACAAAATCGAAGAATTTGAAAATGGAAAATCTCTCGGATGTTCTGAGAGAAAGCAAATCCTGGGGCAGAGTCATAGGATTTGGATTTAAGCCTATAGCTATATAATAAAGAAATAAGTGCAAAAATAAAAACTTGGGCAGGAGGTTTTTAGCTGAAAATCCTAATTCACCTCACAACACATTATGGTAAAACACTTGCTTCAAGCTGATCAGAAGTTATGTTCTATCTTGCACCACGCAATTTGGTAGTCTCTAGCCACATGTGGTTATTTAAATTTAAACTAATAAAAATTAAATGAAATTAAAAATTCAGTTCCTCAATTGCACTAGCCACATTTTAAATTACTCAATAGCCACACGTGGCTAGTGGTTACCATACTGGAAAGTGAAGATAGCGAACATTCTTGTCAATGCATAAAGATCTATTGGACAGTACTGCTCTATATCCTTAAAATATGTAACGCAGCTTCTAGAAATTTCTACATTCTCATAAAGGAATAGTGTAGTTCACACAATGGGAGGATTTGCCTCTTTAGATGAACGGTAGAGACTGGATTGAGAAAATCAATGAATGTGGCAACAGAGAAGGGGTCCTGATCAGGGACTCACCCCAAAGAAGTGTGAGGCAGGCAAAGGAAGGAGCCCAGCTTTAAGCCCAACGTCTACTCTGAACAGAAAATGTCCCTGTGGAAATGTTTTTCATTTTCTTGGGAAAAATAAAAGGCACTAGAATTTTTTGGCAGTCACAAGCTAAAAGCAAAGGATGTGAGACAGCAGAATTCTAAGATAGGAAGGTAAAGTCCCACTTGACTACCAAATAAAATTAGAACTATAGGTACAGCTTGACTCAAATTCTACACTTCAGTAAAGGGTGACAAGAAATGAGAGCCAAATGAAAAAAATTCCATTTGTATTTATCTTTATAAATATAATGATGTGCTTAGTCCCATTTGGTGGCAAAGGCATGGAGCCTGGTGTAATCCCTAAGTAGCCTCCAAGGTAGGCTGAGCCAATTCATAAAAAATATTCATCATCCAAACAGACACCTAACGTGGCAGAGAGGGACAGACAAAGCATGGGGCAGCTCTGGCTTCTCTAACAGAGACATTTTACTTGTTTTGCTATCGGAAAATATATATATAGCTGCGTATCTCATATTTTACGGAGATAAACAGTTGCCTGTTTTTTTTTTTTTTTCCCCTCAGAGCATGCTGCCCTCTACAGGCCACATGGATATACACATATGTGAAGATGCATAAATAGGGTTCAGTTATATCCAAATAGGATCATTAGTAAAGGTAAGATGAAAAAGAGGGGAGGAGGTTGGGTATATCTGCGTGTCTAAAAGGCTTTAGAATCAAGATGAGAAGCAATCAACATTTATAAGCCTCTGATAAACTTTACCTCTTCAGCCGACAGACATATAAGAAATTATAAACAGTAATATAGTCCTATCATGCCGTTTTCCCTGAGAAACTTAAAAGTATGTCGACAGTCATTTTTTCTTTGTTTTAACTAGGGAGGAGAGGCTGGGGAAGAAAGAGAAGGAAGAATGGTTGACGTGGTTTGATGCCTTTTCCTAACATCTCCAAAGTACATCAGTTTTGATCTAAAACTTATTAAAACTCAGTTCTAAATTAGCAAATAAAAGCCAAAGCATTTAAAGAAGTACACATGATTTTATCCCTAAAAGTTTAATCTTTTAAGCCCTGGCTTCAGTGAAGTAGTTAAAATCTGGCCTAAGAAATGAGAACTACCCTTCATCTTTACTTCAAATCGATTCTTTTGCAATAGTTGTGCCATAAACACACACTCACACACACACATGCACACTCACAGCTGGTATGTTTATTGGTTTAGTCACTAAAGGATTTAGCTGGACAAACATCACAAAGATGATGGCTGATTTAATTGAATTTATGATCAAATGTTTTCTATTGCAGGAAGAGTGGGAAATCACTTATGGGGAGATTTGAATAATTTAAGGGAAGTTCTCTATTTGGCATTATGTTTGTATATCAAGTCTTGAGGGATTAAATACAGCTGAGGACTAGCAGAGAATTCACATAGAGATACACAAAGATATGCTGTATAACAATATAATGAGGGCCAGAATATTGATCCCTTTAATATTTCTATTCATTTGTCTCATTTATAGTCTGAGTAATAATAACCACACACACACACACACACACACATATATATAAACTCTATGAGACTTCCATTGTAAACCAATACTAGATTTTTCTGAAATCCCAAAGATGTTGAAATGATTTTAAAATATTCTTTCAGAGAAGACAGAAAAATAATTGTGTTGGGAGTTGTGTATGTGTGTGTTTCAGGCTTTTCAGTGCATTTTTGTTGTTGTTAAAGACATAATGAAATCTGTTGTTAAAGTAAATGTCACTGCCATGATGGAAATAACCGTTTAACATGGGATCTGTGCCTTAGGGTATGGATGTGGCTCAGTGTCTAAAAGAAAAAGGCCAGTTACTTTCAGAATCCCCTTCCCATTTTCCTCACCACAACAGATATGGCATGGCCATGCTCCCAGCCTTTATTCATTGTGTTTTGAGAGATAATTCATCTACCTTCCCCCTTTAAATGCTGTAAACAGCAAGGATAATTACTTTTAGTCTCACCTCTGAAATGACTGGGCCAAATGGATGCCCAGATCCCACACATCTGGCTTAGGGTTATCCATCAGTTTGTGTACAGGTTATATTACAAGAAAAGGTCCAATAGACATTTGAACTTGGTAACAGTGACCTGTCTATGGGTTTCTTTCAATCTAATTTGGAAAACTGTCTAATAAAATGTGTTTCAAGACTAAGAACAAATCACAGTATTGCATTAATTATGTACAACGCTATTTGTTAACACACCACTCTTAGGAAGAAACTGTTGAGGAAGGGGAAATCTTGTTTTTACACAACAAGCATTAAAAAAAAAAAGTTTTGGTGACCAAGCAGTTCAGCATGTGCCCCTAAGAAGGTAAAAAGAATATTCCAGAAGATGTCTGGGGACTCTATGTAGGAGTGGTATCCATGTTCAAGAGTAATTGCTTATTCGGAGCTGAATGAAACGCTCTCACTGGGAGGTAGGACAGGGAGCACTGAAAAAGAGAAGGGAGGTAAACTAATATTTGCCAAAGGACTGTGTCTAGTAAGGTACCCAGTAATTTATACCCTTACCTTACTTAAAGATTAAACAATAATCCTGCCAAGAGGTTATACAAATTGAAAAGCTGAGGCTCAGAGAGGTTAATGAGCTTCCTGAATATTACACAGCTCAGTAGTGGAACTAGGGATGAACCTGGTTCCTATGCTACCAAAGATGATGCTGGCTCCAAGCATTTAATTGCTATTTGTGTCAATAATTAGCTTGTGCAACCTTCCTTCCTCTCTTCTGTTTTTTTCTTTGCTATGTCAATACTATTTATTGATGGTATATTCTTAGGTCAGTAAGACCACTATGTACACAACATGTTAGATGCAGGTGTTAATAAGAATACTCTAGGAGCTCTATCCTCACAATGAATAGAAATTGAGCCCCAGTATTATAAAGTCTCCCCAAATGAAGAGAGGGATATATTGTTTCATGAAAATCAAATAAGTAGAAGGTGGAATGGGTAACAGTGGATACTAGGGATGACATTGTTGTTAAAATCATCTCTTTCTTAGCTAGGGATGGTGGTAGGTACTTATAGTCCCAGCTACTTGGGAGGCTGAGGTGGGAGGATTGCTTGAGCCCTGGAGGTCAAGGCTGTAGTGAGCCATGATCATGCCACTGCAGCCTGGGCAATAAAGCTGCAAAAAAACAAAACAAAAACGCTAAAAGCGAATAGTGTTTTTCTCCAGTGACTTCTTATATTCATCTTTATTTTGAGGCTGAACATTCACTAAATTTGTAAATATTTTCTTAATCAAATGAAAATGATATCAATAAATTTGAGGAAAGGTATCACATATCATGTGTTTCTTTTACATAAGGAGAGGTAAAAATGACTGCATTTCTGTTCATGCTTCACTTTGTAAAATGTGGTAGTTTTCAATGTCCTAAAACTTAAGAATTAAGATATATACACACACACACACACACACACACCCACAGGGGCCCAGTGAGGAAGACCTGGATCAGCTCTTTATTTGGAAGGCTTATTTAGAAAATGGAGCCCCTCTCAATAGCATCTCATATGTGATGAACAGGAAGCTGAGCCTTTACGGTGTTTTCTGAGTAGAGTTAGGGGAGATCAAGGAGATCGGGAACAACAGCAGAGAGGTGAATTCTTAAGGGAGTTCAAAAAGGGTAGAGAGCTGTGTGTCTAACCCCTAACAGTTCCCAACAGAAAAGAGAGAGAGACAACACAAGAAGGAGAAAGGAATAGAGACACTTGCAACAGGCTGCGCCCCTCAGGAGGGAACAGCGTGGCTTCTGGAGGGGAGGAGGCAGGGAAAGGAATGTCTGCTTGATGTTCTTTGATATTTCCACTATTCCCCCTGCAGATTTATTATGCTTATTGGGTACTCCAGAGCTATTATACTCAGGGTGTTTACAAATAAAAGATAGGGGTGAGAAGCAAAAATAAAAAGCAAGATCTCTGGACACTTGAGTGCAAAATGCAATGACTCTTTAGTGTAGTGTTTCCAAAGCAGCAGACATCCACATTTGTATTACACTGACGAGCATTTAAATGATCTAGAATTGTGTCACCCAATATGGCAGCAACCAACCACATGTGGCCCTTAACTCTTGTTAATTACATTTAAATATAGTAAAAAAATTCAGTTCCTAAATCACAGTAGTCACATTTTAAGTGCCCTGGAACCACAGAGGCCTAATGGCTACTGCATTTGTCAGCACAGACCTAGAAATGTCGGGCCAAACTTTCAGTTACCTCAGAGGCCAGCGGCCTTCTTGAGCATAATCTCTTTTTCCTCTGTGCTAGAGATAAAAACTGATTTCTTCCTTATACATAATTTTAAAGATACCAGTTGTGAACCAGGCAACTTGAAGTCAGAAGCCTATGCCTGTTACCTGATGGGTCAGAGACCAGGCAAAATAGACGGTGTCTGACCTGGCTAGGACTGGATTTGCTCCCCTGTGCTCTGCTTCACTCCATGACTCCGGATTGAATGGGAAACTCTAGTACCCACTTCTGATAAGCAAAATGGCCCCCAAAGATGTCCACCTGTTAACCCCTGAAGCTGGTGAACAGGTAACTTTTCACAGCAAAAGGGACTGTACAGAGAGAGTAACCTGGATTAACCAGGTGGGCCCAATCTAATTACATGAACCTTCAGAAGCAGAGAACTTTCTCCTGCTGGAGGCAGAGGAAATGGGGCAGACAGGAAGTCAGAGAGATCAGAAGCTTGTTTGATGGAGAAGGTGGCTATGTGATGAAGCATGCAGGAGGCGTTGAGCGGGTGGAGACAGCGAGCAAGGAAGTGAGACCTCAGCCATACCCCCCAAGGAACTGAATTCTGCCAACAACCTGCATGAGCATGGGAGTAAATTCTCCCCGAAAGCCTCTAGATAAAACCCCAAGTTGGTCAACATCTTGATTTTGGCCTTGTGAGACCCAGAGAAAAGAAATCAGCTCAGCTCTTCCAGACTTCTGCCTGACAGTACTGTAAGGTAACATGTTTGTACTATTCTACACCAATAAATGTGTGGTAATTTGTTATGGCAGTCGCAGAATACAAACACCCATGGCATATTTGGGAGAACAGAGGAACTCCTACAGTTTATGCTTCTAGAATCTGTTTGGAGAAGACTTCGAGAAAGCCTAATTCCATCTCCTCCTTTCAGGGAAATGAGCAGCCCAGCTGCCTCTAGAAGCTCTGTGCCACTTCAGAAGTAGGGTTGGGTTTTATTCCTTAATGAGCTGGATGGCAGGAGGAAGGTATTAGCCGCATCGTAAGCGTGCACTTTTGGATGAGGAGTCCAACACGTAATCTGAAAGGATGAAAAGCAATGGCTGTTGCCAACTCCCAAGCCTGGCACATACTGCCAATTAGTAAGAGAGAAGATGGGTATTTTCTGTCTATCAGAAGGGGATCAAAAAACGCGTGTCCAACAGATAACAAATAGCATGGGGCCTGCCCTTGGCCATCACCAGGGGTTATTAATGACACTGAATTCTTTGCTACAAAAAAAGAGACATGGATAAGAAATCTGGCAATGACACAAAATGACAGGGCTTAACCTCTTGGGGGCAGTGGGAGCTGTGTGGAAGAGGTGACAAACCTCACTGGTAGGGTGTGAGTGGGTAGCAGGCAGGCCTGTCATCTCTGGCACTTAGACTGTCACAAAGCCAGCCTTTTTCCCATGGTGCATTACCCAGCAGTGGGCAGGAGAGGCCCAAGTTGGTGGTGTGGGCAGTCAGCCAGCTGCAAACACTGTTTTCCCCAGGACAGAGGAAGTCAGGCTTCTGTTCTGTCCCAGCTCTCCTGGCTGCATGAAATCTAGATGGGGAATGACATCAGGTCCCAGAAGAGATATCCCCACCCATGGCTGCGGCGAGAACAAAATAAAATTAGATATTGATAAGCTCCCATGAATATGGGGTTTTAAAATGGATAATATTCCCTTCATAAGATTCACTGGAGTACATATATTCCTAGTTGTTATTTTCAATTGTGCTGATCATTTGATCTCATAAGCCTGTTTTTAATTTTAGGCTATACAATCAAGATGATAATATCTGCCCTACCTCAAAAGACTGCCATAAGCATATGTGGGGATGTGACAATGTACATTGCAAAAGGCTAACTGTTAGTTCCATCACAACTATATCTGTGGAGATGAGTTGCATGTCAGGCCTTTGACTATGTCCGTTTCATATGCTTTCACATTTATGCTGTTGCCACTGCTAGTGATCAGGGCTAGGCCTTTGGCAAATTTACCATCTTCCACTCAGATAGTTTTCTCTTTGTCCTCCTGGCACCTGCTTGCAACCTGAATCTTTGGACAGATCTTTATTGTCTTTTCCAAGGCTCTCTAGGACTCCCACCAGGGCCTGGAAAGCATCTCCTATTTTAGGTCCTCCTCTTTTTCCTTTCAAGAATCCTATCTGCAATTTCCTAGAAGAGCTGCTTTCTATTAGATGGCAAGGGGTTTAGGGGGTTTTGATAAACATCATATCCACATAATGCTTTTAGTAACTGAACTAATGATTCATTCTTATGAAAACAAATGTCTCCAGAAATTGCTATGAACTGCAACTTCCAAGCAAGCAGGTGAGCCTTTGGGGGCCTCCAAACAATACTATGTATGGCAGTGCAGGGTCAGGACAAGAGACCTGCTTGGATTGGACTGTCTGCATATTGAAAACAGTACATTTTCAAGGGTATGGCATGTGGTGAAGAACTACACCTCATGCAGTGTTCTAATGCTGAACTCAAATCCATAGAGCTGGGCAGTGGACAGCTGCAGCTCACCCTTTGAGTTATAAGACTGGAATTCCAAAAGGTCTGCTTTAGTGTCTGCTTTAGAGTTTATCCATCCAATAAACCCATCCCTCAAACATTTAATAGTGATGTATAGAATAATTTCTTTGAAAATATTACAAGAAGAAGTCTCCAGGCACTAAATAAATTAAAATTGTTACTTTGAAGTAAATAGAATTATAACAAAAATGATCAACAATGAAAAAAAAAAGTGAAAGTGGGGAAAGATGATTTAAGAACTCACTCAACTCAACTGCTCCTCCTAGTGAAATAACAGTGTTCTTACCTTCCTCTCACATTTTTAAACAGGGAAAGACATTTACAACTCTAGCTTACTTTGCAATATATTATTATGTTAGAAAATTTTAGATCGACTTAGAACATTAGGGAGAATGGAAAACAGGGTCTTTCAGTTTGTTGCGAATTCTCTGACTTAAATCTTAATGGTACACATCAGCTATAATGACAAGAAAAATACAATAGAGCACCACCAACATAAATACAGAGTGAAAGTTACGTTATTCCTCCGAATATTATTTTAAATACATTATGTTTTATGCATATGTAACTCAACTATCTAGCAAGTCACCTTTAAAATATGTCTTGGAAGTTAAACATCAAGTCAGATAAAATACTCAAGGAAAGTTCAAGAACACAAAGTTAGGAAACATTTCTAAATCTTTTAAATTCAGGTTGGAGACTCTGCTGGTACATTCAATTGTAGCAGGTAAGATTTTTCTTCTCTATTTTTGTGTTTCCAGAAAGGTACCTTTGTTTAAATGTCTCTGTATTTACTACACAATTTAGAATACCAATTTTTATAAGTTCTTAGGAGAAATCCAGTTTTACTTAACTAAGAGAGGATAAGCAGAACCATAACATGTGTGGGAACAAGCAGGAAAAGGTTAACCTGTGCCTATTCAAGTCTGTAGACGTGCTTCTTGTTACCAGCCACAAGCGGTCTTTTCCAGATCTGTCTTCTGTGACTTAGTGGTTTATCCTTAGTTCTCTTTTTGATACTTTCAAACCTCCGAAATCATTCAGCTGTTTAAAAGTTCCAAAACAAGCAAATGTGTTCCTGGAATCTTCCCCTTAACTTTGCTGGAGAGCATACACTAAGGCTTCTTCTCCAGCCAAAATAATAAAAGATCTTTTAAGTGGCTAAAATTCTTGGTTGATTGCACATACATGCCAATGTCAGACAACTATAAATAGAGAGATTTGGAAGAGAAATAGGGAGAGTATAACTGCAATGAAATAAAATAGAATGGTTTGAAGGCAGTCAGAAAACAGTACATGTTTTTATAAAATTAAGATTTGTCTCCCTTTAATCCACAATCCCCTTTATGGAGGAAGAGCCCACATGGATTATGCACTTCTAGTATGAGGGAATAAAAGGACTTTCCTTTTTTTTTAATATATATTTATTATTCTCAATCGCATAATTAAGATTTCTTCTTTCTATTATTCTTTTGAATTTGGATATCTGTTGGATCTTATATTTTCTCCCATTGCTGCTTTGTTTTCCCAGAACAATAAAAATATCTTTCAAAGGATGAAATTATGCCCATGGTTGCTGACATAAATGAAGTCAGCAGGGAATTGCCTAGGTGTTACTTAGGGCAGAGTTGGCCCCAAAATAAACTGGGTCTTTTGTTATAGCTATTCAAATAAACTTAAGGATTCATTTCTCAAGAAATTCCTACTCTCTTAGGCAGGTTAACATCTCCACTAGCTTCAATACCTAGGTTAATACATATTTTTAAAAGCATTGTTACTTAATTTTGAACAGTGACCTACTTTTTTATATTAACCCACCTATCTTATATTAACCCATCTAAACTGAATTCAAATTAGTTCTTGCAAATTAGTTCAATTTATTTTAAACCTAT
Organism: Homo sapiens; assembly: GCF_000001405.40. NCBI lineage: Eukaryota > Metazoa > Chordata > Mammalia > Primates > Hominidae > Homo > Homo sapiens. Next base: position 91,081,424 of record NC_000007.14, on the reverse strand, counting down.
TACCACTGTACAAGAGAATTTAACAGTTGCTTCAGTTTAGTAATTGTGCTATAGACAAGCAAATTAGTTGGAAATAGAGAAAACCATCACTCGCGTAATAGTCTTTTAATGTAGTTCTTTTGAATTCTGATCTCACTCCTTAAGTGAAAGATGCTGAAATGCTGATGATGGTTGCAAGGACCATTTGGAGGAAGAATCAATAATATAATTAACGTCTCTGCATCTTAGTTCTCTTTAAATTGCCTTGGTTTGAATTGGCTAGAGGCTACAGCTTGGCTCTAAAGATTCAGCACTTAATACTGGAATACCAGAAAGTAGCATTTTAATATTTTTAGTAATGATTTTATTACTTAGTGTTTCTGAAATAAACCCTTAAGGCAAAACTTACAAGGACTTAAAAATAGCATCGTTCTAAACAAGTCATGTTCATAATTTTAAAATCTTACCTCAAGCTCAGCTTTTATCATTTTCCTTAAAATATTTAAAAAGTGGGACTAATGGTGGGACTCAGTTTATTAAATGCCTTTGAATTAATTCTAATGATAAATTCTGTAATTCTGTAATTCTAATTACCTATTCTCCAGAAATGCTGCTATGCTACAGTATGATAGTTTCAGATTTTCCTGTTACTTTAAATGTAGGTTTAGAGATTCAATGGCTTTATCAAGAATTGTTTCATAAAGTGGTTATCTGGTTGGAAGGAATGATGTCTTATTCCTATGAGAGGAATGTGTTTGATCATTTAATTAAGGTAGGAACTGTATACTGTATATATTATCTGGTGTATAAAAGCACTTAATTAAAATATGTTAGACCAGTGATCAGGAAATGGGGAGGCAGAGAAGAGGAGCATGCACAGGAAGCTCCCAGGAGAGGGAATGCTTCCCAGGGGAGCCTTGAGGTTAAGAACTGGCTCTTCAAATGGCACATGCAAAGCCCCAGGTTAGACAAAAATGATTATACCTATGTGTTATTCGAGGTACAAATTTAATAAAAATAAATGGCCAAATCCCTAAAGTAAACTACCGCAGAATTTAATGTATTCATTTCATGAGTTCCTCGCCATTAGCTGTCCACTGTATCCACTGAGAGCACGGATTAGCAGCATTTTAATATGAAAAAGTTTTTTGTTATTTTTTTCATAACTGGGAGTATCCAAAATTAAACGTGATAACAGTGAAAAAATGTGAGTATAACACTAAATTCCAAGTAGACAAAATTTTATGACAAATTACAGTTTATTTAATCAAACCAGTTCCAGTTGTCTTTTATCCAGCATAAACCTTGAAATGTGACACTCACAAGTAAACGGGAATGACTAAATTACTGTTTCCCACTTCTAATGATTTTCTAACACATTGGCTTGCAATAAAAGTCTCCTGAGTAACTACAAAATCCAGATCTTCAGATTTTATGAAATCTCAAAAACAACAAATAAAATGAAGTAAGGTCAGATGAGAGAACAGACATGAAATAAATGGAGAACACACACTTCAGTCATAAATGCATTTAGCTTCCCAATAAGGCGTAAGGGAAAAATATGCGAAGTGAAAAAATCTGAAAGATCAACTTTAGCTCAAAAGTTGTCACCAACATCATTTATATTAGAAAGTCAGTCATTATATTATATTTTCTAAATGCTATGTTGCTGATACAAAAATATTTCTTGGAATTTAGCTGCAAGAAGGCTGACCACAAGGAATTTTAGGATTTACAGTTCTGAAGCAATGCCACATCGCTCTAGGAACTCAAATTCATACAGTGTTGGCTCAGGCTGAACATAGTAGCTAGCACACAGTTAAGGTTTAACAGCAGTTTAATGGTTAAATGAATGAATAAATACACAGCAGGATGAATCAACAATGCCATGAAAAACGTATGAGAAGAGTTGTAAATATTAAAAGAGAAAGAAAGAGAATGAGCACAATCTGTATAAAGACTTACTTATTCCATGCTTGTCTAAGGTTTTTAGAGCTGTACAGGGTAAAGCGTTCTGAAATAAAAAAGAAAAATGATAAACAATCTTTGTATCAAATGTATATATTACAAGTATGTTGAAAAAACTTCAACTTTAAAAAAAGAGTGGGCTACTCAGTCAGTTAGGCCAGCATAGTAAGGTCTTCACTTTTATACTGGGCAGTTATAAAGAGTAAAACAGGAAGATAACAACATATTAAACGGTGAAGCATTGTTTTCTTTAGTCTAAGATGGTTTATTTCATAATTTGGCTTCCTAATAACTATTTCTTAGAACAACTAAGTTTTAATTGAGTTGAAAAAAGAAATGCAAATTCCAAACCTCCAACCTGTAAGTAGATTTACAAAAGCATATCAACACATTTCGTCAAGTGAGACTTGCTGTTTTTTTCCTATGATGATTTCTCTGACCAAATACAATAATATTGGGTCTCCTTTCCTATATTGTATGGTATTTATACATGCTCAAAGCCAAACTACCAGGGTCCTATACCGTATATTTACATTTATCAGTGAACAATCTTTAGATTTGTTTTAGTTTAAAAAGGAACATGTTTGTTTTACCAAGTTAAACAATCAAGTGATACAGAATAGACATTATAATCTCTTCAGCTGCAAATTCTTTCACTTCTGATGATATACCAATTGTTAATGATTTGCTATGTCCCTTTTCACATATTTTTTTGTTTATGAAATACACCCATCCTTATGTACGAACATATATACCATTGATTTTTTGAACGGATTTTACAATAAACATTACCCTTGAAACTCTATTGGCACTTAACAAAATATACTGGATAGTCCTTCAAATCAAGAATATATGTAACAATTTTTTTTTTCAGACAGAGCCTTGCTCTGTTGCCCACGCTGTAGTGCAATGGCCCAATCTCAGCTCACTGCAACCTCCGCCTCCCGGATTCAAGCGATTCTCCTGCCTCAGCCTCCCAAGTAGCTGGAATTACAGGCATGTGCTGCCACACCCAGCTAATTTTTGTATTTTTAGTAGAGACAGGGTGTCATCATGCTGGCCAGGCTGGTCTCGAATTCCTGACCTCAGGTGATCGACCTGCCTTGGCCTCCCAAAGTGCTGGGATTACACAAGTGAGCCACTGCGCCTGGCCTGTAACAATTGTTTTAAAATCGTATAACGTTCTATAAAATAGAAGTACCATAATTTATTTAACTGTTCTCCCATTGATGAACCTTTAAGTAGTTTCCAATTTCTTTTCCCTTACAAACAATACTTCAGCAAATATCCTTGTACATGTCTCTCTACCTACAGATGCTTTCATTTCTGTTGGATAGATTCCCCAATATAGAATTGCTTGGCAAACGGTATGCATATTTTACATTTTAATAAATGCCGACAGAGTACTTTTCATTTTCCCACCAGTGATGAAAAAGTATGTCACTTTCTCCATACGTCTTCTAGCATTGGTTGTTATCAGTTTTTTACATGTTGCCAAAGCTACACTTGATAAAACATTCTTGGACTTCTTTTCATACGCTTTCTGGCCATTTACATTTCTTCTACTGTTTCAAATTTCACTTTTCATAGCTGGTACCAAATTTAATATTGGATTCTTGGTTTTTTATCAAGGTACCAATTTTAATATTGGATTCTTGGTAATCAGTTTATAGAATTTTTTTGTATATGATCAAGTTTGCCCGTGTGTGTGTGTGTGTGTGTGTGTGTGTGTGTATAAAAGTGAAATAAGTATACACTTTTTTCCACATAAAAATTTAAATTTTTATTTAGTAAAATAAATTATTATTTTTCTTTTTTACTTTACTTTACGTTCCAGGATACATGTGCAAGACATGCAGGTTTGTTATGTAGGTATACTTGTGCCATGGTGGTTTGCTGCACCTATCTACCCGTCATCTAGGTTTTAAGCCCTGCATGCATTAGCTATTTGTCCTGATGCTCTCCCTCCCCTCGCCCCCTGACTCCCCAACAGGCCCCTGTGTGTGATATTTCCCTCGCTGTGTCCATATGTTCACATTGTTAAATTCCCACTTACGAGTCAGAACATGCTTGGTTTTCTGTTTATGTGTTAGTTTGATGAGGATGATGGGTTCCAGCTTCATCCATGTCCCTGCAAAGGACATGATCTCATTCCTTTTTATGGCTACGTAGTATTCCATGGTTAATATGTACCACATTTTCTTTATCCAGTCTATCATTGATGGGCATTTGGGTTGGTTCCATGTCTTTGCTATTGTAAATAGTGCTGCAATAAACATACATGTGCATGTGTCTTTATAGCAGAATCATTTATATTCCTTTGGGTATATACCCAGTAATGGGATTGCTGGGTCAAATGGTATTTCTGGTTCTAGATCCTTGAGGAATCACCACACTGTCTTCCACCATGATTGAACTAATTCACATTCCCACTAACAGTGTAAAAGTGTTCCTATTTCTCCTCAGCCTCACCAGCAGCTACTGTATCTTGACTTTTTAATAATTGCCATTCTGACAGGCATGAGATGGTCTCATTATGGTTTTGATTTGCAATTCTCTAATGATCAGTGATGTTGAACTTTTTTTCATATGTTTGTTGGCTGTATAAATGTCTTCTTTTGAGAAATTTCTGTTTGTATCCTTTGCCCACTTTTTGATGGGGTTGTTTTTTCCTTGTAAATCTGTTTAAGTTCCTTGTAGATTCCACATATTAGACCTTTGTCAGATGGGTAGATTGCAAAAATGTTCCCCCATTCTGTTGCCTGTTCATTCTGTTCACTCTATTCATTCTTTTGCTGTGCAGAAGCTCTTTAGTTTAATTAGATCCCATTTGTCAATTTTAGCTTTTGTTAAAATTGCTTTTGGCATTTTTGTCACGAAATCTTTGCCCATGCGTAAGTCCTGAATGGTATTACCTGGGATTTTTTCTAGGGTTTTTATGATTTGGGGCTTTATATTTAGGTCTTTAATTCATTTTGAGTTAATTTTTGTATAAGGTGTAAGGAAGGGGTCCAGTTTCAGTTTTCTGCATATGGCTAGCCAGTTTTCCCAGCATCACTTATTAAACAGGGAATCCTTTTCCCATAGCTTGTTTTTGTCAGGTTTGTCGAAGATCAGATGGTTATAGATGTGTGGCATTGTTTCTGAGGTTTCTGTTCCATTCCATTGGTCTGTATGTCTGTTTTGGTACCAGTACCATGATTTTTTTTTTTTTTTTTTTTTTTTTTTTTTTTTTGGTTACTGTAGCACTGTAGTATAGTTTGAAGTCAGGTAGCATGATGCCTCCAGCTTTGTTCTTTTTGCTCAGGATTGTCTTGGCTATACAGGCTCTTTTTTGGTTTTATATAAAATTTAAAGTAGTTTTTTTTTCTAATTCTGTGAGGAATGTCAATGATAGCTTGATGGGGATAGCTTTGAATCTATAAATTACTTTGGGGAGTATGGCCATTTTCATGATATTGATTCTTCCTATCCACGAGCATGGAATGTTTTTCCATTTGTTTGTGTCCTCTCTTATTTTCTTGAGCAGTGGTTTGTAGTTCTCCTTGAAGAGGCCCTTCACATCCCTTGTTAGCTGTATTCCTAGGTATTTTATTCTCTTTATGGCAATTGTGAATAAGAGTTCATTCATCATTTGTCTCTCTGTTTGTCTATTGTTGGTACGTAGGAATGCTTGTGATTTCTGTACATTGATTTTGTATGCTGAGACTTTGCTGAAGTTCCTTATCAGCTTAAGAAGTTTTTGGGCTGATACAATAGGGTTTTCTAAATACAGAATCATGACATCTGCAAACAGAGGCAATTTGACTTCCTCTCTTCCTATTTGAATATCCTTTATTTCTTTCTCTTGCCTGATTGCCCTGGCCAGGACTTCCAATACTATGTTGAATAGGAGTGTTGAGAGAGAGCATCCTTGTCTTGTGACGGTTTTCAAAGGGAATGCTTCCAGCTTTTGCCCATTCAGTATGATATTGGCTATGGGTTTGTCATAAATAGCTCTTATTATTTGGAGGTACTTCCATCAATACCTAGTTTATTGAGAGTTTTTAACATGAAGCGATGTTGAATTTTATCGAAGGCCGTTTCTGCATCTATTGAGTTAATCATGTGGTTTTTTTCATTGGTTCTGCTTATATGATGGATTACATTTATTGATTTGCATATGTTGAAGCAGCCTTGCATCCTGGGGATGAAGCTTTTTGATGTGCTGCTGGATTTGGTTTGTCAGTATTTTATTGAGGATTTTTGTTTCAATGCTCATCAAGGATATTGGCCTGAAGTTTGCTTTTTTGTGTGTGTTTCCACCTGGTTTTGGTATCAGGATGATGCTGGCCTCATAAAATGTGTTAGGAAGGAGTCCCTCCTTTTCAATTGTTTGGAATAGTTTCAGAAGGAATAGTACCAGCTCCTCTCTGTATCTCTGGTAGAATTTGGCTGTGAATCCATCTGGTCCTGGGCTTTTTTTGGTTTGTAGGCTACGAATTACTGCCCCAATTTCAGAACTTGTTATTGGTCTATTCAGAGATTCAACTTCTTCCTGGTTTAATCTTGAGAGGGTGTATGTGTTATGAGTTTATCCATTTCTTCTAGATTTTCTAGTTTATTTGTGTAGAGGTGTTTACAGTATTCTCTGATGGTAGTTTGTACTTCTCTGGGGTCACTGGTGATATCCCATTTATCATTTGTTATTGTGTCTATTTGATTCTTCTCTCTTTTCATTAGTCTATCTAGTGCTCTATTTTGTTAATTTTTTCAAAAAAACCAGCTCCTGGATACATTCATCTTTTGAAGGGTTTTTTTGTGTCTCCATATCCTTCAGTTCTCCTCTGATCTTAGTTATTTCTTGTCTTCTGCTAGCTTTAGGATTTGTTTGCTCTTGCTTCTCTAGTTCCTTTAATTGTGATACTTGGGTGTCGATTTGAGCTCTTTCTAACTTTCTGATGTGAGCATTTAGTGCAATGTTTCCCTCTTAACACTTCTTTAGCTGCATCCCAGAGATTCTGGTACATTGTCTCTTTGTTCTCATTGGTTTCAACGAACTTCTTGATTTCTGCCTTAATTTCATTATTTACCCAGGAGTCATTCAGGGGCAGGCTATTCAATTTCCATGTAATTGTGTGGTTTTGAGTGAGTTTCTTAATCCTGAGATCTAATTTGATTGTACTGTGGTCTGAGAGAATGTTTTGTTATGATTTCAGTTCTTTTGCATTTGCTGAGGAGTGATTCCACTTCTAATTATTTAGTTGTTTTCTGAAAAAGTGTCATGTGGGACTGAGAAGAATGTATATTCTGTGGATTTGGGGTGGAGAGTTCTGTAGCTGTCTATTAGGTCCACTTGATCCAGAGCTGAGTTCAAGTTCTGAATATCCTTGTTAATTTTCTGTCTCATTAATCTAATATTGACACTGGGGTGTTAAAGTCTCCTAGTATTATTTTGTGGGAGTCTAAAACTCTTTCTAGGTCTCTAAGAACTTGTTTTATGAATCTAGGTGCTCCTGTATTGGGTACATATATATTTTGGATAGTTAGTTGTTCTTTTTCAATTGTACTGTTTATCATCATGTAATGCCCTTCTTTGTCTTTTCTGATCTTTGTTGGTTTAAAGTCTGTTTTGTCAAGAGACTAGGACTGCAACCTCTGCTTTTTTTTTTTCTTTTCATTTGCTTGGTAAATTTTCCTCCATCCCTTATTTTGGCCCATGTGTGTCTCTGCACATGAGATGGGTCTCGTGGGTACCGCACACCGATGGGTTTTGATTCTTTATCCAGTTTGCCAGTCTGTCTTCTAATTGGGGCATGTAGCCCATTTACATTTAAGGTTAATATTGTTACATGTGAATTTGATCCTGTCATCATGATGCTATCTGGTTATTTTGCACACTAGTTGATGCAGTTTCTTCACAACATCATTGGTCTTTATATTTTGGTGTGTTTTTTGCAGTGGCTACTACCAGTTTTTCCTTTCCATATTTAGTGCTTCCTTCAGGAGCTCTTGCAAGACAGGCCTGGTGGTGAAAAAATCCCTCAGCATTTGCTTGTCTGAAAATGATTTTATTTCTCCTTCATTTATGAAGCTTAGTTTGGCTGGATATGAAATTCTGGGTTGAAAATTCTTTAAGAATGTTGAATATTGGCCCCCACTCTCTTCTGGCTTGCAGGGTTTCTGCTGAGAGATCAGCTGTTAGTCTGATGGGCTTCCCTTTGTAGGTCACCTGGCCTTTCTCTCTGGCTGCCCTTAACATTTTTTCCTTCATTTTGACCTTGAAGAATCTGTTGATCATGTGTCTTGGGGTTGGTATCTTTATGGTGTTCTCTGTATTTCCTGAATTTGAATGTTGGCCTGTCTTGCTAGGTTGGGGAAGTACTCCTAGATAATATCCTGAAATGTGTTTTCCAACTTGGTTCCATTCTCCCTGTCTCTTTCAGGTACTCCAATCAATTGTAGGTTCTGTCTTTTTACATAGTTCCATATTTCTTGGAAGTTTTGTTTGTTCTTTTTCATTCTTTTTTTCTCTAATCTTGTGTGGCTGCCTTATTTCAGCAAGATGGCCTTCCAACTCTGATATTCTTTCTTCTGCTTGATCAATTTGGCTATTGATACTTGTGTATGCTTCACGAAGGTCTCATGCTGTTTTTCATCTCCATCATGTCATTTATGTTCCTGTCTAAACTGGTTATTCTAGTTAGAAGCTCCTGTAAGGTTTTTATCAAGGTTCTTAGCTTCTTTGCATTGAGTTAGTACATGCTCCTTTTAGCACAGCAGAGTTTATTACTACCCACCTTCTGAAGCCTACTTCATCCATCTCATCTTCTGTCCAGTTCTGCGCCATTGCTGGAGAGCTGTTGCGATCGTTTGAAGGAGTAGAGGCACTCTGGCCTTTTGGGTTTTCAGCATCTTTTTGTTGATTCTTTCTCATCTTCATGAGTTTGTCTAGTGTCAATCTTTGAGGCTGCTGACCCTTGGAGGAGGTTTTTGCGGGAACATTTTTGTTGATGCTGTTGTTGCTTTCTATTTGTTTGTTTGTTTTTTCTTTCAATGGTCAGGTCCCTCTTCTGTATGGCTGCTGTGGTTTGCTGGGCATTTACTTCAGGCCCTATTTATCTGTTTCACTCCTGCACCTGGAGTGAACTTGAGGAGGCTGGAGAACGGCAAAGATGGGTACCTGCTCCTTCCTCTGAGATATCTGACCTCAAGGGGCACCTACCTGATGCTAATAGAAACATTCCTATATAGGGTGTCTGACAACCCGTTAAGAGGGTCTCGCCCAGTTGGGTGGCACGGGGAGCAGGACCCATTTAATGAAGCACTTTGGTTGTCCCTTGGTGGAGGGGGTGTGCCGAGCTGGATGGAAACCTACTCATCTGGGCTGCCTGGGTTCCTCAGAACTAGCAGGAGGAAAGACTAAGTCTGCTGGTCTGCAGAGACTATGGCCACCCCTCCCCCTAGGGGCTCAGGCCCAGAGAGATCAGAGTTCTGCCCCTGAGCCCCTGCCTGGAGTTGTTGGAGTTCCTGCAGGGATGCCCCGTCCCCATGAGAAAAGATGAGTCAGGGTCAGGTCTGAAGAGGTACTCTGGCCACAATCTGCCACAGCCAGTGTGTTGGGCTGTGGGGAATCCCTCTTGGGACCAAGCCATCCAGCCTCCCTGGCTTCAGCAGGGGAAGAGCATGGCCTAGAGCTATAGAGATGGCTGCTGCCCTTACCCCGCCCTGGGAGCTTAGTGTGTTAGGCAGCTAGCAGTCCCAGTGTTGGCTGCTGCCCCTCCCTGAAGGAGCACAGAGGGCTTAGACAGCAGGCACCCGCAGCTGTGGTGATGGCCGGCCCTCCCACCAGGAGCTTGGCAGGCTTAAGCAGATTCTAGCTTAGTGGCTGTTGAGAATCTGAGCAGCTCCATGGTTGGGACCCTAGGCCCCGGTGGCATGGGCTCATGAGTGGGATCTTCCGATCCGTGGGTTGCACAGTTCCGTGGAAAAAGCACAGTTTCCCAGGCTGGGTAGCACGCTCACTCACTGCCTCCCTTGGCTGGGGGGGTGAGGGGTCCCCTGCCCCATGTGGCTCTCAGGTGGGCCGCCGCACTACACTGCTCTTCCTTCCTCTCGGTGGATCATGCCAGCTGCCTGGTCTGTCCCCATGACAGAACCTGGATACCTTGGTTGCCAGTGCAGGATAGCAAGCTGTTTTAGTTCTTTTTGATGAGAGCCTCAGATCACCACTGCTTCTAGTCGGCCATCTTGGCCCTGCCCCAAATTATTCTTTTTCTTTTGGCTTTCTTGTCTTGCTTAAAGAAAAAGACCCTGATCTTGATTTTATACAAACAATAACTTCATTTTTCTCCTACTTATTATTATTTTTTTAACAAATTGTTACTTCTTGGCTTTACTATCTGGAATTTATTTTGTAAATATGGTATGACATTTTCTTTGTTCAAGGAGGACAGACAATTATGCCAGGATTCGGTAAAAATCAATCATTATGGATCACTCTTTCTCTGATAATTTGAAGTGACACCTTTATCCTATATTACTTTCCAAAATATATAAGAGCCTGGACTCTTTAATACTTATCTATTTATGTCAGTATCATAGTGTTTTAATTAGAGTGGCTCTTCTTATCTAGGAAATGTCTTTTCTTACTAGTATTCTTTTTTTTTTGGTAAAAATTATTGGGGCAAGTTTTGAACATTTCTTTCTCTTTTTTTTAACATTTCCTTTTTTATTTTTAAAGACAAGGTCTTGCTCTGTCACCCAGGCTGGAGTGCAATGGCATAATCACGCTCACTGCAGCCTTGACCTCCCAAGCTCAACTGATCCTCTTACCTCAGCCTCCCAAGTAGCTGGGACTACAGGAGCATGCCACCATGCCTGGCTAACTTAAAATTTTTTTGGTAGAGGTGAAGTTTCACTATGTTGCCCATGCTGGTCTCAAATTCCTGGGCTCAAGCAATCCTCCTGCTTTGGACTCCCAAAGGGCTGGAATTATAGGCATGAGCCACAAAGCCCAGCCTGAACATTTCCTTTTTCATTAATTCCACACATAGTTAATGGTTCCTAATATGTGCTAAGGATTCTTCTCATGCTGAGAATATAGGCATGAACAAAACAGAACAAGTCTCTTTCTTCACGGAGCTCTTATTCTAGAAACATGAGACAGACAATAAAAACATAAACACCACCATCACCATCACTACCACCACCACCACCACCACCACCAGCAGCAGCAGCAGCAGCAGCAACAACAAAATAAATGAGTTAATTTTAGAAAGTGGTAAGTGTTCTAGCAAAGCAAACAAGGAGATCTGATGTAGACCAGTGTGAGAACACTTTAGGTTCTTCTTATAAGGACAGACCAGTTTAAAATAAAACAGTTAGTCAACACAATACACAGGCTGGGTGTGGTGGCTCATGGCTATAATCCCAGCATTTTGGGAGGCCGAGGTGGGAGGATTGCTTGGGCCTTGGAGTTTGCAACCAGCTTGGCCAACACAGGGAGACCCACCTCTACAAAAAAATTGAAAAATCAGCTAGGTGTGGTGGTGTGTACCTGCAGTTCTAGCTACTCAGGAGGCTAATGTGGGAGGATCCCTTGAGTTTGGAAGGTAGAGGCTGCACTAAGCCATGATTGTGCCACCGTACTCCAGCCTGAGTGACAGAGCAAGACCCTGTGCTAACAAACAACAAACAAAAAATTTTAAAAAATGTTTCCATTGGAAATCTGATTGTGTCCTATTAAAATATATATTAACCTGAAAAGGATGATGTAAAACGTTTGTGTCTTTCTATTTAGACAGCATTCACATATACATCCTTCAGTAACATTAGTTTTTTAAAGTATTGATCTTATTTCTTTTTAATGATTTAATACTTATTAGGCTTAATTCTGCTTAATAATGGTTGGTGTCCTTTTTCAGTGTTGTCTGCTTTTTTTAAATTTAAATTTAAATTTTTTTAGAGATGGTGTCTCACTCTGGATGGAGTGCAGTGGCACAATCATAGCTCACTGTAGCCTTGAATTCTTGGGCTCAAGGGATCCTTCCACCTCAGCCTCCCAAGTACCTGAGACTACAGGCACTCACCACCATGCCTGACTAATTATGTATTTATCTATTTTTAGAGATGGCATCTCACTGTTGCTCAGGCTGGTCACAAACTCCTGGCCTCAAGCGATCCTCCCGCCTCAGCCTCCTGAGTAGCTGAGATTACAAGCACGAGCCGCTGTGCCTGACTTCTTGTCTGCTTTTAATTATAAGTTTTTAAAGGAGAAAATAAAAATGACTTATATTGCTTTGTTATGGTATGTTTCATGTACAAGAATACCATTGGATAAGAAGAACAAAAAGAAAAACACACACTCAGTTTCCTATCTTTAAACACTATGCAATTATTTATTCATTCATTTCAACTACTATGTATTGAGCAACTACTGTGTGTCAGGTATATAATTCTTGGGGCTGAAGACACAGCAGAGAAACAAACCAAAAAACCTTTCTATTTGCAGGGGGCTTGCATTCCCATAACGAGTATGCTAGGCTGGAATGTGCTGGAGGCCAGGATAGCTGCATATGACATAGAACCCAGGAGAGAGAGGTGGAGGCTGAGACAGAGACAGGCAGAAGGGTTTGTGGCCTTTAAGATATGATCTGGTATGGGCTTTTTTTTTTTTTTTTTTTTTTTTTAATATAAGGTATCACTCTGGCTTCTATTTGGAAAGTACACTACAGAAGGCAAGGTTGGAAGCAGGGAGCCCAACAAAAGGTTATTACTGTCCAGGAGAGAGACAATATGACTTGGGCTATGGGAACCGAGTGAATGCAGTGAGAAGGAGATCAGAGTCGGAAAATGCTTTGGAGGATGAACAAGTGAGATCTGCTGGTGAGTTAGAAATGAAGTGCGACAGAAAGGGAGGAGTCGATGATTCATAGAGCACTGACTGATCTCCAATTTCCAGGTTACAAAGATGTGGAATTTCACACACAACTCAATTATTATTTGGAGAAGAAATTAATCTTTCTGTGGTAATTCAGAAGGTATATAAAGAGGAGTTCTCCTGGAGTTTTGGAGTTATCAATCAAACAGGGGTAATTGACAAAATATTTAATAACCTGTTAGGCACAGGCATTGACCAGTCAGAACAGAAACTAGCCATTATGCAATAAAGGTGTGCATTAGCTGAAGATCAGCCCCGATTACAAACATCCATTGTTCTACAGACACAGGCAAAAGGGCTTACCAACAAATGTGTATTTATTTGTTTCAAAGGAATGTCTAATTTCTGAGTTTATTCTCTACTAGGCTGCATTTTACAAGATGCAACATAATTCAGCCAGTTGGTGTAGAATAGGAATTTAAGGGCATAGTCTAGGTTTGAGGATTAACTGACAAAGGAGAAACAGGAGGAACAGTTCTTTGTATGAAGTTCTTTTTTAAAAAATTATCTAAAGTTTGGTATTAAGAAAGCAAGAGACATTTTAAAAATTAATTAAGTCAAATGCCCTCATAAAACAAATTTGATTTCCTTAACTTTGTACTATCCGCAAAGCAAGCTTAATAATTTGCTATGATTTCAGGATGAATAGGAATTCTATTACAGATAAAAGTAATACAATCTTGCATTTATAAGTAAATTATTATTCTTAGCAATTAATTGCACATAAATATTAGTTCTAAGAATTACCTCTTTTAGAGCTTGACAGGATATGCTAATATAATTTTTTTCCAGAAATACAATGCTAATTTTAGCTGTGCACAAAAGAGACTAAATTGATAGTGAAACATGCCATGTGAGGCATGTTATGAGGTTTTATTCACATAAAACCTTAATTCTTTTAGCAAATATTGCCTGGGCATGTGCCTGTGTGCCAGGTGCTACATTGGGCAATGGGCACATAAAAATAACTAAGTCCTGGTTACAGTTCGGTGGCATTGAAAACTAAATATAGAATTACAGATACAGAATGAAAAATGCTACAGTATGGATACAGACAGAGTCCCCACTAGAGACTACAGCTAGAGACACTAACTGCATCTGTTTCTTTTCCAAATGAAGACAGGACAAACTCAAACACCGGAAGCTAGCTCCAGGAACACACAGAGCCTCATCATTTATATCCAACAGCTTTCAGATCATAACTGCCAAAGTACATGATTTCAAATGGAGGCATTTCTAATGTTTTCTGCCACGAACATGACATTTATAATTAGAATAAAATTTTTATTTTACAAACTACTTCCATCATAAATAAAAGTAATGTTCCATTAGATGAAAAAACATAATTAGCCACGTTAAGTTTTGAAAACAAAAAGGTGTTAAAATTGGTGCCCCAAGTTGACAACAAGCATATTTAATAAAATAGTCAACTGCCTATGAATAATTTTATCAAGAGTATTTGAGTATTTGCATATGAATGTTTTACACTGTTCTCCTTCACTTAAGTTTACTCTCACTTATTACTTTAATGTCAACTTTCTCTTTCCAATTATGTTTAAACTAGAAGTTTAGAATGTCATTATTTAAAGCACTGGCTAACTCACAGCATAACTGAGAAGTGCAATTAATTTGAACCTGCAGGCTGATTTTCACCTTCTCCTCTTAGTGCAGGGACATTGCAGAGGATGATCCCAACACAGCAGGAGATCAGGTAGGAGAGCTTGCCGAGAAGAAATCACTTGCTAAGTGACAGGGCAGGGAACAGAAGATTGGAAAGGTTTTCTCTCAAACCGCCATGCACGTAAGCACTGCAATTCGTTGACATTCCACAGGAAAACAACTGGAGAACAATGCTGCATATTGTAAAGTCCCTTGGCTTAAAAAAGCTACACCTGAAATGTCTTGAGGCACTACAAAGCAAACTTTAACCCACAGGAAGATAAAACCCAAATTGGATTTTACTCATTTGCATATAAGCATGCAGTGTACACTTCAGGAGATTAATTTTAATTTTCCTTATTCTCTTCTCACCAATGTTTTTGTATCTTATACTGCTGTGTTTTTAACTTCAATGACAGAAAGACATGAATAAAAAGTTCAAACAACCAATAAAAAACTTCACATATGTTCAAAGGACTTGAAAGGCTGAAACTAGATTTGTAGCTAACACTTTTCTTTCTTTTTTTGGGAGGAGTGGGAGTGAGCAGACAAAGAGGGGGGTCCATAGAAGGATCATAAAAAGGCTCAAACTTCAGTAGATCTTTTGCAAATGGCTTTGACATCATATAGTATAAACAATACCATGGAACAAGCATTAGTTTATAAATCAATATAAAAATGAGTACATCTAAATGCCACATGAAATTCTAGCTGTTCTTCATAATTAACTCTTCTAAATCATATATTCAGTTACTCACAATTTCAATTTAGGATTATTTTTCGTTGTAACACATGCATTCACTCCTACTGAGCTGGTAAAAAAAAAGTAGCAATGATTTAAGCAAAAAGCCGTGGCCACACTGAAGGGCGCTTCATCATCTGGTAGAGATGCTGAGCCCAGTACCTTTCTGGGGGTTGCTTCCATGAAGGCAAAAGGCTCCAGTCCCTTACAAGGATGAACAATTAACACTGTCATAAATCACTCTGGTTACATTTCAAACAGTTACCCTAATTATTTGTTTATGTTACAAATAACACACTCAAATCCTTTTGGCTAGAAGGCACAGTATTTTATTCATTCATTCTACAAGTACTTATTGTGTGTCTGCAACTTGCTAGGGACTGTGAATACAGTGGGGCAGCAAACATACAAGGTCACAAGTAGCCTCCAACAAATCATGCGAACCAATACTGAGAGGCCTTCAATAGAAGAAAGCTACACTCACAAGTATTCACAAGAATTTTTATGCACACTTTACTTTCTTATATCTGTTAGGAAAACCAAGCCATCAGTGAACACTTCAGTCAACACTCTGATCAAGATATTTTAAAAGCTGAATCTATAGTCCTTGGAACAGAAGTAAAGCAGTATTTGTGTACAGCAGAAAAGAGTTGACCTCAAATAAAGAGGGCCAGACTTTTCCCAAAATTTTAGGATTTTATATATCTTAACTCCCAAAGGGCATGGTGATTCCAACAGGCATTTTAGAATAATATGTATGTTACTCTAAACTGCAATCCACACCTTTAAAACACTTGATATTCCTAAGATATTTAATGGCTCAGATTTGACACAGCCCCAGCATTATCAGTGAGAGGTTTTGATGTAACACATCAATGCTGAACAGAATTGCACTGCCCTGTCACTGCCACCCAGTAGAGCTACCTTAAAATGCTGAGCAGCCTCTTCAGTCCTTTACCCGTGAGGCTAAAGCATCTGAACTTGCCCTGGCTATAGGAAATCATCCTTCAATTACTAACAGCATGCTTTTCTAAATGAGTAATCTTTGAGCAACTTCTGGAAACAAATGTTCTACTGTATTCATTAAACATTATTGCTTGTGATGACATTTGTGTTTCTAACATAGAAATAACATTGTGGGGTTAGTCAATGCATGTTCCCAGATGAGGTCGCCAAACCATCTACACCTTTCTCTACCTAAAAGTCATAGACTACTTCTCTTTCCACAAGACATTTTTCTCTAGAGAACTAAGTTAGGCATTTATTAAAGTCTAAAGCATACTATTCATAAACAAGAACAAATTTACAGCTCCCAGAAAAGAAAGCAGGAGAAAAATGTTGTGTCTCACTCTCTGTGCATCCCCTTCCCCTTCCAAATCCCCCATCCAAACTCTCTAAAGGGGAAGATAGAGCAGCTCCAGAGGATCTGAGTGCTAGATGGGACCCAAGCAACCAAGTGGCCTAACCACTTAATTTACAAATGGGTAAACCGAGGCTAGAAAGGTTGAGTTGCCTGAGGCTGTGATGCGGGCTATAGTGACAGAGACTGAACCAGGACTCTACTCCAGTCTACTCTTACCAAAGAGCTAGGATACCCACGACTCCTATTTGATGTTTAACAGATGTTTCTTGTATCCTCTGTGGTTTGCAAATATGAACTCACTGTAATCCATGTAATAATGCTATGGGTAGGGGTATGATTATCTCCATTTTTTACATGGTGAAATGGTACAGAGACATTGACCAATTTGTCCACATTACACAGCTCATAAGTGACAGAGCAGAGATGTGAACTTAGACAGTGTAGATCTGGAGTCTGTGCTCCTAGTCACTATACCATGACACCCCTCTGGGTCTTAAATGGTAGAGACTTGAAGTGCTACCCTGATAATGCACAAAGCTAGTAGCAGAACAAACAGATCAAAACTCCTTGACCAGCAACGAAAAACATGCATAAGAACATGCATACAAACAAGATTCTCAACATTCCTCTCTCCCAACTCTCTTTCCACCTGCGTCAGAGTGCCTTACCTTTTTAAGTCTAGGAGAATAAATCTGTCTTTTGTTTACAGGGAATGATAAACATATGTCTTTCAAATTCTAGAAACCTTGAACAGATTACTTAATCATTCCATGCCTCAGTTTCCCCATATCTCAAATTGGGATAACAGCAGTACCCACTTCATAGTTACTAGGAATGTTCAATAAGAAAATGCATCTCAAGAGCTGATAAGTCCCTGACACATAAAAAAAACACTCAGTATCTGTTAGCTATTAATATTGCCACTGAAACTATTAATAATAATATACTTGAAAAACTGACCATCTTTTACAGTTATATACTTCAGAAGGAGACATATGGTATATAGAAAGCAGTATTACTCCAGGGAGGGCAAATGCTTCATCTATCCTACATTACTCCTTTTGAGGCAACAGTCAAATGAATAAAATCCACAAATACGTTGATGCTCCTCTAACTCCCGATATATAATCCTGTGATTCTAATACACTAGTGGAGAGTGAGGATTGGCATTCTGAGAGGATGTCAATTGTCCTCCTTTTTTACAGTTGAGAGATTATTAATTGGATTTACAAAGCTGGCTCTAAAGGCATGAGCATCTGTTTACATACATACTTATGTCCTTTTTAAACAATCTCCATTGGGAGTATTATTGTTTGTTAGCTACAAAGGTGCTCTCTGCCAGTGCTGCATGAAGGACAGTGTACGTGAAGGAAATCTTATCAGATCTTACGCCGGAGCGAATAATTAGTAGTCAGTTTATCATCCTGTTGGTCTGACTTTAACATTTTGGGGGCAAAACAGTGCTTCCATCTTAAGTATTGGAAACGAAGTTTTTTTTCTTTCTCCTATATATTAGAATAAGAGTTATTATTCCATAGTCATGCATTTGTCTTGAAGGAGCTATGTGATAATGGCCTAAAAGGATTTTTTAAACAGCAAAAAATGAACTCACTTGTTTTAGCTAGGAGTAGCTGACAAGCCTAGGAGTCAGAACCTACTATGGGAGATGAGATGATTATTCAGCAAATAATCACTCCCTCCTCTCTTCCAACTTTCATGAGTGGATGATACTTCTCTGCCCCACTGACAGTTTGCATAAACAGTGGTAATGACACAAACACAGATTTGAAATGTGACTGTGGCATTACGTCTGCTCTTTTGTGCCCTGCCTTTCACTGTAAGAAGGACATTCTTCCATAGTTGCCACTCCAAAGAGGATTAGAGGGGTGTGGAACATACCTGAACCCAACCTGCAGCTAGAAGCCCAGAAATGCAGGGCCCAGCCAACACCAGCTGAAACCCAGCTCACCACACAGGTGTAGTAATTGCCAGATACTTAGTGGGGTATAGTACACCTTTGGGGTGGTTTGTTTTTGTGTCATGAAACAGTATTTTCCTCACTGAGCTTCGGCTTTGTCCATCTGCCCTGTCTACCTTCCCTAGTGAGAGGACCTCCTGAGATAGCATCCATGAAAGCATTTGATACACAGGAAAGAGCTATGCAATGCAAACTAGCATCATCAGCTATGTGACACTTAAAATTTTTGCCATTATTCTGTGTTTCTAAGAATTTTCAAATGCTGGGGGAGTGGAGCCAAGATGGCCGAATAGGAACAGCTCCAGTCTACAGCTCCCACCGTGAGCGACGAAGAAGACAAATGATTTCTGCATTTCCAACTGAGGTACCAGGTTCATCTCACTGGTGAATGTCGGAGAGTGGGTGCAGGACAGTGGGTGCAGTGCACTGAGTGTGAGCCGAAGCAGGTAGAGGCATCACCTCACCCGGGAAGTGCAAGGGGTCAGGGAATTCCCTTTCCCAGCCAAGGAAAGGGGTGACAGACAGCACCTGGAAAATCAGGTCATTCCCACCCTAATACTGCGCTTTTCCAATGGTCTTAGCAAACGTCACACCAGGACATTGTATCCCACACCTGGCTCGGAGGGTCCTAAGCCCATGGAGCCTCGGTCATTGCTAGCACAGCAGTCTGAAATCAAACAGCAAGGTGGCAGCGAGGCTGGGGGAGGGGTGCCCACCATTGCCGAGGCTTGAGTAGGTAAACAAAGCAGCCAGGAAGCTCGAACTGGGTGGAGCCCATCGCAGCTCAAGGAGGCCTGCCTGCCTCTGTAGTCTCCACCTCTGGGGGCATGGCATAGCCAAACAAAAGGCAGCAGAAACCTCTACAGACTTAAATGTCCTTGTCTGACAGCTTTGAAGAGAGTAGTGGTTCTCTCAGCCTGCAGCTTGAGATCTGAGAATGGACAGACTGCCTCCTCAAGTGGGTCCCTGACCCCCAAGTAGCCTAACTGGGAGGCACCCCCGAGTAGGGGCAGACTGACACCTCACAAGGCCGGGTACTCCTCTGAGACAAAACTTCCAGAGGAACGATCAGGCAGCAACATTTGCTATTCACCAATATCCGCTGTTCTGCAGCCTCTGCTGCTGATACCCAGGCAAACAGGGTCTGGAGTGGACCTCCAGCAAACCTCAACAGACCTGCAGCTGAGGGTCCTGACTGTTAGAAGGAAAACTAATGAACAGAAAGGACACCCACACCAAAACTCCATCTGTACGTCATCGTCATCAAAGACCAAAGGTAGATAAAACCACAAAGATGGGGAAAAAACAGAGCAGAAAAACTGAAAATTTTAAAAATCAGAGTGCCTCTCCTCCTCCAAAGGAACGCAGTTCCTCACCAGCAACGGAACAAAGCTGGATGGAGAATGACTTTGACGAATTGAGAGAAGAAGGCTTCAGACGATCAAACTACTCTGAGCTCAAAGAGGTAGTTCGAACCCACGGCAAACAAGTTAAAAGCCTTGAAAAAAGATTAGATGAATGGCTAACTAGAATAACCAATGCAGAGAAGTCCTTAAAGGACCTGATGGAGCTGAAAACCATGGCACAAGAACTACATGACGAATGCACAAGCCTCAGTAGCCGATTCGATCAACTGGAAGAAAGGGTATCAGTGACTGAAGATCAAATGAATGAAATGAGGCAAGAAGAGAAGTTTAGAGAAAAAAGAATACAAAGAAATGAACAAAGCCTCCAAGAAATATGTGACTATGTGAAAAGATCAAATGTACATCTGACTGGTGTACCTGAAAGTGATGGGGAGAATGGAACCAAGTTGGAAAACACTCCTCAGGATATTATCCAGGAGAACTTCCCCAATCTAGCAAGGCAGGCCAAAATTCAGACTCAGGAAATACAGAGAATGCCACAAAGATACTTCTTGAGAAGAGCAACTCCAAGACACATAATTGTCAGATTCACAAAAGTTAAAATGAAGGAAAAAATGTTAAGGGCAGCCAGAGAGAAAGGTCGGGTTACCCACAAAGGGAAGCCCATCATACTAACAGCTGATCTCTCGGCAGAAACTCTACAAGCCAGAAGACAGTGGGGGCCAATGTTCAACATTCTTAAAGAAAAGAATTTTCAAACCAGAATTTCATATCCAGCCAAACTAAGTTTCATAAGTGAAGGAGAAATAAAATACTTTACAGAAAGGCAAATGCTGAGAGATTTTGTCACCACCAGGCCTGCCCTAAAAGAGCTCCTGAAGGAAGCAGAAACATGGAAAGGAACAATCGGTACCAGCCACTGCAAAAACATGCCAAATTGTAAAGACCATCGAGGCTAGGAAGAAACTGCATCAACTAACGCGCAAAATCACCAGCTAACATCATAATGACAGGATCAAATTCACACATAACAATATTAACCTTAAATGTAAATGGGCTAGATGCTCCAATTAAAAGACACAGACTGCCAAATTAGATAAAGAGTCAAGACCCATTAGTGTGCTGTATTCAGGAAACCCATCTCACGGGCAGAGACACACATAGGCTCAAAATAAAGGGATAGAGGAAGATCTACCAAGCAAATGGAAAAAAAAAAAAAGGCAGGGGTTGCAATCCTAGCCTCGGATAAAACAGACTTTAAACCAACAAAGATCAAAAGAGACAAGGCCATTACATAATGGTAAAGGGATCAATTCAACAAGAAGAGCTAACTATCCTAAATATATATGCACCCAATAAGGAGCACCCAGATTCATAAAGCAAGTCCTTAGGACCTACAAAGACACTTAGACTCCCACACAATAATAATGGGAGACTTTAGCACCCGACTTTCAACATTAGACAGATCCACGAGACAGAAAGTTAACAAGGATACCCAGGAATTGAACTCAGCTCTGCACCAAGCAGACCTAATAGACATCTACAGAACTCTCCACCCCAAATCAACAGAATACACATTCTTTTCAGCACCACACCACACCTATTCCAAAATTGACCACATACTTGGAAGTAAAGCACTCCTCAGCAAATGTAAAAGAACAGAAATTATAACAAACTGTCTCTCAGACCACAGTGCAATCAAACTAGAACTCAGGATTCAGAAACTCACTCAAAACCGCTCAACTACATGGAAACTGAACAACCTGCTCCTGAATGACTACTGGGTACATAACGAAATGAAGGCAGAAATAAAGATGTTCTTTGAAACCAATGAGAACAAAGACACCACATACCAGAATCTCTGGGACACATTCAAAGCAGTGTGTAGAGGGAAATTTATAGCACTAAATGCCCACAAGAGAAAGTAGGAAAGATCTAAAATTGACACCCTAACATCACAATTAAAAGAACTAGAGAAGCAAGAGCAAGCACATTCAAAAGCTAGCAGAAGGCAAGAAATAACTAAGATCAGAGCAGAACTGAAGGAAATAGAGACACAAAAAACCCTTCAAAAAATCAATGAATCCAGGAGCTGGTTTTTTGAAAAGATCAACAAAATTGATAGACCGCTAGCAAGACTAATAAAGAAGAAAAGAGAGAAGAATCAAATAGATGCAATAAAAAATGTTAAAGGGGATATCACCACCGATCCCACAGAAATACAAACTACCATCAGAGAATACTACAAACACCTCTATGTAAATAAATTAGAAAATCTAGAAGAAATGGATAAATTCCTAGACACACACACCCTCCCAAGACTAAACCAGGAAGAAGTTGAATCTCTGAATAGACCAATAACAGGCTCTGAAATTGAAGTAATAATTAATAGCTTACCAACCAAAACAAGTCCAGGACCAGACGGACTCATAGTCGAATTCTACCAGAGGTACAAGGAGGAGCTGGTACCATTCCTTCTGAAGCTACTCCAATCAATAGAAAAAGAGGAAATCCTCCCTAACTCATTTTATGAGGCCAGCATCATCCTGATACCAAAGCCGGGCAGAGACACAACAAAAAAAGAGAATTTTAGACCAATATCCGTGATAAACATTGATGCAAAAATCCTCAATAAAATACTGGCAAACTGAATCCAGCAGCACATCAAAAAGCTTATCCATCATGATCAAGTGGGCTTCATCCCTGGGATGCAAGGCTGGTTCAACATATGCAAATCAATAAATGTAATCCAGCATATAAACAGAACCAATGACAAAAACCACATGATTATCTCAATAGATGCAGAAAAAGCCTTTGACAAAATTCAACAACCTTCATGCTAAAAACTCTCAATAAATTAGGTATTGATGGGATGTGTCTCAAAATAATAAGCTATCTATGACAAACCCACAGCCAATATCATACTGAATGGGCAAAAACTGGAAGCATTCCCTTTGAAAACTGGCACAAGACAGGGATGCCCTCTCTCACCACTCCTATTCAACATAGTGTTGGAAGTTCTGGCCAGGGCAATCAGGCAGGGGAAGGAAATAAAGGGTATTCAATTAGGAAAAGAGGAAGCCAAATTGTCCCTGTTTGCAGATGACATGATTGTATATCTAGAAAACCCCATCGTCTCAGCCCAAAATCTCCTTAAGCTGATAAGCAACTTCAGCAAAGTCTCAGGATACAAAATCAATGTGCAAAAATCAGAAGCATTCTTATACACCAACAACAGACAAACAGAAAGCCAAATCATGAGTGAACTCCCATTCACAATTGCTTCAAAGAGAATAAAATATCTAGGAATCCAATTTACAAGGGATGTGAAGGACCTCTTCAAGGAGAACTACAAACCACTGCTCAACGAAATAAAAGAGGATACAAACAAATGGAAGAACATTCCATGCTCATGGGTAGGAAGAATCAATATCGTGAAAATGGCCATACTGCCCAAGGTAATTTATAGATTCAATGCCATCCCCATCAAGCTACCAATGACTTTCTTCACAGAATTGGATAAAACTACTTTAAAGTTCATATGGAACCAAAAAAGAGCCCTCATTGCCAAGTCAATCCTAAGCCAAAAGAACAAAGCTGGAGGCATCACGCTACCTGACTTCAAACTATACTACAAGGCTACAGTAACCAAAACAGCATGGTATTGGTACCAAAACAGAGATATAGACCAATGGAACAGAACAGAGCCCTCAGAAATAATGTCGCATATCTACAACTATCTGATCTTTGACAAACCTGACAAAAAGAAGAAATGGGGAAAGGATTCCCTATTTAATAAATGGTGTTGGGAAAACTGGCTAGCCATATGTAGAAAGCTGAAAATGGATCCCTTCCTTATACCTTATACAAAAATTAATTCAAGATGGATTAAAGACTTAACCATTAGACCTAAAACCATAAAAACCCCAGAAGAAAACCTAGGCAATACCATTCAGGACATAGGCATGGGCAAGGACTTCATGTCTAAAACACCAAAAGCAATGGCAACAAAAGCCAAAATTGACAAATGGGATCTAATTAAACTAAAGAGCTTCTGCACAGCAAAAGAAACTCCCATCAGAGTGAACAGGCAACCTACAGCATCGGAGAAAATTTTTGCAATCTACTCATCTGACAAAGGGCTAATATCCAGAATCTACAATGAACTCAAACAAATTTACAAGAAAAAAACAACCCCATCAACAAGTGGGCGAAGGATATGAACAGACACTTCTCAAAAGAAGACATTTATGCAGCCAAAAGGCACATGAAAAAATGCTCATCATCACTGGCCATCAGAGAAATGCAAATCAAAACCACAATGAGATACCATCTCACACCAGTTAGAATGGCAATCACTAAAAAGTCAGGAAACAACAGGTGCTGGAGAGGATGTGGAGAAATAGGAACACTTTTACACTGTTGGTGGGACTGTAAACTAGTTTAACCATTGTGGAAGTCAGTGTGGCAATTCCTCAGGGATCTGGAACTAGAAATACCATTTGACCCAGCCATCCCATTACTGGGTATATACCCAAAGGACTATAAATCATGCTGCTATAAAGACACGTACACACGTATGTTTATTGTGGCACTATTCACAATAGCAAAGACTTGGAACCAACCCAAATGTCCAACAATGATAGACTGGATTAAGAAAATGTGGCACATATATAGCATGGAATACTATGCAGCCATAAAAAATGATGAGTTCACGTCCTTTGTAGGGACATGGATGAAGCTGGAAACCATCATTCTCAGCAAACTATCGCAAAGACAAAAAACCAAACACTGCATGTTCTCACTCATAGGTGGGAATTGAACAATGAGAACACATGGACACAGGAAGGGGAACATCACACGCCGGGGCCTGTTGTGGGGTGGGGGGAGGCGGGAGGGATAGCATTAGGAGATATTCCTAATGTTAAATGATGAGTTAATGGGTGCAGCACACCAACATGGCACATGTATACATATGTAACCAACCTGCACATTGTGCACATGTACCCTAAAAGTTAAAGTATAATTAAAAAAAAAGAATTTTCACATGCTGAAAAATTTATATGAATATTCAGATTACCGAACACCATGCTGTTCTCTGTGCTTCCAATATTTCCAGGCACCTAAGAGAGAAAATCTTCATCCTACCCTTGGGTCAACCACTTAGTCACGAATCTCTCATAGTGGTGTGGAATCCCCGGTCAAACTGGACAGCTGTGCAAGCTTTTGGCTTAGTGAAGTCCCACTTCTTCCCTAAAGATACAGTGTCCTACTCAAGGTACTGTGGTCAACACCCACCTTGAAGACGAGGGACAACGTTTTCTTGTTTTACATCCAAACTTCCAATCCCCTCATCTCCCTTCCTAAGATCTTGATTTTTAAAAGTTTTTGGAAAGGGACCTAAAAGTTCAGGGTGAGGAGTTATGGAGGACTTTATACAATGCATAGATTCCTAGTTATATACTTGCCGGCATTAATTTGTGGGAAGGATAAACATAAAACATTAGGTTACAAACTTAGGAAGGCAATTAAAAGTGTACGGCCAGTTTATGGAAATGCCACTGGTATATAACAACTCAACCAAATGTTTTATTTTAAAAGAGATGACAGTTCTTTCAGTATCAAGTAAATCGTCCCTGTCTTCATTTAATTCTGCTATAAATTCTTAGGCTAAAAGTTAAATTCTTTTCTTCAATATGACTTTAACCAAATTATACAAATTGGACAGTATACAAGACTTTTAATACTCTTAGGTGGGTTGGAATTACTGAAGAGGTAAAGAAGTCTTTATATGGTGATTGGCCCTCTATATCAACTTTAGCGATATGAGGTGTGAATAACTCCCAAAATAAATTTTACAAAATTCCAGCGAGTAGAACTAATAAAACCAGTTTATTTGGGATTTTTAAAAATAAGTCTGCTATCAGTAGAACTTCATTTTCCCTTGAAAATTTAATCTTACTACTTTTTTTTCTGGCATTTTCTAGACATTCTGCTAGTCTCCATCATTACTGATGCCCTCTAGTGAAAATAAATGTGAAATTCTTCAAGTACATCCAGACAAAGTACAGATTGTCCCTCCTTTGTACTGAAATGGGTTTACAACATTCCTACAGGGATTTCCCTTCTTAACCTACCTATTGTAGGGGAAATGAATTGCTAATTTTACATTTTTAAGTGATTATCAAGGTTTTTGGTTGTTTCTTTTTTATTTTTATTTCATATCGTTGGCCATATCTACGATTTATTTTATAACAAATCCCTGGTCAGCTATGGACCTATGAGGAAAAATATCCTTTGTGTCTCTGGCATCACTGCTAACTGGTAGGAGAATAATTTCCCTGTGAGTTAGTACTCGCTTTTATAGACCCTTCTTGACCCAGGGCTGCAGGCAGAAATGACCAATCAAGAGGATTTCACACTTCAGATGAAACCTCTTTCCAGCTCTGAAATGAGTCCGTGACTTTTTGTAGCCTGTAGGTCTTTCTGAAAACATAAAGCATTGATTTCTTCCTCTCTTCAAAACCCTCCGATGATTCCACTCACACTTCAAGTAAAATCCTGACTCTTCACCTTGGCTTTCCAAGGACCTGCCCCCCTGAATTGTTTCTTGCCGCTGTCCCTGTGCTCACAGGCATGGTAAGTTGTAATTTGTCTATTATTAGTCCCCTCTCTAGCATGTGAGCTCTGCAAGAAAAAGGATTCATCCGCTTTGTTCAAACTGCATCTTTAGCACCCACAATACTGCCTGGCACCTAGTAAGCACTCAACAGGAATCCAAGCTCATAAGCAGATGTAAAGCAGTTACTGCTGATGCAAACACCGACTCTCAACTTTAGCATCTGCTCTCCAGCAACCACCAGTGACCTCCCAGTATGGCTGGCTCAACCAGAAAGTGCAGTCTGCCCTTCCTGTCATGTTTACATATTTTACTTCCTTAGCTTTATAATGTTCACATAGTTCATAAATTTAGTAATTAACTGGCTTTTTCACTATGTGATTAAAGCAGCATTTATTTGTGGGAGGAGGGACAGCAAAGTTCACAAAGGTGATAGCTGATGGTGGGTGGGGAGAGCTCTAAATACCCTAAGGCTTGTGTCAAGCAGACCCACAAGGCTTTTAGCAATAAAATCTGAGATAAAAAGCAGATATTTACGTAATAATTTTTAAAGTCCATTTTAATAACCATCACATAGTTACAGCCCATACACCTAGACCTAACCCATAATCATTATAGTTGCTATCAATCATAAAAATAATTTAAAATTCCTGAGGTAAAGTGTAAAGAGTAAGTGGGAAAGGAGATAGCAGGCAGAGCACATGGTATATAAATGGTAAAAAAAAAAAAAAAAAAAAAAATTATTTTGCAGTTACATGCCCCTAACAGTTTAAAAGTACTTTTATATCAATTATGTCAGCTAGCTCAAATCTGCTTAAAAATAGGTAGAGTATAAATAACAAATATTGAAGGGAATGTAAAAATAGTTTATCTCATTTAATTTACGTAGCAAGTCTGTAGGCTGGATGGAGCAGACATGACTCTTCTAGAAGAGTAAGGAAGGTATCTCAGCACTTCACAGGCCTCCCCTCACTGCAGGTGTGGTCTGTGCAGGGCAACATCATGGCACAAAGAGCCCCCCCGCAGTCTTCCTGCATGGAATATCCCACCCCGACAACAATTTCTGCTGCATCCACAGCTTTTCTATCACCTTCTAAAAGACTCAGGAAAAGCCAAGAATGTCAATAAAGGCTAAGGGTTCAAACATCCTCACATCTGCAAATGAGGAAAGTGGGCAGTTCCGATAGTATGTGTTAAGGACTACACATCTGAGACTAAACATCTGCAGAGGAGATTTTGGAGCTGATGATTTATTGGAGGCATAGGTTTAAAGGGCGGAAGAATATGCCCATACCTAGCAAGTGGAGGGTGGATCTGGTATGTACAAGAAGACAGAGGTCTTTTCCAAGATGCCACAAGACAGAGTTGGGAAGAGCCTGACAATTCTCCTTCGTAGGTCTAGGTCTGTGGGCAGGGAAGCTCTCTTAAAGAGAGGAGGAGGCATCACTGAGAATGGCTTAGAGTTGAAAGACCTGGGTTTGAGTTTTGGCTCTGCTACAGCCTGGAGGGATGAGATCTCTGGGCAAACCACACTATCTCTCTGAGCCTCAATTTCCCAGTTTCTTCATCTGTAAATGGGATAACAATATTAGGAAAAAAGCATTATTATAATGCAGTTATTCTAACTATCAAATGAGATAATATATTAAAATGCTTTGTAAATAATAAAATATAGCATAAAACGTAAGGTGTTATCACCATAGTATTTTATTTCTGAAATGATTTACTTCCTCCCTCTGGAACAAAAAAGTGTGGACCTGTTTGGTTTTGGGGTCCCAGTCAGGCCAGAGAAGAGGAAGGACTTAAAGAGACGGCTTTTTTTTTTGCCTCATTACAAAGCCTTGATACAGCTAAGTCCGTATGTAAACATTCCCTTTAAGGTCAATGTGTCTGTAGGATTAGTTTTTAGCAGAGTGTGTTTAAAATATCACCATTCCCCAATTGCCTCCAATGGCAAATTCTTTATATTATTTCATTCGTTGGGAGACAGTCCATTTTCTTCAAAGTTTCCTGAATCAAATAGTCTTTTCCATTGGCTAACTTTTCCTTAGAAGTAATATAACCACTTTAGAAATGCTCTATTCTCTTGCTTGATTTTGGAAAATATAATTATTTTATTCTAAATTTCATCACTTTTAATTGCTTCTGGTCTAGCAGCATTTTTTTCCTCACTGAACTTCACAGTGTATTCCTTTTTGAGCATCTGAATAATCCATTAAATAGTTTTTGAATGTACCTTTCCCTTTTGTTGGAAGCATTTGAGAGATGAAAGTATCATACATGGAATCTACACATTATTTCAGTGCTAAACCATTTTATACGAAGTGTTATTGGTGGTTTTGTGTAGATATTTTACCAAATACAGAGATCAGATCCTCCCTACTTCTCTGCTTTTTAAAATAGTCTAATTGTCAGTAAACTGTTCTTTAGCAGGGCAATGAGAAATTGTAATACACATTCAGTAGAATGCTATTTCATAATGAAAGCTGGAAAACAAAAACACAAACACACTCAGGAAGTGAGACCCAGGGAGACCTGGAATCTACTTCCACCTCTGACACTAATGTTAGGGAAGTTCTTTAACATCTCTGGACCTCAGGTTCCTAACTTCACAAGAAGAAAGCCAGACTAGATGCTCCCTGGGGTTCCCTCTAGCTCAAACATTCACTTTGCTTAAGGCACAATCAAACACCACTCGCACTCTCAGCTCATGCAGCCCCAGGGTACTCTTTGACAGCTAGAAATTACAAAGCCTTGACAGAACTCTTCATCCATTACTCTGATTCTACTGGTCTGGAGAACCTCAAATGTCTACGTGTATTCCGCCCTGATCTGGGGTTACCACAATTCTATGAAGCTTAAACAACCCCTCAAACATGCATGCAAGATGCATCTTTTAAAAATGATAAGTCTGTCTTATAACAGCAACAAAAAAATTGCACTGTCACTTTAGCAGAGACATATGAACCACAGCACCTGTCGATGGGATGTAGCAGGGGGTAAACCTGGTAGAAGAAAGTGATCCTGGGATTCACATAGGGGAGCCTCTCATTATCCCAGGAGGAATTTATAGCAGAGAGCCTTATGCAAAAGCCTCCTGTTAGTGAATAACTATGAACCCATGAAAAGGAATATGATTTATTTTTACAGTGGACTCTCACTTTGTGTTAGAGCATGGGTTTGCCTGTGATGAATCTCACACCAAGTTATGGAATTACTGAAATACTGAGAACACCACAGCACAATCTCTCACCTCAAGACTTTCCCACAGCAAGTATCCTGAACACAGTGACAAAAGGAAACACTCTGGAATGAGAGAGTGAGGGAGACACAAGGAGACCTACTTTTAAAAGACCATTAACCACAGAACCCTGAGGGTAAGGGAAAAGAAACAGGAAGGTAATCAGGTTCAAAAAAGAAACAAGCCCATTTTCCATTTCTTTTAAGAGAAATTTAAATAGAAGTAAATGATGGAAAAATAGCAGCTTCCAAGGTTAGACTCTGATATAGTTTGGATGTCTGTCCCTTCCAAATCTCATGTTGAAATGTGATCCCCAATGTTGGAGGTGAGGCCTGGTGGGAAGTGTTTGGGTCATAGGGGCAGATCCCTCATGAATAACTCAGTGTCTTCTCCAGGATAATGAGTGAGTTCTTGCTCTATTAATTCAGGTGAGAGATCTGGTTGTTAAAAAGAGCCTTGTATTGGTGTAATATTTTAATATTTGTGTGTATTACTGTACATATTTTCCCAGAGATCAGATCTTCTCTACTTTTCTGCTTTTTAAAATAGTCTAATTGCCAGTAAACTGTTCTTTAGAAGGACAATGAGAAATTGTGATGCACATTCAGTAGAATGCTATTTCATAATGGAGGCTGGAAAACAAAAGTAAAAGCAAAAGCACACTCAACTAAGACCCACGGAGACATGGGATCTACTTTCACCTCTGACACTAACTTTAGGGAAGTCCTCTCTTCTCTTTCGCTCCCTCTTTTACCATGTGACATGCATGCTCCCCCTTCACCTTCTCCTGATTGGAAGCTTCTTGAGGCCCCCACCAGAAGCAGATGCTGGTGTCATGCTTCTTGTACAGCCTGCAGATCCTGGAGCCAACTGAATCTCTTTTCTTTGTAAATTACTTAGTCTCATGAATTCCTTTATAGCAACACAAATGAGACTTACACAGACTCCTTATTGTATGTAACATGCACATACTTTATAATATATAATACCATTGTGACCTGTTGTAGTTGCCTGGTTGCTATGGGAATATGCTGAGCTTAAGTTTTGTGTAAGCACAGAAGAAGATATACAGGTTATATAGTAAAGAATAAAGTTCAGTTTTTAACTAATTGTTCTTTCACTATTTCAATAATTATTTTAAAAATGTTTCTCCATTTTTGTTATATATTTTTTTTTTCCAAGGGAAAACCATGTTGAGTTCTGGGATAATCATAGGAATTGAAAAAGGGAGGTCATTTTATTCACAGTACATTTCATCGCCTCTCCCCTGGATTCCTGTTATAGCCTCCTAAGGGGTCCCCCTGCTTCTTCTCTGGCCCCCAATTCTCAGTATAATAGCTGGGGTGGTCTTACTAAAACATAAACCAGCTCCTGTGCTGCCTTGTTCAAAATCTTCTAGAGCTTTCTATCTCACTCAGATCAATGGTAAAGGACTCAGGGTATCCCTCAAGGCCCCACGTCGTCTATGACTTCATTATCAGCCCTCCACTCCTCCCCATTCAGGGCATTGGTACTTGCTCTTGTCTCTGCCTGAAGAGTTCTTCCCTCAAATATCTTCTTGGCTCTGTCTCTCATATTCTTCAGTCAAATGTCTTCTTTTCAGGGAGGCCTTCCTTGATTACCCTATTTAAACTGTAAATCACCCCCTCCCCTTTCTCAGAACTTCCTGAACCAGTTTCTTGCTCTATTTTCCTCCACAGTACTTATCACCACCCAATATATGATATATTTCACTTACTATATGTCTCTCCCTGTAAGGATCATTTGCTTTTTGTTCAATGCAACATCTCCAGTCCCTAGACATATAAGTGGTGCTCAGGAAATATTGCTGAAATAATAAGTGTATTTAACTTATTTCATAGACATTAACTAAAAAATAAGTTATTTAAAAAATAACTACTGGGAAATTAGGTTAGCATATGTTAAAACCAAGAGATTTATTCATGGCCTAGATCATAGCCATAAAGCAATACATTTGAAAACCCAAACTGGTTTTTCTTACACAGATACACATATATGAATTTGTACATACACCTATAACAGAAATTGGTCTTTAAAAAAATTGTGGTCAGGCACAGTGGTTCATACCTGTAATCCCAGCACTTTAGGAGGCTGAGGTAGGAGAATCACTTGAGATCAAGAGTTCAAGACTGGCCTGGCCAAAATAACAAGACTTTGTCTCTATTTTTTGTTTTTAAATCATAACTCCACTATTCTAAAAACACCATGGGCTTTTCTTTTCAAGGCAAAACTTATTCAGTTAGGCAAGTCAAGGAAGACAAGAGAGCATAAGACAAGGATTATTTTCAAAATTGCTTAAAAATTAGAAAGGATCATTTTTCAAATCTCAAAGAAGCAAAAGTTTTCATGGACAAAGGGATAATTTCCCTTAAATATAAAGAACTCAGCCAGGCATGGCGGCTCACGCCTGTAATCCCAGCACTTTGGGAGGCGGAGGTGGGAGGACTGCTTGAGCCCAGAGTTCGAGACCATCCCTGGCAACATAGCAAGACCCCTATCTCTACAAAATATTAAAAAAAAAAATAGCCAGACATAGTGGCATCACCTATAGTTAGTCCCAGCTACCTGAGAGGCTGAGCAGGGAGGATCACTTGAACCTGGAAGGTCGAGGCTGCAGTGAGTTGTAATCGCACCACTGCAGTCCCACCTGGGCAGCATCGCTAAAAATAAAATAATAAAATAAAATATAAAGAACTTCTAGAAATAGGTTTAAAAAAACACAACTCAACTGTAAATTGGCCAAAAGATAAAAAGAATTCAGAGAAAAGGAAATACAAATGATCCTGAAACATATCAAAAGATGCTCAACCTCATCACAAGACACATGCAAATTAAAACTTTACTGAAATTCCTTTTGTCATCTAACTGGCAAAATCCAAAAGTTTGGTCACATAGCATAGAGAGGAGAAGCAGCTGTGGGAAGAAGTATTCTCCTGTATTCTGGCAACAGAGACAACAGATACTACCCCTTTGGACAACAGTTTGATGAAAGTGGTCAAAATTATAATTGTCTATACTTGTTGGCTCTTTATCCTTATTTCTCCTAACTTATCCTTCAGAGATATTTACATATATGCAATGTGTATGTGTATGTATAGGCACAAGGGTACTCAATGCATTAATATTTATAATAGCAAAGCACTGGAAACAACCCAACTGTCCCTAATTAGTGAATGGGTTAAATCCAGAAAACAATGGTGCTCTACGAGACAAGAGGGACACCACATTGGCCTCCTCCTTGCAGTGACATGAGAAGATCAATGAGATGCATTAATGAGAAAAACAAGATGAGGAATTGTGTTTAATATGAGAAAACTAAAAATTAATATTAATTTCTTACATTTACATAAAGGAAAGAAATATAAGAATATGCTGAGGGCCTGTGGTGGGGTCAGTGGTTCAGGGGAAGTTGGCAGAGGGGAGGTGGCTCTGCACTACGCTCCTTGTTCCTATTGCTTGATATTTTTAATTGCTTAAATTTATTATCTATTAGAAAATTAAACAAAGTTTGTCCTTATGTCTCAGATTACCTTTTCCAGATTCTCTAGGGCACACTTCGGGGTAAATCAAGGAGCTGGAGAGTGGAGTTGGGACAGGCGGACCCTAGCACTGATATTTTCCTTTTTGGGCTTGTATATTTTCTTCCCCAGGACTATGAGATCTATGAGGTCAGGGACTGGGGCTCCCCTGGATGGTCTGGTAAGTGCTGCTTGGAAGGACTTGGAAATTTGTTTCCTTTGACTCAGTCTGTTGTTGTGTCTCCTCTTGACTCCTCTCAAGCAAACTCAGGAAACACTTATGTGCTGTGGTTCACAGCCCTGAGCTTTGCCTGGAATAACCATCTTGCTCATCACCACCCATGCTTTCCACCATCTTCATATGTTACTTTTCTGTTTCCCCATTACCTTCTATGCATTATGTGTCTGTTGTGGGGCTTACACATAATGTTAATAACTTAAACATAAATATTCTAGTTTGTATATGCCCACCAGAGGAGTCACATACATAATGTCTGTTTTAACATTCAATACGATCAAGTGCAACACACATTTATTGAACACCACATATGTACAATGAACAGTCCCTGGTGTCATGAAGTTCACAATCTGTTAGCTTAATGGGTACCACATCCTCGTACTTTCCAAAATACAACTAATAAATGCTTTTGTATGTTGTTGATGAAGATAAATTCTATTCCCACCAAAACACATAAATTACTCCATGTTTTCTAATCCAGAAACTAGGCTGGCCAAATGATTTCACCTTAATTGTTCCTTTTTGCATCTAACTTTATTCATTTCAAATCTTTTTAAAGTCTCCTGTTTCATTTGCCTAGGACATAAATTTTAGGTCCTAACACAGGGAAGTTAACCTTCTTTAAGAGCCCACAATTGGATCGTTTATAAGGAACTGTGTTCTTCACTCCATTAAGAACACGTGGATCAGTTAGAGGATGCCTCTTAGTTGCTTAAAAAAGAAAGTCAGTCCATTTAAAATTGTTAGGTTTCTATAGTCTTTCAGAACATAGAAGTTATTTAGAATTTCCAGTAAAAGTACAAAGAGTCTTTAGGGCAGCTGAAGAAGATAAAAGAATTCTGAACACACTGCGCACTTTCAGAAGAAAAATATTAAGAGTAAAAATAGTTTCCCAACTCAGTCATTCTTTGGAACTGATAATTTATTCCTGATGGTTCCCCAAAAGAGGGGAAGAGAAGCAAAATAATACACTTGGCTCCTCTAACAGATATTATTCATAGCTCTTTTCCCTCATAGGATAATAGACTATTAGAGCTTCTATAAAATCCCTTTCAGTAATTTTATGGTGGGTCTGCATTTTGTAAGCCATGTTTTATAACTGAGAAAAGAAAAAAAAACACAACAACCAGCAAGAGAATCATTTTACAATAATTCATTCTACTGATTTTATTAAATTTTCAATTCCAAACCTTTCCCTTCTCTTATAAAAATCAGACCATATTTGAGATTCATCTGTTAAGTGTAATTATTAAAACAAAGTTTCACGCCTGACACCTACTGGTGAAAAAAAAGGACAACTTACTTTAAAAGTTCACATTTCTTTCAGATTTTTCAGTGTTCAGGTTTAAATATTTTACATGAAAACATATTGAATGCTGTACAATAGAACATTCAGAGCATCTTACATGTTTAAACTCAAATTATAGACCATATATTTACTAGTTTTGTAAAAAAATAAAAATATGATTTTTCCTTTTTACAATTTAATACTTTTCCTGGTCACTTACTACAAGAAGTGACACAGATGGATTACAGCAACCCAATTTAAATTTTGTTTTTATAGACATGGATGCTAGTCTAACTGATGATGAAATTAATGGTTACTGCAAGATCAACCAGTCAAATAAAATAAAGTATATATGGTGAAAATCATCAGGGATGTCTTTAACTCTGTCTTCACAGACAAATAATTTGTGAAAATAAAAGGACAATTCCATTAATAGACAAAGTACACAATGGCAAAAGTAACCAGAATTTTTCAAGGTGGTATATTGCTTGAGAGGGAACATTTATATACTCACCTTTTGCATATAGGAAGCACCTAGTCATCTGTAATTAATGAAACATACCTGGCTTAAAATGTGGTAAAGAATGAACTCCAGGCCATGTGTCCTCATTTGGTGTTCCAAGAACCTAGTGGAGAGTAGGAGATTGTGGAAACAGCCTTATTATTTCCAAAGCACTCAAAATTCTCAAGTGTAGAAAAATAGTACACTACATATTATGAAACTCTGGTATTTTTTTTTCCATTATCGTATGCCAGAGATTTTATTTCAGTAAAAACAAACCCAGCTAAAGAGCCACCCAAGATGAATCTCTGTGTTATAACAAATACAGCTGAATGTGGTAAGACAAGTTAAATCTGCTATATTTTATCAAGTCCAAACTTAATAAGTAGGCTAAGGAATCAAACAATGAGCTGTCATCTTCATGCTGCTGAATGAAGTTTGTATGTGTCCCTCATGATTCTTTCATGAGCTTTTGTCTTTCACTCCAGTATCACATGTCTCATCATTTAACAGTTCCAACAATTCTTCCATTTCTACCCCACATCCTCTGTCTGAGCATCATAATGTTTCAAAGAGGCAGGGTCGACAGCTTAGAATGCTCAAATTCTCTCATTACAGTTAAAATCTGTAATTACGTGATTTACAGTTTCCTTTTGCCAAAATAATGTTCTTTCTACATGTTTTCCTTTTTCTATCCATATGTCTACCTTCTTTCTCCATCTATTTTTCTATCACTACAATGTTTGATCTGGGGAAAGGAACTAATGGGCAATTTCAGCTCACATGTAACTGGGCACATTCCATTGGAACATTCTGTTCCATGATCTATGGCTCTTACACTCAATGATCATGGCAAATCACTGACTGAGAACAGAGTTTCAGGGTTAAGAACCTAGAAAGGGGAGATTCAGGGTTAAGAGGCCAGGCTCTGAAGACACCTTGAGTTCAAATCCTTGCTCCCCTATTTACCAGCCATGTAAGCTTGGGCTGAGAAATAACCCCACTGAGCTCCAATTTCCTCATCTGTAAACTGGAGGGTGTTAACAGCATCTACCTCAATTGTGTGGAGAACGCTACCTGGCACATAGCACTATGTCAGTATTAGGTATTACTCAAAGAACCCGCAGAAAACTGGGTCTGTTCGGATCAGGGAGGCTCCAGCCATGTGGGAAAATTCAGACTGCCCACTTCTTCCACAGGGACTGTATGTTCAAGGGAGTGCCAGATGGTGTCATTCCAACTATATTGGATAAATGGATAGACAAACAGGTTAGAAAGGGCAAGAGATAAAGCTGGAAACCAGCAGAGGAGAAGAAGGACCACTAGATATTATGAGAGGTGTAAACCAAAAATAAAATTATAAGCCCTTCAACCATCTGAACGGACCCCTCCTCTCAGCCAAAGGCATTCTCAAGTTAACCTGAAAAACCAGCTCAGGCCATGATGGGGAAGGGGAGCTGGACATACCTCATTATACCTGCCTCCTTTCTGGAATTTAGGCACAGCTGACCAGCAGAAACATCAACACAGGCCTTAAGACTGATAGGACAGACTTTGTAAGTCTGTAAATGTAAGAAACATTTACATTCTATTGTCTCTGAAGCCTGCTACCTGGAGGCTTCATCCGCATGATAAAGCCTTGGTCTCCACCCTTTTGGTAACCCCTTTTGGTAACCCAGACATTCCTTTCTATTGATTCCAGGTCTTTAGGTAATAACTCTTCCAAGCAATTGCCAATCAGAAAATCCTTGAATCCACCTATGACCTAGAAGCTCCCACGTCCAGTTGTCCTGCCTTTCTGGACTGAACCAATATACATCTTACATGTATTGATTGATGTCGCATGTTTCGCTAAAATGCATAAAACCCAGCTGCAGCCTGACAACCTTGGGCACATGTTCTCAAGATCTCCTGAGGGCTGTGTCATGGGCCATTGGTCACTTATATTTGGCTCAGAATAAATCTCCTCAAATATTTTACAGAGTTTGACTCTTTGTCAACAGAGGAAATGAAGCATATTCACTTTATCCGAGGATTTGTAGGCACTACTAGGCAATAAGGTAATACAGGGCTCAAATTGTTCATGCATTTATTTACTAGTGGGTGACATGGCAGTGATGTCAGAGTGGCACATATACAGTAAGTGCCAAACTCCCTGCTTCCTACTCTGGTGAATCAGGATTAAATACATGTATTTATGTTCCTGGCTGAAACATGAATCCAGCATCAACAAATGAGAAAATAAAAATTCTTTTAAGACTCATACTTGGTTACTTTTTCCAGCACTAATTAATACTAACATCAATAGATAGATCTACACAAACTAGGTCACATTATTGATGGGCTGGATGACGAAGGGGAAGGAGGCAGGCAAGAGGGCTGAAGAGTTGTAACATGAGAAAAGAGACAAAAGCATTGTCTCTGACATAAACGATTATGATAACAGTGTCTGCAAAAGGCATTTCTCCCTTTCTTTTCAATAATTCCAACCATTATTTCAAGAGGAGACAATTAAGTTTGCAGGCAGCACATACAGCTAATCTGGAAATGCTCCACTTTGTTCTCACTAAAATTTGCATCAAGGACAAAGGAGTTCAACAGTACTAAACTTTAGCAACAAAGGGAGGAAATGTCAGCTCAAAAGCACAATTTGAACACAGCCAATCTGTCACATGTGAAAACAGACCCTATGGAAGTTTTATAAACAATGAAAAGTCCAGCCAGAATCTGAGCCCTGTTCTCTTGCTCCTAATAAAGTACAATTGTTTTCCTGGCTGCCTCTGTTTCTACAATGCTTGCGTTAGCAAAACTTTTTTGTAGGCATTATCCTCATCCATATCCAGTGTTCTGTTTCAAAGTGATTATGATATATTATGGTCATACCATAAAAATTACCAGGAAAGAAACAAATACATTAGACTTTTCTTTTTCAATTATAGGCTTAACTATTGAGATTCCAGACCTCAAACTGTCCTGCTTACAACCCTGAACCATTTACACAGAAAAGGCAAAGTGGGCAGAAAGTGGGCAAAGGAAAAGAATAATTAAAAATTAATTTTGCTTCCTGTAAAAGCCATTTTGGAAAAAATTGTTTGGGTTTAATGTATGATTAGCAATGACTGGCTACCTGTGCACTAAGGAGAGTATGTATGGTCTCTGATGCCAGATTTTCATTTCTATTAATTCACTAACAAGTTCCATTAACAAGACACATTTAAGTTAGAAGAAAAAGAATGTTTTCTAAAAGTCAAAAATTATCTTTTGCAAATGAAACAAAAAGAAAATTGCAACTGAGGTGCCACGAACACTTAAAATGTGGTCCCCAGCTCTGTAAATAAGCAGGTTCATGACACTTGAAGCCCCTTTCCATCTGTGATATACTGAAAAGTCTTCTACACATCCATTTAAGCAGATTTACCCTAAACTTGTGTCTGTGGCTTGTCCATCTCCTGTTTCTTTTATTGGTTCAGCTCTTTATTTGGCTAACACTTATTGTACTCCTCACAGAAGATGTAAGGACTTGGACTCTGCCTTGAAGTGCTCCTGGTCTAGTGATGCAGATGAACAGGGGTGGTGATGAATGGCCTTCAACAAAACAAAGCTGATGGTATGGGAGAGTGAGGTCAGAGCCTAAAGAAGGGAGGCTTGAGTCTCCCTGGGTGCAGGGAGAAATGCTACCGGGAGAGGGTGGTTTAGTGGGAGAGGGAACACTGAGTCATGGTTTGCCAAGTAAAGAAAGGGTGGGAGTGACAGTAGAGTATACGGTTATAAGGAGAGGCTTATATCAGAACACTTTCAGCTCTCCAAATTAACACGATGCTCAGCCCCCGTGTCTTCTCATAGTGAATTCTCTTCCCTAACGCTCTGCCCTAATTTTGCCAGCTGAACTCCTACCTCTATTTGTAGCTTCAGTACAAGGGTCACTTTTTCCTGAAAGACCTTCTGGACTCTCTGGTCCAAGTTACATGCTACCTTTTTGTGATGTCTGAGTGCTTTATGCAAACTTCTATTTAGAACCTAACCACTACCCGGTAATTGCTAGATTACTCATCTGTCTACGCATTGTGGTCCTCAGAGTGGATGATGTTGATCTCTGGATACTTAGTGCACCATGTGCCCGGCACCAGATATGCACCCAGTAAATGTTGACTGACTGAATGAATGAATGGTGTGTCTGGATAACACTGTGGCTAGACTGCAGGTTGGGCTACAGGATGGGAAGGAAGCAGAGGCCAGACGCTGAATTCAAGGAGACTGCATTTTATATCTGTTTAAGGTTTTCACAAATTGCAAGTCACATGACTGGTTGGGGGATTGTAAGTAAAATTCATCAAGGGAGTTGACATCGGCACTTTTCAAAAGATGGAATTCAAGAGAAGATATCAGAGGGCAACATAAATGTAAAGATACATATTGTTTTATGAAACTGTTGTTCAAGTTACATCTTTGTGTGTGTGCATAGTGAGTCATGATGTAAAATGTATATTCTGCTGTTTAAAATCCACTTATATAGGGAAGAAGTTATTAGCTGAAATCAAGAATGCCAGACATAAAGCAAGTTTGGGGGCTGAGGGCAATGAGTTTCATTCTGGATCTATTAAATGTTAGAAATGCCTGCAGGTCAAGATTGGGCAGCTGGAAATACAGGTCTGAATCTTGGGAGAGGAATTTCAGAGGGAGAAAAACATTTGGAACTCTTCAGCACACATATGGTAACAAATAGCAAATGCCAAAATGCAAGCTACAAAATGGTCTCACGTCCCTCTGTTCAGAAATATACAGTTGCCAGAAGTCTTTTCTGTGATTTCTTAGACTATTTAACATCTGTTAAAAAAAAAAAAAAAAGGACAAGCTCATCTTATCCGTGGAGGTCTACACCCCTGACCCTGAGGAACTAAGAGGTAATGATGGCCCCATACTCACTCCTCCAGGTGTGCCTCTGCCCTGGCAGGTGTGGCCCAGGTTCTGCCCGTTATGTCAGCCTCTGTCGGGCAGAGAAGATACTGAGAAAAAGAGGGCCTCGCTGTGAAAATATCTACTCCAAATAACAGGAGAAAAGCAAATTCTAAACTTCTAGAGCTCAGAGTAACTCTAACAAACTAGTGTTTGTCAGAAATATTTACTTATCTTTCTAAACTATCACTAGTTCCACCAATTCTCTCACTTTCTAGTCTTTGCTTTTGCACAGGCCTCAGAGCTGCTCAACAGGAGTCCATGGGCTTTTCCCTGAACACCTGTGATTTAAGTACAACAAGACCTGCTAACGGTTCTTCCTGGGTCAAGGGGACCGAGAGGTCTCTAACAAAGACTACAGCACAGAGGAATTCTGGCCTATGGGACACAAAACTGGCTCACACAAGTTGTGTCCTAATGAAATGATATGGGAAGCACCAGATTCCCACTTCAAGGCTTTAAGTTTTAGGGGCAGGACTACAGTGGCGATGTGGATTTTAAATGGACTCAGCTGTGGATTCTAAGGGACTTCAGAACAACCTAATAACTGATTATTTTTAAGCTGCAACTCTGAAAGTCCACACATATAACATCTCTAAAATAATGATTGCTTCACAGCTGTACTACTTTCGGATCTGGAAGATTTTTTTCTAGCTCCTTAGTGAGAAGTCCTAAAAGAAACCTGTGAAGTGGCTCAGCAGAACTCAGCTGCAATATTATACACCCTGCTCTGGAACAGATGGTATGAAGTTCCCAGAAGAGCCAGAGAGAGAAAGCAGAACCGCCTAATTCTGATCCTGACTGTGCACTCTCCACCTGGAAAAACGATAATCAGGTGGAAATGCAGAGGAGCCACCTGGAGCTTGCACTGCCCCCGACAGTACAACGAATGTGCTGCAGACAGGGCAGGTGGAAGGCGAGGAGAAAGGTTTCAGGATCCAGTGGCCTCATGGGTGATGGTGAGAAGGAATTGTTTTATTTTTCGAGATAGGATTTCATTCTGTTGTCCAGGCTGAACAGTGGTGTGACCATGGCTCACTGCAGCCTCAATCTCCCAGGCTCAAGTGATCCTCCCATCTCAGCCTCTCGAGTAGCTGGGATGACAGGCACACTCCACCCTATTCTACTAAATTTTTTATTTTTTATAGAGATGGGGTCCCACTGTGTTGCCCAGGTTTGTACTCCTGGGCTCAAGTGATCCACCTGCCTCAGTCTCCCAAAGTTCTAGGACTACGGGTGTGAGCCACCGCACCCGGCCAAGAAGGAAATTTTTTAAGAGGAGGGTACAGTGATAGAAAAAGCAGAGGTTGAAAGGATGGAGTATATTAAGGGGAAGGGGAAAGATGCAAGTAAGAGGAAATTATAAGAGTGGCCAAGGACAGATGGAAATGACCAAAGAGAGCAAATTTTGGCATGGAAATCTTAAAAAATGCCAATTGCATACTTGAATCAAATATTCATTTTCTCTATGTAGATAACTTCTAGAGTAGGCAAAGGATATCCCTAAAAAATAAACAAACAAATAAACTAGTAACAGCAGTGGTCTCTGGAAAGGGGAATGGGTGGCTGGAAATCAGAGGTGGAGGGGACCCACGTTTTTCACTGGCCATCCTTATGTATCTTTTTCATTTTATACTATATACATGTTGTTCAACTGTTAATTATGTTTTCCCATCCATGTAATAAACAGAAATGTACTGAGTGATGACAACATGACCACCCCTTTCCTATGTGTAGAAGATAAACGATTTTTTTAAAAAGTGTCTGCCTTGGAGTTGCTCAGTCTGGAGAGAGAGACAAAGAGACAAGCATGTGAAACAGAAAGTCAGCATGACAAGGCTGCTCAATGAGGGGTGTAATGAGCGCGGTGGGGGCCCAGGAAAAGAGGTGAAGGGACAGCTTGAAGAAAATGAAGCCTTAAAACTGAGACTTCAAAAGTGACTGGGCGCTTGTCAAGCAAATGAGTAGGAGAAGGACACTCCAGACAGAAGAGAGTGTGTGTAAAGATACAGAGGTATGCATGTGTGTGTGCCAACTCTAAGTGATCTGGTGTTGTCTTCTGGGAACACCCCTGTATTAGTCCATTTTCATGCTGCTAATAAATACATACCCAAGACTGGAAAGAAAAAGAGGTTTAATGGACTTACAGTTCCACATGGCTGGGGAGGTCTCACAATCATGGCGGAAGGCAAGGAGGAGCAAGTAACATCTTATATGGATGGTGGCCGGCAAAGAGAGAGCTTGTGTAGGGAAACTCCCATTTTTTAAACCATCAGATGTCATGGGACTCATTCACTATTACGAGAAATATTACCCACCCCCATAATTCCATCACCTCCCACTGGGTTCCTCCCATGACACGTGGGAATTGTGGGAGTTACAATTCAAGATGAGATTTAGGTGTGGATACAAGGCCTTTACACGTGTATTTCCAAAGCCTGGACATCTGTGCCCATTCCACCTGATTAGTTCCTGATTCATTTTTCATCTCTGAGTTGAAACATCCTTTTCTCAGGACAAGCCCCTGCATATTGGGGCACAATCACCATAATATACCATTATAGCACTGTAGGCTTCTTAGTAAAAATTGTCACAGTTGAAACTTTACATTTATTTCTGTGAAAATTTGATAAACGTCTATTTCTTTCATTGGACTCTAAGTGTTAATAAGTAAAGAGGTCATGTCTTTTTTAAAATTTTTGTTTACTTTATATTCCTTTTATCAAAGTACATAAAGTAGGCACTCCTT
This sequence comes from Homo sapiens, assembly GCF_000001405.40. Lineage (NCBI taxonomy): Eukaryota > Metazoa > Chordata > Mammalia > Primates > Hominidae > Homo > Homo sapiens. Next base: position 91,038,318 of record NC_000007.14, on the reverse strand, counting down.
ACATATTTGTTTAATTAACTATATAGACCTGAAGGATCCTTGTAAATGACAAATTATCATGACTTCATTAAATAAAAAGTCATGTTAAACTAACCTTTTTAAAAAGTAGAAGAGAGTCGTCTTCAGTTTCAAGATTTCTGCTTTTCCTCCTACCTTACTCTACCTTCCTGGAGCAGAATGGTAATGCAAATTAAAATTCTTCTAGAAGCAGTCAGGCAGGTGACTGAGGGAGAGGGCTGGGGAGAAAGAAGGCAGGACTGAATGTGACAAGGCCCTGTCCACAGAGAGCAGCGACTGCTCAGCTTCTGCCAGAGGCTGCCATGCACAGTGCAGGACCCCAGTATTGCTGTAGCTTTCATTTCACTAAGGGAACTGGAGAATACCTGGATTTCCTGTGAAAGTACCTTAATCCTATGACCTAATTCAAATTTCTACAAAAAATTACTTAATTCAAATTTAAAACAAAAACTAAATAAGATGGGTCAAACAAAACTTGTCAACATCCTGAATTCAGAGAAGAGCGTCTGGGCAGTAACCTTTGCTCTTCCAGCATATGTCGATTTTAGCCAGGCATCAAGAAAATAAGCTATCCTTTATTGATATCATGTGTGCAATATCAGGTTTATAACCAGTTTACTGACAAACTGGTTGTTCAAGGTTGCACAGCTAGAAAGTGGGGCAGCTGGAATCCTGTATCAGGTTGGTGTGACTAGAGAGACCATGCTTTGAAGAGCTATACTATCTGCTTCTAGGAGAAGCTGGCTGAGAAATGTGGCTCAGATGTTGTTAAACAATTCATATCCACCTGACCACACCCTAGAAGGAGGTTTTGAGTATCAGAATGAGGTTTTTTTCATGCTCTCTCTCCCTCACATTCAACACACACATGCGCGCGCACACATACACATGCACATACATACGTGTATGTCTATAAGACATGTGATGCAGGTGTACATGTATATTCTGTATAATGTTAGGTATCATCCTCTTCAGGATTTTTATCAGTTACTTGAAGGAAGACAGAAGGGATGTCTTACATTTTTCAGATGACGTGAAATAGAAGGGATGTGTAGTATTCTGATGGCTGAACCAGGATTCAAAAATATTTAATAAGGCATGAACAACTGGCTGAACCTAACACCAGGAAAATGTGATAGCTATAAACATAAAGTCCAGTACTTAGATTCTATTAATTGATCGTTCAAGATGGGAACAGGTGGCATGCAGCAAGCTGCATAAAAAAAGACTTGTGGTTTTTAGCTGAATAAAAACTTCTATAAGATCACCTACTAGAAGTCAAAAGAGATTAGGAGGGTTGACTCTAAGCTCACCCCTGTGATTCCCACCTCCTGCTGTTCACAACCTTCGCCTTCAGTGTGGGTGGGAGCAGGAACTTCTAACCAACAGAATATGGCAAAAGTGATGAGATATCACTTCTGAGATTACAACTGGCCCTTGAACAATGCAGGGGTTGGGGCACCAACCCCATGCACAGTCAAAAATTCCCATAAAACTCTTGGCTCTCCCAAAACTTAACTACTAATAGCCTACTGTTGAACAGAAGTCTTACCAACTATATATATGTTATATTTATTATATACTATATCCTTACAATAAAGTAAGCTAGAAAAAAAGAATATTAGGAAAATCAAGAGGAAGAAAAATGTAGTTACTAATTATTAAGTGGAAGTGAAACATAAAGGTCTTCATCTTTATCTTCATGTTGAGTAGGCTGAGGAGGAGGAAGAGGGCTTGGTCCTGCTATCTCAAGGGGGGCAGATGTGGAAGACATGGAGGTGACAGAAGGGGAGGCAGGAGAGACAGGCACATTTGGTATAACTTTAATTGAAAAAAAATCCACATCTAAGTGGACTTGTGAATTCCAAAGTTGTGTTGTTCACAGGTCAACTGTATATTGTGTACAATGATAACAGCCATTGTGCTAGTGGACTTGCTCCCTTGCTGGCTTTGAGGAAGCAAGCAGCCACGTTGGGAAGGCCTGAAGGCAAGGAACTGGGGGTGGCTTCAGCCAACAGCCAGCAAGAACCTGAGTCCTTAGTTCCACAGCCTGCAAGAAACTGAGTGTTGCCAAGAACCACATGAGCTCCAGCCGACCCTCATGTCAGACTGCTGCCCCAGCTGATACCTTGATTACAGCCTTTTAAGACCATGAAGCAGCTGGGCGCAGTGGCTCACGCCTATAATCCCAGCACTTTGGGAGGCCGAGGCGGGTGGATCACGAGGTCAGGAGATCGAGACCATCCTGGCTAACAAGGTGAAACCCCGTCTCTACTAAAAATACAAAAAATTAGCCGGGTGCGGTGGCAGGCGCCTGTAGTCCCAGCTACTCGGGAGGCTGAGGCAGGAGAATGGCGTGAACCCGGGAAGCAGAGCTTGCAGTGAGCCGAGATTGCGCCACTGCAGTCCGCAGTCCGGCCTGGGCGACAGAGCGAGACTCCGTCTCAAAAAAAAAAAAAAAAAAAAAGACCATGAAGCAGAGGGCCTAGCTAAGTCATGCCAGGAATCCCAACCCACAGAAACTGAGAGATGATAAATGTGCCTTAGTCACTACATTTTTGTTAATGTTATGCAGCAATAAACAATTCATACAGATGTAATCATTTAATCATATGATATACTAGTCAGAACACATCTGGATTGCTGTGCCAGTACCAGATGCTACATGTGACAAGGGACAAAAATAAACGGTCCTCTGTGGAGTGTATTCAGAAAGGTTGGGGGTGGGGGGAGGGGTGTGCCCCATGTCCCATTGGGCTGACTGGAAATGCTGTTGAGAAAAAAATGTTTTGGGATATCGCTTTGAATAGATTAAGTGCTACATTGTGAATGGGAGACTGACTTATGCGGAGCCACATGACAACAAGGACCAATGGGGTAAAGATATTGATATACAGCAAAGAAGGGCATTCTAACGATAAAAGCTGTGTAAAATGGAATCAGCACCTTTATGAGGTTTAGGCAGAATTAAGGTTGCATTTTGCATTCAGACAAAATAAGGATCAAATTCTGCCTCCATAGACACAGTGCACTAGTTTAATCCTGAGGTAATATACAACAGAGTCTGGGTGACAAGATGAGGTCACACAGATGCCCATATATTTACTTTTGTTTTTATGTGGCTGCAATTACAGCTTAGAGGGTAGACAGGGAGAAGTGGGTTGATAAGGAAGGGTATAATTAGATGAAGGAGGGCAGAGAAGTTAGTCATGAAAGCTTTCCTTCCCCACTTTCTACAGTGTCAATGCTAATTATTTTGCAGGGAACCAGCACAATCACATGGCTAACAGAATATTTTTCTGGTAGCCAGATAAGCTATCAATGTGTGTGTGTGTGTGTGTGTGTGTGTGTGTGTATGTGTATGTGTGTGTGTGTGTACACAGGTGTGAGTTTATCTATTTACATATATATAGTTCCTTTCTTCCATCATTCCCTAGGCCTTACCTAAACTACCACTAGGTAAGAGATTAGAGTATTCTGAATGTTCATTTTTGGCAGTAACATACAGGCTTGATGTGGGATTAGAAAATCTTCCTTAAAATACTATGATTCTGGGTTGTGTTTTGCGGAGCAGCAGAATCTGTAGTGAGGTTCTGTAGAGAAGTGAACTCTACCTGGTAAAGACAGCAGGGGGAGCCACTGGACTGAGAAAATGAAAAGCTGCCAGGGCTTCAGAAAGCAGCTTCAATATTTAATCAGCTGCTTGGCTGCAGGTGATGGATTGAAGGAGAGGGTGTTTCCAAAATATTATGTAGAGTTTTCAACATTGCAAAGGTTTATATAGGAAGCAACACACACACAGAAAAACAGCTCTTAGGGGTTTTTAAAAAATGAGTTCAATTCACCTGCTAGAAGGTTACTGTCTCATTTAGTGGTGCTTGGCTGGACACAGGAATCATCTAAGGAATATTTTAAAATACTGATTAAAAAAAAAGAAAAAGAAAAAAGTGCGAATGACTGTGACCTATCCCCTAAATTCCTATTTAACTGGTCCAAGGTGCAGCAAGATATGCAGAATTTTCTAAACCTCCTCAGTGATTCTAACATCAGCCCGGTTGGGACCACTGTCTGGCCCAATTTAACTAGACAGTCTCTCAGAGGCTGCAGCACTTAGTTATACAGTTCAGAGATTTTTTTAAAAAAAGTTTTCAGCCTGTATACAGAAGGTCACAAAAGATTGGTGGATGAATGAACACAACAAGCAGGTGGCTGCTAAAGAAAGTCGAGGATAACAAATAAATAAATCTAAAATTACTCCAGAAAATGCTCTTAGTGCCTGGAAAATTCTGCAGTGAAAGTAGCACATTTCAAATGTTTTTCCCCAACTAAATTTTCATGCTTTTCCCTCTCCCTGTTCTCCTACTGTTTTTATATTCCCTGTCTCTCTAAACCCTGATTCCCTTATGGATTTCACTCTCATCTCAACAACTTTTCTCTCTTTTCAGACTGAGTGATGTTATTGTGACACAGCTTCAGACTCAGTCCCCAACTGTGCACTGTGGGAGCCACAGCAGTGGAAATGTACGTGCACGTGCAGCAGCCCAAGGGTGGAAGCTGCAGAGGCTGGAGGGAGGTGATGTTGCCAAGCAAATGCAGCAGAACCAGCCTGACTGCCTGAAACTGTGCCTCAAAATAGGGAAAAACAGGGAGAAACCTGTAAGCAGGAGCACTAGATGCTACAGCCCTGCTGCTCAAAGTGTGGTCCATGAACTAGCAGCATCACCACCACCTGCAGAAGCTCAGGTCCCACTCCCTGCTGAATCAGAATCTACAGCTCATGAAGAACCCCAGGTGGTTTACAAGCATACTGAAGTTTGAGAAGTACTGCTTTAAAAGATGCATTCTAATTGGACTTTTCGACCTAAAAAGCACGAATAGAGGAGAGGAAGTTATGGTCACAGGTCCACCTTCATCTGGAGTGCCTATGTAAGATTATTCTTTAAAATAGCATTTGTAAAGGAAGGGTTGAGGGCAATTTCAAGTTCTGTGGTGTCAGGAGCTACCACTGATGATAAAGACTGCATGGAAAACTGGCTTGGCACTCTGCAAGTCACAGCTCACCTCTAGGCACCTGCTCTTCTACCTTTAACAGCCTTATAGATTAGGTAGCTCCAAGAGGTTTTGAATCATTTCTGGAAGCTGGCAGGACATAATAATAAAAATGCTCAATTCATCCACGATGCTTTTACTTCAGCTGCAAACTTGAGGCCAATGAAAATCCTCACGCGTATGTCAAAATGATACATAGGCATGCCCAAATTGCTCACCATCTTGTTGTTCTGTAATGTGTGCTGATTGTCAACCTTTACCCTGAAAAATGTAGTGCTTTAAAATTTTAATTTAAATATTCATTTCAGTTACATCAAAATTAAATACGACAAAGTTATTGAATTGATTCAGAACACTTCAAAAGCTTGACATCCTCAATTGTGTTTTAGAAAATTATATTATCTTCAAAAATATGTTAATATGAATGTATTGATTTCCCGTGACTGCTGTAACAACACAAACTTGGTGGCTTAAAACGAGAAATGTGCTCTCTCACAGTTCTGGAGCCTGAAGCCAAACTTGTTTTCAATGGGCTGAAACTAAGATGTTAGTAGGGCCTTGTCCCCTCTGGGGGGTTTAGGGGAGAAGCAGTTTCTTGCCTCCTCCAGCTTCTGGTGGGTGCTGGCATTACTTGGCTTGTGGATGCATCACTCCAATTTCTGCCTCCCTCTTCACACTGCTTTCTCTTCTGTGTCAAATCTCCTTCTGCCTCTCTTTTATAAGAACATCAATGACTGAACTTATGGCTTACCTGGATACTCAACGATAATTACCCCATTTCACGACCCTCAACTTAATCCCACCTGCAAAGACCCATTTTTCCAAATAAGGTTGGATTATAGGTTCCAGGTGTAAGGACTTACTATCTTTGGGTATCCATTATTTAACCTACTACAGAGTAAAATTACCATTTACAAGATATTATTTGTAAATGATACTCAACAAGGATAGTTTATACATATAAGGTATATGAAGTAAACAGAAAAATCTGGGGAAATATGTCTAGTTACAGGAATAACAACTTCTCATAAGCTGGTTTACTATTTGCAATTTTACACCTATTATTTTATGAGTGTGCATCAACCCAACGAAATAGGACATAATAATGAAAGCTAAGAGGGGACCCTGCCTAGGTGCCCTGGAAGAGAAGAACAGAACCAGGATGCAACCTGGATGTATGACCCTTTATGAGGTGCCCTTCCCCCTGCTGTCTGGTAAAAGACTACTAATAGGACTGTTAATTCATCTCGATTGACTCACAAAGAGAGGCTTATGTATGCAAGGCCGGCAAAGACTGACAGACGGAAGGTGAGTGCTCAACTGGGTGACCTCACTAGCTAAATGACTCCTTTTCTCCCAGCAGGTGCTGCTGTGCTTCTGCTGACCTACTGGACATACTTTGTTTGGTTTCAAAGTCAAGGAGCGACATTCCCATATGGATATTTCCTATGAAAACCAAGTTTGTGATTTATTCTTATTTCATCCTGGAAAATGTAACAGTGTTTATCCTTAACTAAGGAGAAAAGAACATGTTTGTTATTTTTTTCTTGCTTTGAACCTGATGCAGGGAATTTTATTTTAATTAACTTAATAAGGACCCATGAACTCACTACGTCATTTAACAACAATCCACATCTAATCGTTTGGCTAAGGCCCCATGCAATCTCCTGACCTCCCCCAAGTGAAGTAAGCTCCATCCTGAATCATGTTCATTATTCTCTACATTTCTTTTTTAGGTAACTTTGTTGTCCTTATAACAATTATAAAATAATATTAATTATTTTAAATTTTACATACAAGATATAATGCTGTATCTAATATTTTGGGATTTTTTTTTCACTTAACATTACATTGCTAAGATTCGTCCAAACTCCTGTATGACGATTATCGAAAGGGAATATTATTCATCTGCTTGCCTACTGATGAGCATTTGCATTGTTTATGGGTTTCTGCTCATGATACAGAAAGGAAAATCACATCATGCAAAAATAGCAAGTAAAGCCTAGCAGCAATCATCTTATTGTCCCTTTACCACTATAAAATTCCACAGTGCAAAAACAAAATATTGGCACCTAAAATGGAGTTGTGTTCCAACAGATTCAGAGCTGTTTGAGACTCACAATATATTTCCCCGAAGAAACAATTCTCTACATGGTGGTTAGTCCACTGGCTGATGCACAGAAGGCTGCTTAATTCATAATAAACCAAAAAGGACGACAGAGCCAAACCATTCTGGTACAACAGCCTTCCTGATGAAAATGCACCCACCAGGGAAATCACAGCACTCCTATAGAAGCAGACCAGGCAGCAGGACAAGGCTCCTGTTTTCTTTTCCTGAAGTCTCACCTAGCCTTAGCCAGAGGCAGCAACTCCAGCCAAGGGAGGGAACAGGCTGGCCTGAGGCTTCTAGGCCCAGGGAGATACTGGGAGGGAGACTCTGAGGCCAAGAACTGAAAGGGAACGGTGACTTAGAAGAAGTGACAAGAACTCTAGTGGAAGGAGTGAGGGATGGTCAAAAAGTGAATAGTTTCCTCTGCATTTTTAGCACTGGTCAGTGGGGATCAACAGCAAGGTGGGGTCAGGAGGCAGCCGCAGGGTGCCTCTACCAGGTGACAGGCTTGCATTTTCTTTCTCTTCTTCACAGTCTTACCTCCTCTTTCACAGGGGCACCTACTTGCACTTAGGATGGGGCATTTGAGAGGCAGAATATGGGGCTCTTGGAAGAGGTGGAGAATACTGAAAGGAGGTGCCACCTCCTCTGTGTTTTTGTGTCTGCAGTGGTTGGGAGGGAGAGCAGGATGGAGCCTCTGGGTGCTATGCCCACAGTAACTATTGCTCTCTAAGGACTGGTCCTATATTGGGAATATGTAGGTCAGAGCCTGTATACTGAAAGAAAATGCATACATTTACCTGTTCTAAAAAAAGACGCTGCTATTTTTAGGGCTTTGAATGAGGTATGCAGGAATGTGTGAGTTACAACTAAACCTCTGGTAAGTTTAACGTTAGGAAATCTATTTAAAAATTTGGGTCAAAATAGTTCTATAAAAATGTACTACATTTGCAATATTTTGTTATAGTTTTTGCAACTGTATATATAGCATTTAGATATATACAATTAAAATTTTAATATGTGTATACTATTACATATGTATCCATTTATTTTCAAAAGTTATTGAGAGCTTATTTTTGCCTAGGAAAAGCTAGGATACAAGTATGGAAAAATATAGGTCCTGATAAAGGGTGATCCTCATCATACTCTCTGGGGCCACAAGGCCCTACAAGCCTACTTCTGGTTAAGAACAGACTGCCCTGGAAATCCTAGCCAGAGCAATCAGGCAAGAGAAAGAAATAAAGGGCATTCAAATTAGAAAAGAGGAAGTCAAACTATGTTTTTTTGTCAATGATATGGTCTTGTACCTTGAAAACTCTAAAGACTTTTTGAAAAGATTCCTAGATTTGATAAATGAATTCAGTTACAAAATCAAAGTCTCAGGTTACAAAAATCAATGTACACAAATCAGTAGCACTGCTACACACCAATAATGACCAAGCTGAAAATCAAATCAAGAACTCACTCCCATTTATAATAGCTGCAGGAAACAGAAGGGGAAGGGGAGAGGGGAGAGGAGAGTGGGGAGCGGAGGAGAGGAGAGGAGAGGAGAGGAGAGGAGAGGAGAGAGAAGGAAGCCCATTCAGGAACACACTTAACCAAGGAGATGAAAATTTTCTACAGGGAGAACTATAAAACACCGATTAAAAAAAAAAACAGAAATGATACAAACAAATGAAAACCATTCCATGCTCATGGACTGAAAGCATCAATATTGTGAAAATGACCACACTGCCCAAAGCAATCCATAGAGTCAATGCAATTCCTATCAAATGATCAATATCATTTTTCATAGAATTAGAAAAAATAATCCTACAATTCATATGAAACCAAAAAAGACGGAAATAGTCAAACCAATCCTAAGAGAAAAAGGACCAAAGCTGGAGGCACCACATTATCTGACTTCAAATTATACAACAAGGTCATAGTAACCAAAAGTATAAAAGTGGAAAATTTAGAGCCATATTCAGAGGAACAAAACTGGACCCCTATCTATCACCATATACAAAAGTCAATTCAAGATGAATTAAAGACTTGAATGTAAATGTAAGACCAGAAACCATAAAAATTCTCTAAGAAAGCTTAGGAAAAACTCTTCTGGACATTGGCCTAGGCAAAGAATTTATGACTAAGACCCTAAAAGCAAATGTGACAAAAATAAAAATAAATAAATGAGACTTAATTAAACTAAAAATCTTCTGCATAGCAACAATAATAATATTAATAATCAATAGAATTAAAGAGACAACCTACGGAATGGGAGAAAATAGTCATAAACTATACATCCAACAAAGGACTAATATCCAGAATCTGTAAGAAACTCCAACAAGACAGCCAGCAAAAAACAAAAACAAAAACAAAAACAAATAATCCCATTAAAAGTGGACAAACAACATGAATAGACATTTCTCAAAAGAAGATATGCAAATGACCAACAAACATATGAAAAAATGCTCAACATAAGTAATCATCAGGGAAATGCAAATTAAAACCCAATGATATATACTACTTTATCCCAGTGAAAATGGCCATTTTAAAAAAGTCAAAAAATAGGTGTTGGCGTGAATGGGGTGAAAAGGGAACACTTATACACTGTTAGTGGGAATGCAAATTTGTAAAATCTCTATGGAATACAGTATAGAGATTTCTTAAGGAACTAAAAGTACATCTACCATTCGATCCAGTAATTCTACTAGTAGGTAGCTACCCAAAGGAAAATAAATCATATAAAAAAGATACCTGCACTCCCACATTAATTGTAGGACTATGCAATATGCAATATATGGAAAAATACAGAATCAACCTAAGTGCTCAACAGATGAGCAGAAAAAGAAAATGTGGGGGGTGTGTGTGTGTGTATGTGTGTTTGTGTGTGTGTGTCTGTCGTGGAATACTGAGCCATACAAAGAATAAAATAATGTCTTGCAGTGCAGCAACTTGGATGGAACTGGAGGCCATTATCCTAAGAGCAGTAACTCAGGAACAGAAAACCAAATACCACATGTTCTCATTTATAAGTGGGAGCTAAGCTATAGGTATGCAAAAGCATAAGAATGGTATAATGGACACTGGAGACTCAGAAGCAGGAAGGATGAGAGAGGGTTGAGGGATAAAAAAAAATCACCTATTGGATACACTGCACACTATTCGGGTGACAGGGGAGAGGGGAAAGGGGAGAAGGGAGCGGAGGGGAGTGGAGCGGAGGGGAGCGGAGGGGAGGGGAGGGGAGGGCAGGGGAGGGGAGAGGAGAGGAGAGGAGAGGGGAGGGGAGGGGAGGGGAGGGGAGGGGAGAGGGGAGGGGAGGGGAGGGGAGAGGAGAGGAGAGGAGAGGGAAGGGGAGGGGAGGGGAGGGGAGGGGAGGGGAGGGGAGGGGAGAGGAGAGGCCCAGATTTCACCACTAAAGCCCAGACTTCACCACTATACAATTTATCCATGTAACCAAAAACCACTTGTACCCCTAAAGCTATTGAAAAACAACAACAGCAACAAAAAAAGAATCAGCTCCCATTCCCCATCCAATGCTCTTTTGGCAACTGACATACAATAGTACAGACTTTCACCTACAAATGGGCTACTTATTCCTAAAAGCTTGTGGGTCAAGAATCAGTATTTGGAATCCCAATACTAAAACGTGGTATGCATAATCTAAAATTAGTAAATTACATAGAGTTGAAAATGAGGCATCTTCCGAGGAAGTATGGCTGCCAAGCAAGTCCTGAAACTTTGGGGCACTCCTAACAACACTGGCACACGACGAGAGTGGATGTCTGCAGTTCTCTGGATGACACTGAGATATGGGGTAATTGTCAGTATTACAATCAGTTGGTTGCAACTCTCAGTTGCTGTTAGTTTTGGTTCAAATTGTAAACTGATGTTAATTTAGCTTCCTCAGCACCAGCTTAGATTGTTGTGAGTTACCTGGTTAACTACATGTTATACTTTAATGTATTTCTACATCAGTCATATATTTGGCCCATTATTTTCCAGTATCTAGAAATTATAACAGTTACGTATTGTGGGTTATACATGAATCAGCTAAGAGACTAATGCTGAAGTAGATATACATCTAATTCTTCCCCACCCTTTAATCAGTGGTTTTTGAACACTGATACTGTTATCTCCACAGTTACGCAGGAAAGGGTAGCAGTAGGCAGCCTAAGAGATCTTTTGCCTAAGTGTACCAAGGAAACAAAGAGGGGAACATGTTCTAGAGGAGCTCCAGCAAGAAACACATGACGTTTTAATTTATCCAGCATCATGATAGTTTAGACAGAGAATTTATAATGGTCATAATAGTTTGGGCAGGGAATTTATAATGGTCAGAGGAGTTAGGAGGAGGGGGCCTCACCATATATGACTATGAAATGTGATATAATGAACAATAAACCCTAAGTGGGAAGCACTGATTTACGCAGACATATATAAATGGTGTGTGAAACAGATTGCATAACTTGCCGAAGGTCACGCAGCTAATGGTGACTGGTGAGGGAGGGGAGAGACGATGGTCTCTGGACTCTAGTGATCTTCCCTTAAGATTATATTAGAAAATTAATTTAAACACATATGTTGACCTTTGATGGAGAATTTTACCCTCATATGAAAGACAGAATGAAGATCAAAGATACTCTAACACATCAGAGGTTGGGCTAACAGTGAGTATCTCTTCCTATTTTCCATCTTACTTCTATAAGACTATCCTGTCTTGTGATTACTTTAAGAGTTGTTTTCACTCTGGATTATCAACACATCACAAAACATTGCCAAGATGGTTTATTGTTTTCAGTAAAGGATAAAGTTTCCCAAAAGTTAGGAATCTAGACAGTAGACACGGCATGGCCTCCTTACACAGCTGAAATTGTCAGCAGTTGCTCTTCCTCTGATCTCTCAAGAAGGCAGCTCTCCTCATTGTCTCTCCGCTGTGCCTCTGTTCTACTCTTCCTCTGATCTCTCAAGAAGGCAGCTCTTCTCATTGTCTCCCCACTATGCCTCTATTCTGCTGACAGGTTACAGGGAGAAAGGACAGCCTTAGAAGACTGCCTGTCAACAAAGAGGAGCAAAGGGACAGCCCAACCAAGGTGCAAAGTCTTCTAATGATTATGTTCACTAAAAAAAAAAAGGTAACTTAGTCCTCTAAAATATGTCACCTAGATTTTTAATTTTCAGCCAATTTTGTCTGGCTCTTTCTTATCAATAAAATAGGCTTACAGCACAACAGGTTGAGGAAAAGACATTGACAGTGAGTGGGCATTTTTGAAAGATAAAATATTAGGACTGGCAACAATGCAACTCCTGCCTGAGACCTGGGGACTCATTCTTTTAGAATATACAAAATTAAACTGAAAAAGGAAGAAAACCTTCACTGCTACTCTTTTTTTCCCATACTGCTCTAGAGACAGGCACAGGCAGTGCACAGGCAGTTGCCTCAGATTCTCACTTTCAAAAGATCATCCTCAATAATGTAGCATTTCCAGGCTACACTGTAATGCCCAAACAGAGCCACTTGTGTCTTTCTTTCTCCTGCTAGCTTTGTCAGAAGAAGGCAGCAACCATATGATCAAGGCCACCTATAATACATTAAAGTACCACACTTGAGTCCAAGAACAATCAACATCATTTTCATCACTTTCTCATTCCATGAACCATGCTTACATTAATGTCATTTCATGAGATTTAAGTCATAAAACTCACTGTTCTTTACTAAATTACTCACTGAGTAGGCCTTAAACTACCTCCTGCTTGAATGGAATAGCTAGGTTTCCCCAAGATGCCTTTTAATATGTACACTTCTTTGGACAATCTTTGGACAATCCCTTGGCAGAAACCCTTCTCTACCTTAACAGGCTCATCTGTGGCTGATTTTAGACTTAGGAGGTCAGAAGAACAAAGTGCCAGGTACAACCGCAGTATAGTGCAAAGCAATCCAGTTTTGTTATGGTGCATTCATAATATAAAACAGAATTTGAATCTTTTATTAATGTATGCCATGAAAAGCTGTTACTAGATTAGAAACAAACACTTCAAAATTACACAGACCCTCCCACTTCTTAACAAGGCCTCCTTCATTTCAGTTGATGCCTGTGTCTCAAAGCAGTTGAGCAAACACCAAAAGACTTATATCCTTGATTCCTAAATTACTTCAAAATTATTCAACAGTATTTGCATTTGAGAACTGGCTGGATCGCATTTGGAGTAAGGGAATCAATCACTAGCAGAAAACTATTAGTGGGGTATAAGGAGTGTTCATGGGAGTAGCTCTGAAGAGGGTAAATAATCACATCACATACTAAAGACAACCTATCAAATAGACTTAGCTGAACTAATTAGCTATACTGCTCAGTGGTTAAGAGAAAGTCTACCAGACCTAGGTTTGGGTCCAGGTCTGCCACTTACTTACCAGTCACATGATCATGGAAAGGCACTACGATTAGAGTGCGGCTGCCGAAATCAATCTATCTGCATTCAAGTCCCAACTTGTTTAGTTATTTATTTTTGAGACAGAGTCTCACTCTATAACCCAGGCTGGAGTGCAGTGGCACAATCTCGGCTCACTGCCACCTCTGCCTCCCAGGTTCAAGTGATTCTCCTGCCTCAGCCTCCTGAGTAGCTGGGACTACAGGCGTGTGCCACAACACCCAGCTAAGTTTTGTATTTTGGTAGAGATGGGGTTTCTCTATGTTGGCCAGGCTGGTCTTGAACTCCTGGCCTCGATGATATGCCTGCCTTAGCCTTCCAAAGTGCTGGGATTACAGGCATGAGCCACTGTGCCCAGCATCCAACTTAAATATTTTGAACCCAGTAATTTAAACTCTTTTATTCTAGTTAGTTAACTTCCCCGTGAGTCAGTTTCCTCTTTGATAAAACAGGTATAACAAAGACTACCTACCTCACTGGATTCTTGGTAAAAAGATTAAATAAGGTAATACATGAAAAGTACTAAAAATACCATTATAACATATAGTGGCACTCAGTAAATATCAGCTGACATCATTATCATCATCATCATCATCATCATCATCATCATCATCATCATTTTGGATGGGTTGCTTAGCTTCTTTAAGATACGCTTTCTGGCTGGGTATGATGGCTCATGCCTGTAATCCCAGCACTTTGGGAGGCCGAGGTGGGCAGATCATTTGAGGTCAGGAGTTCAAGACCAGCCTGGCCAACATGGTGAAACCCCGTCTCCACTAAAAATACAAAAATTTGCCAGACATGTTGGCGTGCACCTATAATCCCAGCTACTTGGGAGGCTGAGGCAGGAGAATTGCCTGAACCCAGGAGGCGGAGGTTGCCGTGAGCTAAGATCGAGCCATTGCACTCTGCACTTCAGCCTGGGTGACAGGTGAGACTCCATCTCAAAAATAAAATGAAACAAAACAAAACAACAAAACAAAAAACCACTTTCCTTTTATGGAATATGGGATAATGATAACACCTGTTTCCCAACATTGTGAGAGTTCATGAAATAATGCATAAAAATGCTTAGCATAGTACTTTGTCCCCTAATGACAACAATAGTAGTGGTAATAATTAAAATAATTTGTCTATCTATTCCCTATAATTGAACTCCTCAGAAATCTTTACATTTAGTGAGTATTTAGCAACTCTGAGAAGTCTAGTGTCTGAGCCAAATGGTATTTAAAAATTCTTAGTAATCTATTCTGTAGAATCATTATATCAACTTATAATCCCATTAAGAGTATTGAGAAGTACTTATTTCATCTTGTCAACAGTAGAAATTGTCTCTTTGAAAAATCTTCCGAGTGATAACATATCATAGAAGACATGAAAATCAAGAACACCACCATCCCATCACCAACAAAAACCAAACTTAGGGTTTATGGTACTAGGATACAGAAAACACATTTACAGAGCAGCAGGAACAGTAATGCATTTATTATGAAAAACAGTAAATTGTGTACTGATTAATGGACAAGTCTTGACATGAACATCATGTTCCACTGTGGAATAAGGTAGTGCTATAATATGAAAAATACATCATCATGGTGGACATTCTCAGTAGCATGAGGAAATCAAGAAACACCAAGTTTCACATGTTCCCAACAAAAAAATAGTTGTTAGTACTTTCAAAGGATTCAGTTGTTTCATTAGACGAAAAAAAAAAAATATATACTTCAAAGGCTTGAAATATTGAAGCCCAAAGAGTTTTTTCTTCTAGCCATACGGCATCAGTCTTTAAAGAGACCATAGTGAGAAGCTCCAGAGGCTGAGGGAATAAGTTAAAAGGACATAGCTTCCTAGTGGGCAGGAAATAATTCTTCTTACATGCAGCATATCAGCTCAGAAAGATCTAATGAGCTTTTAAACAATACAATGGAAACAAACTAAAGCAGATTCATTCTGGTCATTTTCTTGTCATCTTGAACACAAATGAAAAAAAAAGCTGCTAATAAAAATGTAATACACAGCTGCATGTATTATAAGTATATGCCCATAACTGCATTTACATGAAATTCAGTGCAATCTCTGGAGATCTCCTGTAGCCTTAACAATGGTAACGTGTTTGCCTTTAAAAGGGAGAACATTTTGCTGGAGTAATGGCATAAGATAAATATTTTTTACTATTACTCTTTGGTACTGTATTGTTTGGATTTATTAAAATCATGCACATTTCCCTTACTTAAAAAATGCATGAGAAATAAGCAAGTAAATAAATACGTAAAATATACTGAAGATATTTGACAATTTCTGTAGGCATTTTTGGAGAAGAATGCCACTGGCATTTAGTTGATAGAAACCAGGGCTGCTGTTAAATATCCTACAACGCACAGGACCAGCTCAAAAGGTCAATAGTGAGAAACTATTGTCAGTAGCTGAGAAACCCTACTCTAAATGATGAGCCTTTACGAAGAGAACATAAAGACACAGAGTATGAATTATACAACTACTGAAGCTGCCTCTTGGCTCCTCACTGCCCCAGACAGAATATATCACCCAAAGAGACAGGGAATGGAAGTGATTCTACACACAGTCCCTCAGCCTCTGGCACTTTCCTGCCTGGTGGAGGAGGAACAGCTTTCACCAGCAGCTCTCAGCACAGGTAGCCATAACAGCAAGACTGGACCCATCCTGTTTCCTCAGCCATCTTGGAGAGATGACTGTCAGGCCCCCTCTTTGTGGGCTTCTGTGGGTCTAAGAGGGCATTTAGGGGCTGAACTGTCCTAGTTATTCATGTTTAAAAATATTTGGTTAAAATCTACTCACACTTTCATATACTAAACATAGCACTGGCACCTATATTCAAACTGTTATATTACAATCCAATGGCATCATTCAACAGTATATTTAAGAGTCACAGGCTTCAATTAATTTAGGAGGGAGTATGGTGACCAATGAAAGTTTCTTACAAAGAAATATTTACTTGGAGGAATTCAGGCCCCCAAAGGGATCCCTTGACAAGGTGTTCCACAAAATTTCAAATCAGGAAGAACTTATGGAGGGTCCACTGATGGCAAAATAAAAGAGGAATGAATCTTGCTTCTTTGTAATGCAAAATCTATTTAGGTTAATTTCAACATGTCTCTATATTATGCTTTTTCTATCTCTCTAGTCAGTAGATTTCTTGTACTTGTTCATTTTTGTATCACAGTGTGTGGCAACAAAACCATAATGTTGGAGCTGGAAGGGATCTTAAAAATCATCTCACAAAATCCTCACATTTTGTAGATAATAAAAACAGCTATCATATATAGAAATTTCTATGCAGCAGGCATTGTCCTAAGTGCTTTACTTCTAACTAATAATTCTTTAATCCTCAAAGCCATCCTATCAGGTAGATATTATTACTACTCCCATTTTACTGAGGAGAAAACTGGGACACAGAGGTTAAGTCCCATGTTGTGAAGACAGAACTCTAAGATGAGCATCCATTAGTCATGCCCTTGTACAAACCCCTCCCACTGAATGCAGGCAGAAACTGTGATGTTGCTTCTAGTTGATAGTATATGGCAATGGTGATGGCAGAGTCACTCCCATGATTGCATTATGTTATATAAGGCACTGTCATAGGAGACTTAGTAGACTAGAGAGAGAAAATCTTTTACTGGCTTTGAAGGAGCAAGTTGCCGTGCTGTATGAGAAAGCCTTCTAGGGAATCATGTGGCAAGAAACTACGGCACTTCCAGGAGCTGAGAACAGCCTGTAGCTGACAGTGAGAAATTAGGGACATCAGTTCTATGGTCATAAGAGATTGAATTCTACCAACAACTGCATGAGATTGAAAGAGGATTCCAAGTTCTAGAAAGGAAAGCAGTCCAGCCAACACCCACGCTGTAGCCTTGTAAGATCCTGATTCCAGGACTTGGCTAAGCTATGCCTGGCACCTGACCCATAGAAACTGTGACAAAATAAAGGTATGTTGCTTTAAGCCACTAAGTTTGTGGTAATTTGTCATGCAACCATGGAAAAATAATAGGCATGTCCAAGATTGCAAAACTATTAAAAGGAAGAACAGGGATTCAAATCCCAGTGGTCAGGCTCCACTATTCATCCCCTCAAACACAAGCACCAAACTGTTAACAGTGGCAAGCTCTAGGGCAGGGAAAGGTGAATTATTTCGCTTGTCTTAATTTTTCCTTATCGCATTTTCACTCTCTGACATATTATATACTCATGCATGCATGTACACACACATTATTTACTGTCTATCTCTCTGACTGGAATATGTGATCCATGTGAGCAAGGGTTTTTATTTTGTTCAATGCTGTATTCTCATTACCTAGGACAATGCCTGGCATTGAGTAGGTGGTAAAAATATTGGTTGCATGCACGAATGAATGTAATCATTGAGAATCTGAGGCTTGGAGACTGCTCAAAGTCCCTTGATGGTTAATGGTAAAGCTAGATGTGGTCAGTTTATTACTGATCTTGATTCTTTAACCATTCCCATAACTAAACCCTCTGCCATAGGACTTTGCAATCCCTCCATGGAGGTTTGACTTGATTGGTCAATGGAATGGGGCTGGAAGTAAAAGGGGGCAGTTACAAGCATATGACTTAGGAGGCAGCACAGGTTTCCATTGGCCCTTCTTATCTTTCTACCATGACCAGAGAAGAGCATGCCCTGATTAGCCTGCTGGTCCAAGGGGGATGAAAAATATGTGGAGCAACTCTGGACCTAACCTGTAGTTGATGGCTGAGCTTGAGTCAGCCAACCTTGATCAATCCATGAGCATTTGAGCAAAAATAAACAATTGCTCTAAGCCGCTGAATTCTTAAGTGGTTTGTTATGCAGCATGGTCATGGAATAGGAAGAGTTCTTTGGATTTCTGTTCTGCCAGAGGCCTTATTAGCATGGTATTTCACAGCAATGGCATTCTGGGGGAAGAAAGCCCTAAGCAGTAAAGAAAGGTATAATTAATCCTTTAGTAGTCCCTTTGTTGGTCATAGGATGCTTTGTAATCACTATGCTAAAAGCAGCTTTTAGGATTTATGATATCAAATATCATAATTTTGATAAAATAACAAAACCAATGCATAAATATGTACTTCTGAAATTAAGGCATTACAAAAAAATATATTATACAGGTTTAAAGGGAGAATAGAGGTGTGAATTGGAGCCAGAAGTTCAATAGCCAAGAAAGCCCAAGTCAATATAGAGCTGACAATGGTTAATCATCTACTTTCAAGATCTAAAAAGACTAAAAAGATTTTGAATTTTTGTAGCCTGGAGTCTCTGGCTATACTTTAAAATCATGTATTATTGTTCATAATTCAGTCAAAATTGAAAACAGATCAAAGCTAGATCTATTTGGTGTAATTTTCCCTGGGTAAGGATGCAGTAGGAGTGCTAAAGCTTAACGTTACAGACATGAAAGAAGTAGTCCCAGGAAGCCATTAGTTGAATGGAGCTGTCCATTCACAGGAGCAAGCCAGTCTACCAGGGATGATGGGGATGATGAAGAGAAAGCCAGCTCAGGACAGTGGCTGCTGCATCTCTGCCAACAAGAACAGCAAATTCTTCTTATTTATTGGAGTTTACTATATGCCAGGCTCTGTCTGCTAAAAACTCTCTTTCTATGTATTATCTTCAATCATCACAATGATCCTAATAAGTTAGGCACTTCCTGTGGTCTGAATGTTTATGTCCCCCCAGAATTCACAGGCTAAAACCTAATCCCCAATGTGATGGTATTAGGAGATTTGGCCTTTGAGAGGCGATTAAGCCATGAAGGTGGAGTCCTCAGGAATGGGATTAATGTCTGTATTAGTCCATTCTCACACTGCTATAAAGAAATACCTGAAACTGGGTAATTTATAAAGAGGTTTAATTGGCTCACTGTTCCACAGGCTGTACAGGAAACATGGCTGGGGAGACCTCAGAAAATTCACAATCATGGAGGAACATGAAGGGGAAGCAGGCACGTTTTACGTGACTAGAGCAGGAGGAAGAGACAGAGAAGGGCGAGGTGCTGCACACTTTTAAACAACCAGATTTTGGGAGAATTCACTCACTATCATGCAAACATCAAGGGGGAAATCCACCCATGATCCAATCACCTCCTGCCAGGCCCCTCCTCTCACACTGGGGATTACAATTCGACATGAGATTTGGGTGGGGACACACAGCCAAACCATATCAATGCCCTTGTAAGGAGTTGAGGAGATAGAGTTTTCCCCTTCTACCATGTGTAGACTCTGCAAGAAGATATTTTTTATTTATTAATTTTTTTGTGTGAGAAAGAGGGCCCTCATCAGATACCAAATATGCCAGGGCCTTCCCAGCCTCCAGAACTATGAGAAGTAAGTTTCCATTGTTTATAATTTACCCAGCTTATGGTATTTTGTTATGGCAACTCAAAGAGACTAAGACAGTTCTCTTATGTTCATGATACAGACAAGGGTCAGGAAGTGAAGTTCATTGTATGAGGACAAACAGCTAGTAAATGGAAGAGGAAGAAGAAGAATGGGGAGCTCACACCCAAAGGCCTAGGTTCTTTCTACAAGATCACACTGCTCCTCAGGCTTTAGAACAAAGATGGCTTCCTTTCCTTCCTGTTTCTTTTGCTTCCTTTGTACTGAAGATTTCAAATTTATCCAGTATGTATGTACTTGCCATTTACGTCATCAGTTATAAATTCACTCAGAAATACCACTGTCCCCCATGCCTCTTTTAGGAAACATGGTCACATTTATATGTCTGCTGTTTGCCAGCACAACCTCTGTCTGATGCACAGTAGATCTAATTTGGTTTCATCCAATCCCCGAAATTGGATGAAGCTGGTTTGCAGCCCATTTTTAGTTATGAAAATAATCTGGAAGGCTGGCTAGCATTTGTACCCTAGTGGCCCTGTAATTCAAAAGGGCTTGTTATCTCTGTGCACAGATTCACCTACTCAGAGAACAAAAGCAATATCAGAACACACTGGTGTTAGCCCTTCCTAAAAGAGTTATGTGAAGGCAGAGCCCTTCCAGACGCTGTGATACTCATCCATCATATAGCAGTGCCCATTTATTCTGTCTATGTCAAACACAAACACCTATCGACCATCTGAAGTAATCAATAATAGCAATACACAGACCAAAAGTCCATCATTCAGGCAGCACCACCAAGCACCTACTGCTGAGCCTAAAGTGTATATGAAAGCTGACCTGGAGATACCTTGTTTTAAAAGAGTTCATCTCTCTAAAAGCATTTTAAACTCCAACTTTAAAAATTATTAGGAAAATATCACATATGAAAAACAAAATAACAATTAACAATATTTGAGAGTATTTAATAAAAAGTGAGTCTGTTAGCATAGGCCCAGTCCTGAGCCCTGTAAGAAACCACCAGCTAGAAATCCTCCCTGCATGCCCTGGATATTGTATCATGTCCATCTGTTTAGCCACTTTCTCTTCCTTCCTCTAATGTGAACTTAGACCTAGTTTGTACTTAGCTTTTTTCCTTTATATATCTTAAAGAGCTTCTTCTATTGGAGAAAACAGTGGGGAATAAATTCTTAAGTCAATCACTCTTAAAAAGTGAAATATATCTCACTAAGAAGTATTAACTTCATAGAAAATAGACCTGTGTACTTAAATTATTTTTGCTCATTACAAATACATTCCAGCAGATAAAGTGAAGAAAGGAAACACCACTGGGGGCTCAAGAACAGTCAAAAAAGAGCCCCATAGGAATTTTGCCTGCCTTCTTCCTTAATATCATTTTGTTGCTTATTTCCCTTTCTTCTTTTTCTTAATAGGAAAAATAGGCCCAATGAAGTTTTTGGGAGGCTTTCGCAAAGGTCCCTTCTAGGTCATCTTCTGTGCCTTCACTGGTGTATGCGAAGTTACTATAGACAATGCTTTGTTTAGTTTTGTTTGAAAGTTTGGCTTATGAAAAAATATCACTCCTATTCCTCTAATAGAATCTAGGTTCCGAAACCTTAAAACATGCTATAGATGATGAATATAAAAACTACCTAGCATACATAGTAGCAGTGGATTTGCCACAGCAAGGTCAGAGATAAATATGTTATTCAAATTTCAAACGCACCCTACAATTCTGCTTAAGACCTGAACTGCAAAGCTCTCAAGAAGTACTCCCTCAACATCTGAAATAATTGAAAACCAGGTTGGGTGGGCTGAGGAGGGGTAGTTAAAATGCATAACTCACTTTCAAAAGAGGTTGATAGTCTAGCTGGAGCCATATGGTACCATAAAACAGGGTATAATCTAAATTTAAGTATCTATCTAGTTCATTGTACCACCTAGGATAATGGCTTGATGGCTTTTCATCAATATATGAGAGCATGTTTAGGACCGTCTAAATTGAGGAATACAAAATTCAGTCTGTGATTCCTGAAAGGCCACAAAAAATCATGGTAAAATGAGAGGCGTGTGTAAAGGGTGATTGGTAGAAACAAACATGTTAGAGTACTATGTTTTGTCAGCAGAGAAAACACATTGGTTTTCAAATATTCTCAAATCAAAATTCATAATGGAAGAAGTGCTAACCTACAGGCATTGTTCTGAAGGTAGATACTGGTTGTAGGGCTGCTTTTCTTGTGGGCAGCTCTATGTAGCTCCACACAACATCCTCCAGGGTGTTAGCAGCAGGGATCTATTTATTTAATGATGGTTCATATAGGCATTGCTCACTTTAGGTCAGTTATCCATATCTGAAAAGCCAATGTTCTCCATGAAAATACTGATAACCTATTTCCCATTACTTTAAATGAGAAATATTTTGATATAGTACATGTCAACCCCAAAATCCCAATCAACTTCCCAAAATGTAATTAAAACATAGTAATCTGCTAACATGTAAATCATCAACTATCATTTTAGGATGCTTGTTGAAAATCTAACAAATATTTTTGTGAAATGTTTATATGCCTTTTTTTTTTGGTATATAAACACAGAACTGATTCATACCCATATTCCATGAAGTAAGGTATAAAAAAACCAAGACAACCCCATCTCTACTAAAAAAAATACAAAAAATTAGCCGGGCATGGTGGCGGGTGCCTGTAGTCCCAGTTACTCGGGAGGCTGAAGCAGGAGAATGGCTTG
Organism: Homo sapiens; assembly: GCF_000001405.40. Lineage (NCBI taxonomy): Eukaryota > Metazoa > Chordata > Mammalia > Primates > Hominidae > Homo > Homo sapiens. The sequence continues at coordinate 91,015,625 of NC_000007.14, read as the reverse complement.
AACCCGGGAGGCGGAGCTTGCAGTGAGCCGAGATCATGCCACTGCACTCCAGCCTGGGCAACAAAGCGAGACACAGTCTCAAAAAAAAAAAAAAAAAAAAAAAACCCAAGACATACTCTGCTGGGGTAGGGAGACCCAACAAACCTATTCATTGGGAAGATGAATGCTACAGGATACATCTTCAATTATTGTGAGCAATTCTGGGAGCAGATGGCATATAGGGTAAGTACAATCTGTTTGATCTGAATTGCCAGTGAAGAGTAATTATGAAAAGGAAGAGCATCCTGGGGCTAAAGACCCCATAGCAGTGAAGAATGTACAGAACTTGGGTAAGGGAGTGAAAACAGGGAGTGTCTTGAGGAAGGAGTTAATGCTCAAGGAAAGAAAAATAAGAATGACCTTAATTAGTAAGAAAACTGATCTGATTTGTTAAAGAGGAACAATGGGCAAGTAAGGTTGACACAGATAAGAAGAGATTAAAGTATCTGGACTTCATATAAAGCAGAAAAAAAATTAGCAAAAACACAAATAGATTAAGGCAAAGTCAAATGACACATTACACAGAATATTATCTATTACATAAAGATAGATAGACTCCTATAAGAGAAAAATACTAAGTATGCTAATAAGGAAAATTAGTGACAATGGACATAGGTTTCAAAGACTTAGCTGCAAGCAAGCAATATGAATTTTCATATCAACAAGGAACTAATCATAGACTTTGAAAAACTGAAAGGGGATTTCACAGTTGGCCCTTGCCCCAGTCAACCAGGCATCTTTAGAAATGGTCGGTCCATACAGCTAGGCAGGTGGACACTCAGGCTCCTCACCCATGCTGGGGCGTGCACCATAATGGAATTTAATATTTATATCTGAAATCGAACAAACTTCTATTAGTAACAATACACATAGCTAACCTTTACTGGCAGCTAACCTACTTTAATGACAATGAACCCATGGTATGGCTGTTTGATATATTAGCTTGCTTAGTGCTTTCAGAATCCCTATGCTTGTTTAATACTACTGCTACCTCTACATCACACTTAGCTTGGTCACAACATAGTCTTCTAATAAAAATAAGGGAAAAATCATCATCATTGTATGTTTTATAGTTGGTAACTCTAAACTCATTTATTAAAACTCTTGGAAAAAGAACATGGGCTAAATCATTCTAAACATGATCTCATGTTTGACTCCAAGAAAGGAACGAAAAGTTCACAAAGTAATATCAAATTCTGTTCTGGATTACCTTTGTGTTTCAGATTTCTCTTGTCTATAATAAAATGTTGAGTTGCAAAAGAGAAAAATCCCTGAAATATAAGCTAATTTGAGAAAGCAAGGGGGCCAACTAGTGCACAGCTTAATATAAACAAAAAAGTGTAATTTTACAGTTAAATTCTGCTCCCTTGTTCCCCAACCCCCAACTCCTCATTACCAGGAATGTATGTATTAAAACTTTGGTTTTTCTAATATGTGACTTCAAAAATCAGCACTGGATTATGATAAACTGAATGTGAATTCTGGTAATGGGACAAGTAGACAGACAAGAGATGTCATCTAGTGTGATATTTCAAGGTTCTAATACCTTGACAACTAATAAAACCGTCCTCAGCTTAAATACCAGAAGAGTTTATGTAAGGTACTCTCACCACATATGTAACTATAAAAGAAGAAAAAATTAGGTCACCTACTTTCCAGTTCAATTTCCCTATTTTTAATAGTTATTTCGCTAGTCACACAGACTCATGCAGGGTTGAAAATGCTCTCTAGAATTCCCTCCTGTGCAAAGCTAAAAAACCTCTTCAGATTGAGTCTTCATTACATGTTCCCTCAATTAATTCTGTTATATAAAGCTTGTGATTATCATTGTGAGACACTATGATTCTCCTAACTCAGAACCACTCTTTCTTAACTTAAGGTAAATCAAGGAGAAGCAGTAGAGAAAAAAAGAAAAAAAAAAAAAAAAAAACAGAGGCAATGAGACCGTGTGATCCACAGAAAGATTTTTCCTTAAAAACACTGGTAATTGCCAGGACAGGAACGTAGGTTTCAACCAGATTGCTCAAATTTTCTTAGTGCCAAAGTGACATTTTAACAGGAAAGGAGAAAAAGCTCCCTGTGGAAAATGAACTGGTAGTTTCCTTTGATGATTTCTAGAATGTCTTTCTTTAAAATCTTGACTCAGTTTCAGGGCTTATAAAATTGTTAGTCATAGGTAATGAAGTCAAATACAAAGTTTTAATAATTGGTAGAAGCAAGTGGACAGAAGCAAAGAACAATCCATTGCCAGAAAGCAGAACTCAAAGTAGAAAGTGAAAATAGATGAGTTTAATACTAGCTGGTCTATCTCCTACTGAAGAACAAATCAGAAGCCTTGGTAAGACCTCCCTAAGGGAGGCCGTGGGCAGGAAGCTGCAAAGAAGAAAGGAAGAGAACAAAGGAAAAAGAAATTTGGGGTTCAGTTTACTATGTAAACCTAGGCCTGTGTTTGGGAACTTCTAGAGTAGTGATAACCTGTTGCCTCTCCCACTGGCTTTGATCAATCAGGTTAGGTAGTAAATTAAGTAGTTTCATGCCCACGTTATTGCTGTTATTCAGCAGTGCTGGAAGAAGGTAAAATTCTGCCCCACTAGTGCACTAAGTGACTGGCCAGAGCATGGTGCAATCCCAGGAAGCCTGCTCAGAAATGCTGTGTTGTCTGACATTTCCTACTTAACGTTACGCCCTCTCAAAAAATTACATATTTTTCTTTCACTTACACACTACCCCTTTATTTGTATATGAATCTATGTAAATGACTCTCTATCTTTACCCTTTGAGGAGTATTTACTATATATCTAGCATCATGTTAAATGCTAGGGGACATAAAGAATCAGTCACAACTTCCCCTTCCAGTCAAGATAAGTAAGAGACATTGAACTTACCTTCCTGCCTGAAGCAACTCAACACCATAGAAAACATATAAAATAATGGCCCTCAAGCACTTAAATATAGGGTAATAAAGAAAAGTGATTCTAGAGACAGGTAACAAACAAGTTGAATCTATGATTGCTCCAATTTGCTGCCTGAAGAAAATCTGCAGACAGGAGAAACCCAGAGGAAGTCTGAAAAACTCCCTGAGTTGAAGACACATAGCTGGAAGTCCAGGAAGGCTAAGGCTACTATAATATGCAAAGCAGAGGATCAAAGAGGAGAAATCTGTACCAAGAGAAAACTATGAAGATCTGCAGAAAGTCCCCTTGATGATTCAGTTAAGTAATGTCAGTGCATAAAGTTGAGGAAACTACTCAAAGTTAGGGAAAGGACTACCCAAAATATTGAGGGAATAGTGCACAGAGCTCACACAGGGATGACAATGGTGCCTATTCCCATGGCCAGAGTAGGAAATCTCAAAATTCACAGGCATTGTTTACAGGGCTAAAAAGGATCTTGTTTCAGTAGTGCAGAAAAATTTATCCTAGGCTAAATGCAGCAGCTTTGATAATCTTGCCCATCAAAGTCTAAAAGCAAGACCAAAAGGCTGAAACAGTTTCAAGTAACTTGAACATGTCACAGAACAAGCTGAAGAATATTTTTAGGAATATAAAAATATCTAGAATCTGGCAAGAAAAAATTCACGATATATGGCATTGAATAAAAAATTACCAGGCATACAAAGTAGAAAGAAAATACAACCCATAATGAGAAGAAAAATCAACTGAATCAATCAAAGTGACCCAGAAATGACAAAGATGACAGACTTTGTAGAAAAGAAAATTACATAGGTATTCCATATGTTAAGAAAGTTAGAGGAAAGACTATACATGTTAAGCAGTGGTATGAAAGAGATTTTTTAAAAACTTTTAGAGATAAAACCTACAATATATGAGATGAAAAATACACTGAATGAGATTAATGATACATTAGATATTGAAGAAGAACAGATTACTGAACTTGCAGATGTAGCAACAGAAATGCTTCAAACTGAAACAAGTAGGGAAAAGAGACAGAAAAAAGAAAACAGAATCAGTGAGTCATGTGATAATCAGTCAATGAACTTGCCCAAAAGACATGTAATTGTAGACCCTAAAGGAGAGGAACAAGAATAGGAGGCAGAAACAAAATATATTAGGAAACAATAGCCTAAAATTTTCCAAAATTGAAAATTATACAGTAACATCCAGAAACTTACTGAACGCCAAGCACAAAAATATAATAAGCACACCAAAATGCATTATAATTAAATTGCTTAAAACCAGTGATAAAGAGAATATCTTTAAAGCAGTTTCTTCATTCATTCAATTATTTAGCCAGCACAGAATGGACACTTAACCCTCTAGGTGCTGAGGACTGTGATTCCCAACCCTCTCCCCTATTTATTAAGTAACTCACCTAGTATCATGCCTCAGGTAGGGACAATACCTATTCCAGGATACAGATAAGGAAAACAGCAGCTTTTTGTTGTTGTTGTTCAAGATGATGCAAGATGATATCATAATCTCAGTAGACAAGAAAAAAAATTTTCACCAAATCTGATATCCATTCCCGATAAAAATTGTCTGCAAAGCAGTATCAATTGTCTGCAAGCAGTATCAGGCTCCTCAGCCTGATAAAGGGAATCGACAAAAAACCTAGAGCTAACATCATCCTTAGTAGTTAAAGATGGAATGCTTTTCACCTGAGTTTAAGAACAATGCAAGAATGTCCATTCTCACCACCTCATTTAATATTATACTGGAGGTTCTAGCCAGTATAAGGCAAAAAAAAAAGAAAGAGAGAGAGGGAGGGAGGGAGGGAGGGAGGGAGGGAGGGAGGAAGGAAGGAAGGAAGGAAGGAAGGAAGGAAAGAAGGAAGGAGGGAAAGAAGGAAGGAAAGAAGGAAGGAAAGAAAGAAGGAAGGAAAGAAGGAAGGAAAAGAAGGAGAAAAAAGAAACATAAGGACTACAAAAAGAAAAACTACCTTTATGCACAGAGATGATAACTTACATAGAATATCTATGTAATCTACCAAAAAAACAACTAGAATAAGTTGATTTTAACAAAGTTGCAGGATATAATATGAATATAAAAAAACCAATTTCATTTTTATATACTAGTAATGAAACATTAGAATTCTAAACAAAAATACCATTTACAATAGCATAAAAATATTAACAGTTATGAATGTGAAAAGATGGGCAAGACCTATACACTGAAAACCATGAAACACTGCTGAGATATTATAGAATAAATACATTGAGAGATACACTATGTTCATAGATTGGAAGACTCAAGATTACTAAAATGCCAGTTATCTCCAAACTGATCTATAAATTCAATATAATCTCATTTAAATACCAAGCAGGCTTTTTTTTTGTAGTAACTGATCAGCAGATTATGAAATTCACATGGGAATACAAAGGATCTAAAATAGCCAAACTTCAGAAAAGTCTGTATAAGTTGAATGACTTATACAACCTAACTTTCAAAACTTATTATAGAGCCACGGTAATCAAGACAGTGTGGCACTGACATCAAGATGAAACAGTCTATGAATACTTATACACACATGGCCAACTGACTTTCAATAAAGTTGCAAAAGCAATTCAGTGGAGAAAGGATAGTCTTTTCCACAAATGGCAATGGAAAAATTAAAAAACTATATGTCAAAAATAAAATTTAAAAAGGAATTTTAATCTGTCCCTGGCACCATAAACAAAAATTAACTAAAAATCGATCCTAGACCTAAACATAAAACCTAAAACTATAAAACCTCTGGAGGAAAACAGAAGAAAATCTTTGTGACCATGGGGTAGATCAAGATTTCTTGGGATTTCATCAAAATTATGTCTCTTGCTCTTCAAAAGAAACTGTGAAGACAATGAGAAAGCAAACCAGAGACTGAGAGAAAATATTTACAAATAACTGATAAAGTTCTCATCCAGAATAAAGCACTCTCAAAACTCAATGATCAGAAATTAGTAATCCAATAAAAAAGGAACAAAAGATCTGAACAAACACTTCACCAAAGAAGACATATAGATGGAAAACAAGTACATGAAAAGATGCTCACCATTAATCATTAGAGAAATGCAAATTAAAACCACTATGGAATATTAGTTCATACCTATTAAAACGTCTAAAATTAAAGATGTACAACAACTGGAACTCATACACTGCTGGTGGCAATGTAAATGGTATGGCAACACTGGAAAACAGACTGGCAGTTTTTAAAAGAGTTAAGCATACACCCACCGTATTGATTGAGCTTTCCACTCTTACGGGAATCCAACGGAAGACAAAACATGTCCCATAAAGAATTTTACATGAATGTTCACAGCAGTTTTACTTGTAATAGAAAGGTACAACAAAACTGGAAACTAAAATGTCCATCAACAGGTGAAGAGTTTAAAAAATGTGTGAAATATCTATACAATGGCATATCACTTGGCAATAAAAAAAAGAATAAACAACTGACACTAGCAACAACATGGATGGATCTCAAAATAGTTATGCTCACTAAAAAAAGCCAGGGCAAAAATCAAAAGTAGATAACTTATGTTTCCAATTATACAAAATTTAAGAAAATGCAAACTAATCTACAGTGACAGCAGACAGATCAGTAGTCGCTTGGGGATGGAAGCAGAAAGAGGGAAGGAAAGGGGGGACTACAAGGAGGTTCAAAGAAATTGAGGGGGAATGATGGATAGATCACTATCTTGAATGTGGTGATGATTTCATGGGATTATACACATGTCAAAACTTAAGCTGTACACCTTAAACATGCAATTTACAGTATGTCAATTATACCCTGATAAAGTAATTAAAATTTTTAAAAAGAATGACATAAAGAGGTAAAAATTTAACATGGAATACAACTTTGTATTCTTGTACAGTAGCATTTCTACACTTTAGTTAACTCAATACCCTCTTTTAAATATAAAACCCTTAAGCCTTTCATGACTGTTATTTAAAATTTCAGAAGTAATCAAGTATCCTGACAGAAAAAGAAAAACTGAATATGCTTATTCCAACTGCAAATTCTCCCCCACTCACTTTGATATGTTCCAGTCTTTTTGAGATTCTGATATTAAAGGCTTTAAGAAAAAAAAATTACTGCCAAATAATAGGCATTTGGGGGACATAATACAAATACAAGAAGGGAGGGAGGGAAGGAAGGAGCAAAATTAACAACAAACAACAAAAACACATGAAACCTCAAACAATGACTTCAAATGCAGTCTGAATTTAAGAAAGTTTACATTTGGTCTTTATTCTAAACTGAGATCACAGGCTGCACTGCTTGTTCAGGTAGCTGTTTGTTCATTTTCCTCACCTGCCTGTCTTTCTCTCACCCTTGATTATTCTGGTTATCCCGCCAGCCACACTAAATTCACAATTTCAGGTTGCTAGCTGGCTTCACCTTGAGTTAGCAGAGCTTTGTGAAGTGTCAGACAACAAATTCTTGAGTGGAATTACTGCAACGAATGCTGCCTCCACCATCCACTGTTTTTTTTTGTTTGTTTTTTTTTTTTTTTTTTGGCCTTCTCCCGGCACTGGCTCCCATTTCTAGGCACCCTGTAAGGCTCTGGTATACCCAGAATGAGCAATCCTAATCCAATACTGGAATATCTAAAGAAGCAGAAGTCTTTTCTGGGGAGGTCAGCACCATCCCTCACTGAACCATACACACACTGACCACAAAGGCTGCAACTCTTACATGGAGTATCTAATGAAATATTGTGTTTATAATGAAAATATAATGTAAAAATGTATTCATAAAAAGATTTCAAGCACATAAAGATACTGACAGATGGACATAGAAGGACATGTGTAAAAATAAAAATAAAGTACTTGTCAGGATTTTTGTTTTTTTTTTCCTCCCTCCTGTTTTCACAAACTATCTTTATTGATGTTATATTGTCTATACAGAAAAAAAGAACAGTTTACTGACAGCTGCTAGCTGGAAGGCTTTTTCATTCTATACAGCTGAAATGAATCTGAGGGTTCTATTCATCTGGGAAAAAGGAAAAATAACATTTATTTTGCTCCTGTGGTGGGTGGATTTGTAGCTGGGGTGGATTTGCTTGGCTGCCAATTACTGGTAACAGTTATCTGATTGTTATACATTTTATAAATGTGTCTAGCAGTGTTCTGTCTGGAAATGCATACGGTGTAGAAAATAACTAACATAACTTAATCTCCCTTTCCATGGGATGTGGAAAACTGACCCTGGTTAACTTAGTGGTGTGGCCCACACCTGACTATGCACAGTGTATGCTTTGGTAAGTCCCAGGAAAGTCTGGTCTGATACTGTTCTCCAGGGAATAATGCTACTGCGGCAAATTATCTAAGATTGAAAACCAGGTTTTGTTGAGTTTATTGTGTCTTAGGAAAGCAAATCACGGTTGAACAAAAATGTTAACTCAAGTGCCAACCAGTCCAGGCAGAGGGCAGCTTCTAGTGGAGAGTCAGTAACACTGGCACTAAGGTGGGATGGGAGGGTGCATGTATCACTGCTGATGGGAGTGTAGACTGGTTCAAGAGTTCTGGAGCATTATTTGTCAAAATTTATAAAAATGTTCAAAGTGCACCCAGCAATCCTCCTCTAGGAATCGTTTCTACCAAGATAACATATGAGTGCATAAAGCTCTGAGTATGAACAAGGATGCAGCAGGCTTGTCGTTCCATGACAGTAAAAACAAAAACAAAAACAAAATTGGCATGACCTAAATTTTCAGGAATAGGTGGGATAAATATGTAACAGCCATAGAATGGATCATTATGCAACTGTTCAAGCAAAATGAAGATTTATATGAAATTGCTGAGAAAGCTATCCGTGACTGATTTAGGTGACAAAGGCAAGTTGAAAACGATGTTTGTATCATTTTGGGGTGAAACACACATCACTCACAAACACATACTGTTTATGTGAATGATTGCATGGGCATAAAAGAAAATATATAAGTGAAAGTTTTAATAAACATTACCAGACAGGGAATTATAGTGAGGTTGGAGATAACTTTAATTTTTAAATTTACATATTTCCAAAATCTAGTGGAATTCTGAGTACTTTTTAATTCAACAAATCACAAAGACAAGATCAAATAAATTTCAAATAAGTGGAACAGGATATTGATATAGGGAACAAATTATTTTTAAAAATAAAATGTGATCAAATTAAGAAAATGAATTTAGTAGCACGTGTGTTGGTAGTAAGGAATTTCTATCCAGGAGTTATGTGTAATGTTTTCTGAAAAAAGAAAATGAGCACATGTTAAATGGCTTTCTCTCTTCTTTCTACTTAACTTGCCAGAATTGGTTTCTGAAAAAATGCAGCCTATATAGCAGACAGAATGGAATATTAAAGAACAATTCAAAGAAGGGTAGTAGCCTTTGGGGAAGGGTAGTTTCAATGGAAACTTATATTCTTTAAGAACTAAAAAGAGCCATGAGGGGAAAAACTTCAAGTTCTTTTCCAAATTAAAATAAGCATGCTTATGCTAATTCTGAACATCGCCAGCAGGCTGAAGCAGGCTGAGTTCCCAGATGCCCTGCAGTCCAGGCGCTGCCTGTCTACGGGGTCCAGCGGTGTCCACCCACGTGGATGGCTGACACCATCTTGTTGCAGAGTTGTTTGGATGAGCCTGGAGCCATCACTGCCTATAGGGTGGGACCAGGACAAGACTGGGTGTCTTTATGAACCGAGTCAGATCTTAAACCACAGTCGCCCACATCACCATCTGTTAAGTGCCATGTGGACCCCAAAAGAAAAATCCGGTTTGGTTCTAAAAATACCACTATTTGCCTCACAAGGAACGGTCTCCTCCAGCTCTGCCTCACAGGCCTCTGTTTTACATAACGTTAATTAGAGATGCCAATTCTGTGTCAGAATGGTACAACAGCCACACCTTGGAATGTGAAACTGTAAACCTTAAAATTCTGCCAAAATGTGCCATTTTATCCAAGTGTAGAAAACTCAGTTTAAATTGCTTATGTTCCAGGGTGCCCTGACCACAAGTCAACTGAATTGGAATTCAGCTGTCATCTTGCTTGGACTAGGAGCTATAACCTTTGACCCACAATGTGTAAGATTGATTTATTTCTCCTTTGGTTAATAATAAAATGATATGTATTCATGTGTGATTTAAAAAAATAAAGCCTTTGAAATTTTTAATTAGTGCTCAGGGTAGACCTTAAGTTTCTGCTTACGTGTAATGCTGTTCCACTCCAAGGGTATCTTCCATTGCCTCCTTGTGATATTGGAATATTTCTCCCCTGCCAGCTGACAAGATGCTAAGTTTTGTCCGTAGATGGTGCTGGAGGGACCCTGAACGAGGAAGGATCTTGATCCAGTGGCTTGTGTTCCCAGCAGTGCACCCACCACGAAGTGGTGTTCACCTTCCAGCTTTCCAGCCCTTGTCAGCAGTTCCCTGCTGGCTCACCAGCCTCAGCCTGCTAGAACCCAGGAGGGGATTTCCTGCTCACAATGCCCTGCCCACCAACCTGGGCCCACTGGCACCCAGAGGGAAGCCACCAGTGAGCTAATGCTGACCTGGAATCTCACGCCACCAGCCTCTGTCCTGCTGCTATGGGCCAGATCTGGCCCAGGGTAACACAATGAACCTCTCCATCACCCAGTGGACCACACCACTCCTTCTCCAATGAGATTCTGAATCTGAACTTGGCGAGGGAGAGCCTTTCCACGCTGGTTTCTTTCTTGGGTTCTCTCCCTCAGCCTCAGGGTATTCTTCAGATTTTTCTTTTATATCCTTTTAGTAGCAAATCCCTTGTAAATAGTTCACAAGTATATTAAGCCATCCTTGTTCAAATTATAGTGTGGTTTTGACCAGACTGAACCCTGATTGGTACAGGAAACTTCTATGATAACCATCCATTGGTGAATGCAACAACTTTAAACCTCAAATTGGGCCTCAGTGCTATTCATTAATTTCAATATTAATTTACCATGGTCAGATCTGCACGCTACTCACCGCTTCACTTCAAAACTTCCCCTGTGTCCTTTAGGTTCCAAGTCATCCAACTTACCAACAACTTACTACCAGAAGATGACATCAATTGATATTCTTTAAGGAAATAGGAGTCTCCTTCAAAATCCAAAATTTTAATACTGGCTTTGTCCTTCTATTGACCTTGCTCACACACCTTTAGGCTTAAAAGAAAATAGTTGGAAATGCCCCTCACCAATACCACTCCCCAGTAGATTGGTTACTTGTACCTCCTCAAATAAGCTTTAATAGGTTTGTATATTTCAAGGAACTTGTCCATTTCATCTAAGTTATCAACTTTATTAGCATATATTTATTCACAATGTTCCTTTATTAGCCTTTTAATGTCTTCAGAACGGAAAGTGACATCTCTTCTTTCTTTTCTTAGTAAGTCAGGCTAGATGTTTATCACACTTACTAATCATTTCAAAAAACCAGCTATTGATTTCATCGCAGTTTTCTACTGGTTTTATGTTTTCAATTTCATATATCTCTTCTTTCATATTTATCATTTTGTTCTTTCTGCTTGCTTTCAATTTAATTTGCTTCTATACTTCTACTTTGTAGTATGAACGCATAGATCATTCATTTTAAATCTTTCTTGTTTTCTAGTATAAGATTTTAATGCTATACATTTCCCTCTAAGCACTGCTTTAGCTCTATTCCACATATTTTGATACAGTGTGTTTAGGGGAATCTGGCTTTTTAGTCAATGTATACTGCAAGTTATCAAAGGGTGATACACGGGGACCAGCATAATCTGACATTTTAAAATAACCACCCTGGGCAATGGAGTTTACTTACTGCCTGCCCCCATAATCATTTTCTATTTTCTCCAATAAACAATCAATTTTCTTGAATTTTATATGAACACCCAGTGACCCAGCTAGAGGTTACATTTCCCAATCTCCTTATTATCTTGTTCTGGCCATGTAACAGGGTTCTGGACAAAATTATATGGGTGGAAGTGTGCAACTTCTAGGTCACACCTTTAGGAAGAAGCTCCTGGATTTCTGGAATTTGATGCTGTGGTGGTTACCCAGCTTCTACTATGTAGATGATGGCAATACCCAAGGAGAGAGAGGGACCCCAGATAAAAGAAACCCAGGAACCTGAAGGACTTCATGCAGCACAGCCCATCCATCTACCAGCTTGCATTACACATGAGAAAGGAACAAACGATTTATTTTTTTCTAAGACATGTCATTTTTGCCTCTTTTTCAGTAGGCAAACCAATACGCTAGCTAACACACCATGGCTGCCATTTAAGATGACAGGAGTGTTGTCAAGGGGTGGGGGCAAAATGGAGGTGATATGGAGACTGCGACAGTGACCAGGTGAGACATAATGATGACTAGGACTAGTATGGTGGAAAACTGTGGATCAATATCTATTTTACAACTAGAATTAGTAGAACTAGCTGATACATCTGATGCATGGGATGAGGACAGGATAAGAATTAAGAGTGACTCTTAAACTGCCATTCACTGAAATAGGAAAAATTGGAGAGGAACAAATTTGAATGATTTTGTTTGATATATTAAGAGCTATGACTTAGATAGATTGCATCTGTTTGTTTTTTGTTTTTTGAGACGGAGTCTTGCACTGTCGCCAGGCTGGAGTGCAGTGGCGTGATCTCGGCTCACTATAAGCTCCGCCTCCCAGGTGCATGCCATTCTCCTGCCTCAGCCTCCCAAACAGCTGGGACTACAGGCACCCGCCACCATGCCCGGCTAATTTTTTGTATTTTTAGTAGAGATAGGGTTTCACCGTGTTAGCCAGGATGGTCTCGATCTCCTGACCTGGTGATCCACCCGTCTCGGCCTCCCAAAGTGCTGAATTACAGCTGTGAACCACCGGGCCCGGCCACATCTGATATTCTTATTAAACATCCAAGAAGATAAATTAATCACGAGGCTAGATTCAAGAGGCTGGGGTTCAGCACTTAACACATGGTGTCATGACTATCTGCCTCCTATCTTTCTCCTTGGCCAGACTGTGAGATCCCTGAAGGTGAAGACAATGTCTTGTTTGCTTTTACATCCTAGGTTCTAACACAGTAACTGACATAAAGTAGATACTCAATACATATTGGTTGAGTTGGTTTATGAATACTTAGTTTTAGTAAAAGGCAGTTCATACTAGGAGTTATGGAAAAAACTGCTGTGGGATCAAAATACTTACACTACACAAGTGATCAAAATAATTAAACAGCTAAGAAAAATCAGAAGACAAATATTTTAATGGAGGTAATACATTCAGAACATAAAGGCATAAAGAAATCTTTATGACATTAATTTTTAAATATATAAGAGATATTATAACATAAAGCAAATATAACTAGTGTGGAGAAAATGAAACAATTTTGGAGATACTGTAAACATCATTTGATCTAGTGCTTCTCATAGTATGTTCCTTGGAGTCCTGTACTTTCTTGGAGACACTCTAAGGAGGTTGGGGGGATACTACACAGGGGAAATTTGGCATTATTGGTGAAATTTCATTTCAACAAACAATTACACTAATATGTTTTTTATTTGCAGGCTATGAATTCTTTAACCTCATTCTATAGGTAAATAAATCAAACCCTCCTTAAACCCAGTTACAAATAGACGGGACTACAGGTTGGGTCTTCCAACAACCAGTCCAGAGGTAATCTTTCATTCCAGAATTTACCTTAAATAAACTTGACATACTTCCATATTTACTATCACCTCCTTGAGTCATAAACTCCATTAGTTCATTACAAATGGTTAAGTTGTATCACTTACATTGGGCTTAAACATAGTGTAATGCAAAGACAAAGAGCTTTAAAGACAACAACTGGGTTTAAGCTCTGACAGCTCTGGTTACATGAAAGGTTTATGTGTCGGTTATTTTAATGGAGGTAGCACACAGGGTGCTAGGCTCAACCAACTTTGTTCCTGGGACATTGCTAGGAGATACATACGCAAATTACTGCCACATATCCTAATTTTCCCTCTTGGGTTTGAGTGGGATTAATGAAATACTAAATAGAAGTAAAGGAGAGAGTAAGAGGATAAAAAGAAAGTTTCTTTATATTCATATTTGAAAAAAGTATTGCCTTTCCCATGAAAGAAACAATAAAAAACGGAGCCACTATTGAAGGAAGCTTCATATTGTATTTCCATTATCACTATATTATTTATCCAGCAGGTTAAGCTGCAACACAGCGTGGATAAAATCTCTTCATTTGCTTTCTTCTTTCTCTTCTGAGTGATTTTTTTATCTTACCATCTGAAGCGACAGGCTGCTATTATCAAAGATACGTATTCTGAGAGTCAGTAGCAGGACTAAATTTCCTTCTTTCATTATTTTTGGTAGAACACACAGACCTTAGGGGTAAGCTATCAGCATCAATATGTCTTCAAATTCTTACTAGTCTCCCTTAAGGGGAAAAGAAGGGAATTAATCTGTCATCCTAGACAGTATACTGTTTCTCCCCAATATTTAAAAGCCTATTTCATTGGGATAACATTTTTTCATAAACAGATGGACTAGAACAAAAGAAAAGAAAGCATCTCTAACCAAAAGCTGCTTCAGAGCACAAAGGTAAAGATTAATTTTAAGAGTTTTCAGAGTTTAAGACAAAAAAAACAGTAACAATAACAAAAAACTAATATTTTTGCCTGCTGATCTGTAGTTGCTATTTCTGAATTTAGTTATGTATTTCCAAAAACTAACCTGACATGAATAGCTTGCTCCCATAAATTTTATTCCAGCGAAGACCATACAAATATGAATAAAGGCATTTAGAAATGCACTGAGTTTTAAATGTGTAATCCTCTTAGTTACTCTGTTGACCTCCTGAACTTCCCAAAGCATAAACATTCTAGATGATTCGCTTCACAAACTGCTGTTTTGAGAATGTCATTAAATGTGAAGACCTCACTTAGATAATCTCCTTTCTTAAGACTTTGGGAAAGAGCCTCTTAAAACAAATTCTCATCTTTGTCTTTCTGTTTTCTAAAACTTGTCCTACATATTGTCACAGGTAGCCCTGAAGCAAAAAAAGTTCTCAAAGAGCAGCCTGGGTTATGTGGAGGGAATAAAGAGTACTCTCTGTCATTGTAGCAACACCTTAATAAACTACTTATACTAACACGAATCTCGGCTATATCCTTCTATTACTTTCTTGAATCCTATCCCAATGTTATAAACATATGGTGTGGCATGTCAGGCCTGGCTATTGGTGGAAACAATCTGGAATAAGTGTGTACATCAGCAAAAAGTAAGCCACAGCTGTTTTTTGGCAAAAAGTAAGCCATAGCCACAGGATCACATAAAAAGAGATGGCAAAATATTGAGCAGTGAATTGGAAGTAGCCTACAGAAGACTGGTTTGTAGTTCTTTTTACTTAAGTATAGGGTTTTGAACACTAAACACAAATTATAGGCTAGATTCCTGGCATTTGTCAAACTCCATTCTTGGGCTGCAGGCCTACAGGGGATGGTAAGTCAAAAAGCAAGAGGAAGTGAGCATTCTGCTGTGTATTTTTCAGCTAACTTTCTAAGCAAAGAAATACCAAGCAGTTGGCTTACTGAAGCAATAAAAAAAAATTCAGCTTGCTTATTGTGGTATTTTCATAAATAAAATCACCACTTTAGAAACTAGAAGTCAAATAATTGTATACATCTCTAGAGAAGACGAAACTATTTCATATGGCCCAGTCATTACTTTTTTCAAATTGGTATTAAAGAAATGCTAAAGTGGTGGCTGAGACAGAACAGTTATACTACTAAGTAATAATAATTTTTTGTAAACCGCAAAATACCTATGTTTGAACAAATAGGCCACTCTTAAAACTCAAGAGTAGAAGGTTGATTATTTTCTATTAAAAGTTGCTGAGTTTTGTGTGAATGATAATACGGTATCGCATTTCTTACCTTTTTTGAAGTAATGTTGACACAGCTCTGCTCAAATAAGCGAATGCTGCCATTTTAACCAATTCATAACAACTTAAATACACAGGAAGGAGAAGGTCAGCAGCAATGTCCCCCAACAGTTTTTCCTACCCCAGAGTACTGATGACAGGTTTTTGTTTTGTTTTGTGACAGAGTCTCGCTCTGTCACCCAGGCTGGAGTGCAGTGGCATGATCTCGGCTCACTGCAACCTCCGCCTCCCAGGTTCAAGTGATTCTCCTGCCTCAGCCTCCCAAGTAGCTAGGACTACAGGCACACGCCACCATGCCTGGCTAATTTTTTTTTTTTTTAAGTAGAGACGGGGTTTCACCATGTTGGCCAGGCTGGTCTCAAACTCCTGACCTCATGATCTGCCCACCTCGACCTCCTAAAGTGCTGGGATTACAGGCGTGAGCCACCCTGCCCGGCCCTGGTGACAGGTTTTTAATGCTTCAGCTTGATCCCCTATTATACCGTTAATTCCTCTGCTTCATAGCCTGGCATTTGCTTATTTTGGCACCACCTCCTGCTACAGTTTTAATGTGTTCCCCCAAACTTCGAGTTTTGGAAACCTAATCCACAAATTCACGTGTTGATGACATTTGGAGATGGGGCCTTTGGGAGGTAATTAGAACTAGATAAACTCCCCCATGATGGAACTGGTGGCTTTATAAGAAGAGAAAAAGAGAACCGGAGCTGACATGCTCTTGCCCTCTAGCCATCTGATGCTCTCCACGATGTTACGACATAAGAAGGCCCTCACCAGATGCAGCCCCTCAGCCTTGCACTTCCCAGCCTCCAGAACTCTAAGAAGTAAATTTATTTATTTATTTATTTATTTTATTTTTGAGATGGAGGCTCACTCTGTCGCCCAGGCTGGAGTGCAGTGGCGCGATCTCCGCTCACTGCAAGCTCCGCCTCCCGGGTTCAGGCCATTCTCCTGCCTCAGCCTCCCGAGTAGCTGGGACTACAGGTGCCTGCAACCACACCCAGCTAATTTTTTTGTATTTTTAATAGAGACGGGGTTTCACCGTGTTAGCCAGGACGATCTTGATCTCCTGACTTCGTGATCCGCCCACCTGGGCCTCCCAAAGTGCTAGGATTACAGGCGTGAGCCACCGCGCCCGGCCTATTTTCTTTTTAAGTTACCCAGTCTGTGGTATTCTATTACAGCAACAGAAAATGGACTAAGATACCTCTCTACCCCACCTACCACAGTTTCCATAAAACTGTCAGAGAATAAATATTTTTATTGCCCAAGTGTCTATTCACTTCTGCACTGTGTCTCACTGACAGAAGATGAAATTCCTGAAAGGACAATCTTACTATTACCTCAAAAAAAAAGAATGGATTTTGTGGACAGTATTCTGTTTTTATTCATCCACAACATCCTTTTTTTAAATCATGTATTTTATTTTTTAAAGCAGTGTTAGGTTGACAACAAAATTAAGTGGAAGGTACTGAGATTTCTCATATAATAGCATATTTTATTGCTTGTAAAAATTAGCTTAACATTTGGAAAGATAAACAAAAAACACATTATATTCATCTAAAATATTTTTTGCTAGAAAGGTGGTTAAAATGTCATTCAAGTTAATCCTTTTTCCATTTCACATCTAATTTGACATGATGGTATATTAGGAAGATCAAAATAATGAGATGAGCCACTCTATGCACTGATTATTTATGCCTAAAAAAGATTTTTGGTATAAGGTAGAAAATTAATAAGGAATTGAAAATCAATTTTAGTTCCTTTATTATTTTACCTTCATAATATCCTCAGAGTGGCATTCCCAGTACTAAGCAGTAGAAAGAACATTCAATAAAAATTTTGTCAAACTTCTTCAAAATAGAAGTTCACTGAAGCCCACTGTCAGGCTTACTAAAGACACTCACAACTGCTGAATGACTTGAATCACATCCCAAGAGTCAATAATCAAATTAAATGTGCATATATCACTATTCTATATGAAAGATAAGCAGTATTTCATTTTATTATGAATAATATGAGAGCCAAGAAAAGAACCTAATATTATTCTCCCAAAAAGGTTTTATTAACACCTCTCAGCTGTTTACTTTCTACTTGGCAAACATGAAACATTTTTAATACCAAATTTTACTTAGAGCAAATTGATAGTAATTTGTTCTCTTGAGCTTCAAGGAAATGAACTCTGCATCTGAATGTTAAATGTTATCTGCCATTAATGATTTAGGTATTATTAGAACAAAGAACTGCAACAGGAGAAACTAACAAAAAGCATGAATTTGCATCTATTTTTAAACAAACAAATGAAAGAAGGAAAACCATCTTTAATTTTTAAACTTTGGTTCTAACTTCATTCCCACAGAATTCTCCAAAAGATGTATTTAAAAAGGGACACAGAGAAGTTCAAGAAATGTCCTTGGCCTCTGCAATAATTCTGTCATCACAAGTCAATATCTAAGCCATGTCAGGGCACATACTGTTTGCTCCACACAAAGTAGTCCTTATATTCTTACCTCTACTCTCAAATCCTAAACTCTATTAGGAGAATAAGAGCAAAACAGCTGCAGTGCAAGGCAGACACTGAAGAGAGACACCAGAAAGTTTGGGCAAAGAGACCAAGAGGTCCAGGAGGAGGAAAGAAAATTTCCAATTGAAAAATCAGAGAAAAATTCACTGGTGAGGGGGAACATTTCATATATTTTGAATGTTGGGTTATATTTAGACATTGGAGAGAGAGGAAGAGGAAAAACTGGCAGATACTTAGACACAGAAGTTTAATAGCACCATATGTGTCTCTAAACCAATTCTTGCATCTTTACCAGGGATTGACCAACATGAAAGGTAAAATATGACAATACTGACATTTGCTTTTGTCCTGGAGAAGAATATATGCCCACACAGAGACTCAGATTCACTGACAATTTTCATGTCTAGAGTTATTCAAAATTAATAGAAGCCTGAATTTATATTAGGTATTATACTAAGAAAAATTTAATTGAATGGTATATCTAAAATACAGTTTTCAACACTTCCAGTACAACTAAACCCACAAAGAGATTTTAGTAAGAATATGAAAGCCATAGCCTCCATACATACACATTACCTGGAAACGTATGACTGTCATTGTCAAAAGAGACAAATGAGATAGAGGACAAATTCAGCTCCAAGGTCAGATAATCTGTTAACTTGACTTAGAATAAAACTGTTCTCTAAGGGAAATGCTTCAATGACTTGGGTAGATTATTTTATGATAAATCTTAATCAAACAGCCATAGCTTTTTATCAAGTTATGTAATAGTGAGACATAAGAAATCAATTTAGGATAGAATATTTTGAGGAGGCTTTTTTCTTGCAGGGCGTTGGGCAAGAGATGATACAAGGTCAGGTTTTAAATGAACTCATGCCTCACTAAAAGATTAACATCCTGGACAGATTTATCCTTGAGGGTAAAGACTTCTGAAGCATAAGAAAAGGTAAGTTGCAAAATGAGAGTGGAAAACAGAGTGTCAATCAAGTGGCCAGCTAAGATAAGAAGTCACAGTGCTGGGACATGATGATTACAAATATTCATTTGCTTGTGTATGCAATTCTAATAATAGTCACCTGATACTAGTAGCACAAAGCCATGAATATCCTCATTATAAGGGAGGGTCCCTTGAGGTCCTATCAAAAGTATCTCTGTGAGAAACAAAGGACTCAGTCTAACCGAAGAATGACTTCCACATTCCAGATAGAATGTCCACACTATCTAGGTTTTAAGGTTGTCACATAAGGCCAGGAAATTTAAAACATGCTTAACATTTCAAAGAATTCCATGTATCTTTTAGAGTAGAGTTCTTAAGAGAACTCATCAACCAGGGACTGCTTATCTGTTTTACTACAGAGGGATGTCCCATCCCCTGAGACTCGGATTCAGAATCCTCAGTGGGGTCTAAGAATGTGCATTCAACAAATAACTCTAAGACATACTCCTGATTAAGAATCAGAGCAAAAACAACCAAACAAAAAGACAAAACAGAGTATTCTGATGAAAGAGTAAGCAGATTTGGCATTTAGTCTCAGTTCTGGCACACACTAAACATGTCTTCTTAGGGAAGTTCATATGATCTCCAAAGATAATTTTCTCTGCTATAAAATAAGAGTAATAATAGTATCTACTCTTTCTTGGTCATGGGATATATTAGTTATCTATTAGTATATCTCTATAAAAGAGTTATATTAGGTAATTATTGGTGTGCAACAAGTTACTACAAAACCCAGTGGCTTTAAGTAACAAACACTTATTATCTTACAGTTTTCTTTGGTCAGGAATTCCAATGAATCTTGGCTAGGTGCCTTTGGCTCAGTCTTTCATGAGGGGGCAATTAAGGTGTTAACCATGGCTGTGGTCTCCTCTGGGGAGGCATCCACTTCTAAGCTCATTCACAAAGCTTAGGTCAAGCCTCAGGTTTACACTGGCTGTTGGCTGGAAACATCAGTTCCTTGATATGAGGGCCCCTCCTCAGAGCAACTTGTAACATGGCAGCTGGCTTCCCTCAGAGCGAGCCGGTAAGAGAGGAAGACAAAGTGAGCAAGAAGTAACAATCATTTTGTCACCTAGTCTCAGAAGTGATATCCCATCATTTTTGCCATATTCTATCCATTAGAAGTGAGTAACGAGGTCCAGCCCACGCTCAAGGGGAAAGCATTACACAAGGGCATAAACGCCAGGCGGTGGGCACACTAGGAGCCATCTTAGATGCTGCTCACCTCAAGAGATAACATATGTAATGTTCTGAGAAATCAGATTTACGTGGGGAAGTATTCTGCAAATGAAAGTTTTACTCAAAGGCAGAATGGGAATTATGAAAACACGCTTTATGGAGAACATTTAGGGAATCTGCTAAGAAGTGTCACCACCTCCTCACTTGCCTCAGATGTGTCACACTATGGCAGTATTTCGCCATCTTTTTCAGTCTGACACATCCATGAACTTGTTAGTCAAAAAGGGAAGAAAAAAGGGTGAGCAAATGAGGGACCTCATGACCCACGAAGTAACACTCTTGACAATTCATGCTTTATATTTAGCACGGGAAGCAGTAATATAATGGCTATAA
Source organism: Homo sapiens (assembly GCF_000001405.40). Classification (NCBI taxonomy): domain Eukaryota; kingdom Metazoa; phylum Chordata; class Mammalia; order Primates; family Hominidae; genus Homo; species Homo sapiens. The sequence continues at coordinate 90,994,654 of NC_000007.14, read as the reverse complement.
GGAGTATGGGAAAAACAAAAAATTCAGGAACTTGATAAAATTGTTTCCTGGAGTTTTTCCCTACAAAGCTGTTTATCAGCTCGACTTGGTGATATGCTCTAATGAAAATTTACATGGTCAGTGTGGCAGCTTGAAAACACAGTCCCAGCGTTCTTGACATTCTTATGTACAAATGGGATCTATGTCCCCTTCCCTTCACTTTGGGTGAGAGTTTGTGACTGCTCTGACCAGGAGAGAGTTACTGCATGACTTCTGAAGCTAAATTAAGAGAAACCACACAGTTTCCATCTGGTCCTCTTGGGCCACCCACTCTTGGAACCCAACCACCATGATATAAGGAAGTCCAAACCAGCCCACATGGCAAGAACCCTTGGAGAGCCCTAAGACTCTGAAGAAAGAAACAGGAATGTTTGGCTAGTCCCAACTGCTCCAGCCCTGATTAGTCGAGCTCCAGCTACCATGTGTCTGCAACCCAAGTCCAGAGCTGCCCAGCCAAGCTCCTACTGAATTCCTGACCCTGAAACCATAAAAGAAAATTTAAAAATGACTATTGTTTATTTAAACTAGGGGGTTTTGAGGTGGTTACATGAGAAAAAATAACCAGAACAACCAGGAAGTAGTCATATATGTTAAAAATAAAGTCATGTATATTAAAAAGATAGTAATATTAAACAGCAATACATTAGGTTAAATTTTTTTCAAAACATTTAAGACAGATCACAGAGGTAAACCATAGCCTCCAGAAAAGTCTTTGGTAAAAATTACTACAACTGGGAAATATTTACAGGTGGTAGGAAGATATAAAAGCTTATGTTAATAGAAAAGTAAATAAACTATCACAAATCACAAATTGGGAAGACAACATTTCTATTTCCATAATAATGTCTCAGATAAAAAATAGATTAAAAATCTAGTCAGCAACTATTTCCTATCATATCAGTTGCAAATCATTTATTATTTCACCAGCATTATGAATATTATCCATTCCCTCAACATCTGCCCTCCATATGCACATCACTGTGCCAGCCATACCCCACTCCCTTTCACGTAGGAATCATGCAGATCATAAAATCTTCAAATTTCTTCTCTCTCCTCTAAAACATTTATTGAAATGTCCCCCTCCTTCCTTCCCCTTCTTCTTTCAGAAAAATTTTTCATCCACATTTCAAGGCACTGTCTCCTCCACCCATCCTCTCTTGCCTGCTCCAATACCTTGATCCATCCAGTATGCCTTTTTGGATCTTTGGTGTCCTTTACCTTACAAATATACTGGTTTTCATTATTTTAAAAATACTTAGATTATAAAATATATGAATATTGATTGTAAAATATCCTCAAGGTGACATCAATTCTCTTCATTGACCCAGTTCTCAAAGTTGTCTACAGGCTCAGTGTCTCCCAATTCTTCACTACCCACTCACCCTTTAAATCCATTGTAACCTGGCTTCACATATTCAGCACTCAAAAGTCACCAACCAGTGGCCTGTCTCAGCTTTCTGAGTATTTGATGCAGCTGATACATAGTTCCTTCTTGAAATTCTTCTACTTTTGACTTTCAAAAAAAGCACTCTCTGGGTCTCTTCATCCTCTGGACATTCTTCCTCCCTTCTCCCTTCTGAACTATCATCTACTCTCCAAAACAGAAACACTTCGATTTTCTTGTATCTATACTAACTCTCATGGTGAACTGACTCAGAAAGCCCAAATCCCTAGCCCCAGCATAATTCCTACTTGGAATACGTATTCAGTTGTACTTCAAACTCCGTGGATTCACTCAATCTAATGCCTGAATTGTAACATATACAGAAATTTAATGTTCCACACAAAGCAAGCATTTCCCAAGTAAGAAAATGCTTCATATAAAGGATGACTTCAATACATGGGAGAATGTTCCTTAATTTAACATATGCAGGCATGAGAATTCTCATTTAATACTATTATCATTAAACCCACCCAAGTTGCTACTCCCTCTGCCTCAAATGCTCTGATCCCTGTTATTTGTGAGTTTGGTGCCCTTACAAACTTCAGTGAACAAGTATCACCTCTGAGAGAAAACTCCCCAGAACATGGTATGTAAAATGGCATCTCTCAGAATAGCACTTAAGAAACACATTATATATTTATTTTCTCACTGTCTATCTTTCCTTACAGGAATATCAGTTCTATGAGAGCAGGAATGTTATTTTGTGTACTGCGGTCTCCTCAAACCATGAAAAGATTATTTAGCCCAGAGTAAGCACGTAATAAATATCTGTTGCATAAATGAATAACTTAGAAAATGAATGATTTAATTAAAGTGTTCTCATTTTCCATTTTATAGAAAGTTTGTGGTACTCCAATGCAAAAACACTGAAGTAAAAAAAGTTTTTTCACTATGTGAGTTAATTCAAATCTCTGGGTCACAAACAGGTTGTCTTTTAATAGAAGTTTCTTTTTAAGCAGTAATGTGATTAGCTATTCTATAGATGGATATCCCACTGTCTTAGCTTTCATGTAAGACTAATGACCTTACTGGAGTTTGCTACCAACATTTCCATTCGCTTAGAAGCATAGAACTTTCTTTATTAGAACATCCATCTAATGTCTCCACACATGAACCACTCAATGTTTATTTTTGCAACATCTTCATTTTCACTGGATCTCTTCTGAACACTTTTCTTCCACATAGACTTTTTCTTTTCATAGAACTATTGACCAGGGAGGACCTTAAGATGTTATTAGTCCAGGGTTTTTCAACCTTTCTTTCAGCAGTGGGATCTGTTTCACATGCAAAATCTTAATAGAAGCAGAGCCAAGAGTGGACAACCTAGTGCATCCCTCTGAGGCTATACCCACCTTCACTCCAGCATCACCAAAACATCAAGGAGAATCACAGGTCTCCTTTGAATAACCATGGAAAGTCTAACCTTTCTTAATAAACCCATGTGTGTTTTCTGTGTTGACTCTTACACTTTTGGGGCAGGAAATCTTTCTTTTCCTCTGGGCTAAAAGCATTTACTGGGCACATACAATGTGCCACAAACTACA